>NC_000007.14:44179635-44482666 GCF_000001405.40 Homo sapiens
GAAAGTTATGATGGAAAGGCACAGTTTCCAAACCTCAGCCAGTTCTCGAACCAGAACCCATTGACTGAAAGAGGGACTGGGTTCCCATGAGGAAAGACTCTGTAGCACCACAGCAAGTGTGTATAACAGGAACCTATGGCTATTTATATTCGACCACACTGAGTAAGGGTAACACTCAGATCTTTTGATAGTGATTTCATAGCAATTCACACTTTTTTTTTTCTTTTTTTGAGATGGAATCTCGCTCTGTCACCCAGGCTGGAGTGCAGTGGTGTGATTTTGGCTCACTGCAACCTCCGCCTCCTGGGTTCAAGCAATTCTCCCTGCCTCAGCCTCCCGAGTAGCTGGGATTACAGGCACCCACCACCACGCCCAGCTAATTTTTGTATTTTTTAGTAGAGATGGGGTTTCACCGTGTTGGCCAGGCTGGTCTTCAACTCCTGACCTCAGGTGATCTACCTGCCTCAGCCTCCCAAAATGCTGGGATTACAGGCGTGAGCCACCATGCCCAGCCAGCAATTCACACTTATATCTAGGGTCCCAAAGTGCTGTCATGGCTGTCCTAGTAGAGTGCAGGCTTATTGGGGTAAGACGACAAATATAGTTCTGGCCCAGGTATGTCTCAAATTGGATCCACTAGTTCTGTGTATTCACCCAGAAATCATTTCCTTGGATCCCGAATAAATCATTGGAATGGATATACTTAACCATCAGAAGAGCCCTTACAATGGTTCCTTGATTTATAGAATAAGCAACATTTGTAATAACAAAGGCAAAGTGAAAATGCTGCATTCCCACCCAGCCAAAACAGAAAAACACAAATCTGGAGGGATGGCAGAAATTATTACCATTCTCAAAGACTTAAAGGATGTCTAGTACTTGTTAGCCAAAGACTGAGTTCCTTTGGCATACAATTTTTTTCTTCTTCCTTGACAGGTCCAAGTTGGGCCATGCTGAGATTTGACCCTCCTTGTGGCCAGGAGGGGAGGTGGGGGCCGATCCTGAGGAAGGCATGCATTTTCTCCTGGGGCACTTGTCTCTTTCAGACATCTGCATACTTTTCAAGAGAGAAAAACGTGATATGATGGTCACATCATATCAACCTTTCATTCTCCAGTTTGATCTCTGCAAAAACTGGTTGGATCAGTCCTGACCCTTAGGCTATGTGATTGGCAAATCTGATGATACTCTGCATGGAATGTGAGATTAGGCCCCAACAGGAGTCACTGTCCAAACCCCTAGGGCTCCGGACCAAGGTCATGCCATCTGCAGCAGAGAACCAAACACCACTTGTAAAGCATTTCCTGGCATGCCACTCAGCAGAGTGTCTGACCATAGGACATTAAGTGACCATGTGGCCATAACTGCCCATTATGAGTTTGGTGCTGTCAGACCCACTAGGTCATAAGCCATCCATCATAAGATGGAAATGGTATATCTGGAATCAGGCTTGAGCAGGTCCAGATGGCACAGATAAGCTGCAGGGACAGGTGGCCCAGACCCACCTGCCATCTACCACTGTTGCACGAATATTGGCCCCTGTGCCTCTCTTTCACCCACATGCAAATATGGCCTCCTGGTGGGGGGTGTCTTTTGTCTAGCTGCTGGAGGAGGGAAAAACCCATCTATGCATTGATCATGGATAGGTTAGTTTGGAATGTTGATGCAAGCTGGAAATGGACTTCTGCTGTACTTCAGCCCCACTCAAGGTGGCCCTGAAAGACACTGGGGAGAAGAAATCCTCTTAGTAGAGTTTTGGAGGGTGCACCTGCTTATTCACTTTGTGTGGAGAGAGATGTGGCCTAAGGTAAATATAGACTCATGGACATTGGTGAATAGCTTAGCTCGTTCTTCAGTAGCTTGGAAGGAGCAACATTAGAAGATTGTGGAAAAGTGGTGGCATGGGGAAAAGTTGTAGAGCTAAACCTGTGTGAGTGGGCACAAAGTATGAGACATTAATGACAGCCAGAAACCACTTCTTGTGGAAGAGGCAATAATAACCAAGTGGATAGGATGGGCAGGCAGCTGAATGTCGGCCACCATGCACTCAGAAATAGATAGTCATGGAGTCAGAGAAGGAAGCCATGCCTGTGCCCAGAAGCATACATTCCCTCTCATCAAGGCTGACCTAGTTTTGCTGCTGTTGAATGTAAGAACTGCCAGCAATAGCGACTGGTGCTGAATTCCTGGTATAACACTGCTCCTGGAGGAGACCAACCAGCCACTACTGGGTGACAAGTTGGCTAAATCGGGCCCCTTCCAACCTGGAAAGGGCGGCATTTTCTCTTGACTTGGATTGACATGTATTCCAGCCATCAATGGACTTGCCTTTCCTACCCTCAGTGCAGCAGCCTGTCCTGCTAACCAAGGAATCACAGATAGGGTGGTGGAGCATCCTCTTGGAGGCACAGTGGAGCTGTCATCTTGAAGATGACACCCATGAGGAGGGCCCAGTCTCCTCCAGAATGCAATATGCACTCTAATGGCTATGGGATGAGGCCATGTTCCTGAAAGGTAAAATATGTGGGTTTGGGAACCAAGAACTCTTCATCACTCTCCATGATCCACTTGGGAAATTTGTGCTTCCGCCATTCACAACTTTAGGTTTTGTGGGTCTAGAAGTCCTGGTTCTCAGAGGGGGTCCTTCCACCAGGTGATACATTAACACATTCACTAAATGTACAGCTACAATTGCCTCCTGGTCATGCTGTGCTTCCTTGTGCCAGTAGCCAAGCAGGTAGAGAAAGGTATTACCATCCTGGCACAAGGAGCAAAATGTGGCAATTTACCCTTGTCATTAGGAGGTAGGACTACCGCTACATAATGGAGCAGGAAGAATATGGCTTGCACTCAGATGATTTGCCAGGGTGTTTCTTGGTAGTCTCATGTCCAGTTGTAATTGGGAATGGACAACTTACAACAACAATAGCCTGATAAAGGAATCCAGGATTCAGATGCCTCAGGGATAAGGGTTTGGCTCCTGCTCTAGGGAAGTCACCTAGACCAGCAGTGTTAGCCAAGGGGAAGGGGACACTAGAATGGATGGTGGGGATGGGGCATGATGGTGAGTATCAGTGACAGTCTTACAATCACATGCAGAAGTGGGCATTGTAGTTCATCCCTCTGTTTCTCCAATTGTAAGTTTTCCCTGAAGCTGTGCCTGGATGGAGAGAGCTTAAAGTGGAAAGCAGTAGGTCTGAGCAGTCAAGGGGTGGACTGTAGTGCCTGCTGTTGGCACCTCACTGGCTGACTGGCCTGCACACCCAGCCTTTAGCCGCAGTGAGCAGCAGCTGCAGACTGCTCACAGCTACACCCTTCTCCTGAGAGTTTCCTGGAAATGCCTGGAAGATCTTCCCTCCCCACTGGCCCTCAGCTGGTGGCTTTGATACAGGTACAATAGGCTGGCCCCTCTCCCAGGAGGGACAACCCTGTGATATTCTTCATGCATCAGAGCCCTTGTGGAACCAGACTGAGGCGGACTTAAGCTGGACCTGCCTTTTTGACTGGCTTCTTACCTCTCGTTTTCTGTCCCCCCAACTTCCTTATAGCTTCTGCTGACAGCGCTCCCGCAAACACCATTTTCCAAGAATTCCAATCTCAGGCTCTACTTCTTGGGAACCTGACCTAAAACAGATACAAATCATGTTTTCCCTTCCTACTGTGCAGGCTGGCAGCAGACAAACGATGCAGGCAGGCAGTGAGACTCAGATTGGGTCCTCCTGTCGGAACAGCTGGGATATGATGTCCATGCCCTCTCCCAGGACCCAGGTGGAACTTGAATACTGATTCATCATACTCACTTTTCATTTGGAGAGTGAATTTTGGGTAAATGACTTTGCAATCCATGAAAGTGAATACTCAGAACGTTTTCAGGTAGCAGAGGATCCCTGTACTTCCAAGACAGAGTGTTCATTGAGATCAGCCTCACAGCCGTGCCCTCTGGATCACAGCCCAGGAGCATGGAAAATCCCACTTCTTGGCCTCTCCAGCACTCCCCTTTCCTACTTGTTTATTGGCTGGGCTGATAGTTGCTGGTTGTCTACAACAAAGATCCCACTGGGGGGGCTAATACTCAGGTATTGCCAGGTAAGGAATGCTGTGAATATCACTCCAGGTCACAAGTGCTTGTGTTAGGGGACTCCTGGGACTACGAAGGGTTTGGTAAGAGTAATCTGTGTTGAATCTAGCCTCATTTCCTTTTTCTTTCTTTTATAGTTTTTAATTTTTTGGTAATAGAGAACTTCGAAGTAAGTAAAGGAGATAGTATAATAAACCCTGATGTACTCACTGCCTGATATCAATAATTGCAACCTTAATTCATTCCAGTATATTTTTACATGTGTTTCAGACTGAAATAAAGGGAGATGTTCAGCCTCAGGTGTAGAAGCAGTGAGACAATTTCCCACCACGGAGGAAGATGAAGAGCAGGAGAGGAGAGGCTGGCGGCTCCCAGGAGCAGATCACCTGCCCCCACTGCAAGGCCCCCGTGTGCTCAATAAACTGACCCTTGCGCAGAGACTAAGGCTCACTTATTGGAAACTATTATTGTTACAGTTACTAAGTAATTAACAAGTGATGCATAGGGCTGGTCAGTTATGTGACTATACGTGCGCGTGTGTGCACGCACGAGTGCATGTTTAGTTCATTACAGAAACACCATCATTTCTTTGTAATCAGCTGAAATCACCACTCATTAGTGGGCCTCTCGTGGGCTATAACTGATTTTACAGCCACCTGTCATTTCTTTTTTCTTTACAACTTTGTGCGTTTGTGTTTTTCATGGCATGCTCAGGGTACACTATGTTCTGCACGCAAGCAGGGGGCTGCACGGGCTCCAGCTCCCCTTCTCAGGCACGTCCCTCTCGATGTAATGTGTAGGATGGAACTTCTTCCCATGCGCTCTGTGAAGGGGCCCCGCAGCTCCCCAGCTGGACAGCTGCTCTGGAGACTTTGGCAGGGCTGGGCACCTGTGGAGCCTGAGGCCAGACCCAGGGAGCCACACTGTGGGAACCACAGGGCACCTGGAACATAGGTTTAATCCGGGCCTGTCTGTGAGTAATAGTGTCACAGTGGGAGGGCAGGAGGCAGGGTGAGTCAGTGGCTCCTGGAAAGGGATCTGTCATGACTCACATGGCGTTTCTTCCCTCATCCTTCTATCCTTCTACTTGCAGGACTTTCCTACAATTCTGTCTGTGCTGGTTCACGGTTATGTAGCATCAGGATGGGGCTCCCTCTTTGCTCAGGCCAGCAAAAGAGAGACAGAAAGAGAGAGAGAGATTGAGAGAGTGAGAAAAACAGATATACACACACACACACACAGAAAAAGAAACAAAGCGAAATACAGAAAGATAGACACAGAGAGAGAGTGAGAAAAACAGATACACACACACACACACAGAGAAAAAGAAACAAAGCGAAATACAGAAAGGTAGACACAGAGAGAGAGAGAGACAGAGTGACAGAGACAGAGAGAGAATACTACAGACAGACACACAGAGAGACAATGAGACAGAGAGAGAGGGGGAGAAAGAGACAGAAAGAGAGAGATACAGAGAAGTTCACACAGCTGTGAGGGGGCTAAAGGAGGAAGTGTCCACTCCTGAGAAGGGAAGGGAAGAGAAAGGCAGAAGGAGGGGCTGGGCCAGGTGTCCCAACACAGGGATAGGAGCACACAGGGGACATGCCTGGGCTGCCTCCAAAGGCCTGGCTCAGCTGAGGAATGACAGACTCCACAAGGGGCTTCCCACATCAGATGGGCCAGAATGTTCCCCTGGAGGTCACTAAACAGGGGCTCAAATCTCTCTTGCCTTGGGGTGGCTTCAAGGCAGAGGCCAGGGGCACTTTGTGCCTCTCTCCATCTGTCCCCTCTCCTCCTGGGGGTCTTGCTGTGGGCAGGTGCAGGTGTGGGCCTAGCTGCATCAGTCAGAGGGGCTCACGCTGGGGCTTCTGTGGCCCACTGATCCCCTGGATCTCACTAATGATGTCCCCTTTGGCTTGCTCCTGCCCTGGGGCTTCCTAGACATAGCTACTCCTTCTGAGGGGTCCTCATCCCCAGAGGCCTGGGCACAGGCAGCAGAGTGCTTCTCCTGGGGACAGCCCCCACTCTTGTCACCTCCCAGCCTGGCCCAGCCTCCTGTCCTGGCTACAGCAGGGGCACTGGGGTTGTGACACGGCATATGATGGATGGCCCAGCCCTGGTCCCACAGATGCAGCCCCAGCCCTCACCCCCACACCAGCTGCCTGCCCACAGCGTGCCCATTCCCTGAAGTCAGGGACCTGTCACTGCTCCGCTAGGCCTTGGCGCTGCCTGCTCCTCCCACACGGGCCCCTCCTCCCAGCACACCTGCTTGGGGGCCACCTGGAGCTTTGCACTCTGCACACCTGTCTCAGAGCAGGTGCCATGGCAGTATGGGGGGGCATCTCTCCTGCTGGGGCCCAGGACAATTCCTGCCAGGGATGTGGGTAAGCATGATGGAGTGCACCTTATTCCATCCTCATTCCACTTCTGAGCCTGCTCCTTCAATGGGGCAAAGGTGTCCAGGGCAGCTGGAGGGAGGAAGGTCAGTTCCTCCCGGCATGCCCTCCTGGTGTTACAGATTGAATTGTGTCCCCCCAGATTCATATGTCAAAGCCCTAACCCCAGTGTGATGGTATCTGGAGATGAGACCTTTGGGAGATAATTAGGTTTAGATGAGGT
Source organism: Homo sapiens (assembly GCF_000001405.40). NCBI lineage: Eukaryota > Metazoa > Chordata > Mammalia > Primates > Hominidae > Homo > Homo sapiens. The sequence goes on from NC_000007.14 coordinate 44,186,333, forward strand.
AAGGAGGGGGAGCCCCCATCATAGGATTAGCATTCTTATAAGAAGAGACACCAGAGAGCTTGTTTTCACTCTCTCTCCACGATGTGAGGACACAGCAAGAAGGTGGCGGTCTGCAAGTCAGGAAGAGAGCCCTCCCTGCAACCTGACCATGCTGGCATCTGATCTTGGACGTCCAGCCTCTAGAATAGTGAGAAATAGATTTCTGTTGTTTCTAAGCCATCAGTGGATGGTATTCTCTTATGGCAGTCTAAGCTGACCAATACACCTGAATCTCATCTTTCCAGGCTCCTTCCTGAAAAAAGGTCACCAAATCTATCAGGCAAAGTTAACCAGATTTACTCATCTGTCCTTAGTGAGGTGAGAGTGAAAATATAGACCAAAAGGTCCCCAAGAGGGATGCCCAGGGCCCTATTTCAGGCCACCCAGAAGTGGTGGCCCAGTAAGGGATGAACCTTGATGCCAAAGGAATGAGTCAGCGATGGTGGGGTACCAGGCAACTGCAGCTGGTAAGAAGGGGCTTATGAGGGGTGGGAGTAGTGTCAGTGGAATCAGGCTTGCCCCTAAGGAGCTGACATCCACATGGAGAAGTCACTGGGCACAGGACTGAGGCCACAGGCTCCTGCAACCACAGGTAAGATCTGGAAGGTTGGTACCGGCAAGACGGCTGCTCTCAATCAAAGAAGTAGAAAGAGGGAAACCAGCAACACTTTACTTTCCTCCAAAGCAACCAAAAGGAGAAAGAAGACAGTTCCTCCTCGGTGTCTGCACAGAGACAACCACAGCTGACGTCTTGGGGACAACTTTGAAAGTGGAAGGAGGGCATTGCTCATTGCTCCAAGGTCAAACACTGGCTTGGGGTAGGGGCAGCACTTCCCAGAGACACAGGACTGGACTGAACCTGGGTGGGCCTGGACAGCCAGCTCACTTGGAAAACATCAGATCCTTAGGATGACCCTAAAACCAAGATAGGTTCCCCCAAGACAAGGACTGAGTCCTCTGTGCAGCCAGAACAGGCAGACAGGAGTGGCCATTGCAGCTCCACGCTTCCCTCATCCAGGCCTTGGCACCCTGCGATCCAGGCACTAGAAGAGGGGTAGACTGGGTGGAGAAAAGTGCAGAAGCCAGTGATACTCATCCTGCCTTTGTTTAGAATTTGGTATGTTGTCCATCATAAATTTTTTTTGCATTCATTTTGATTATTTAAAATAGCATATATCTTGATGATTGATGTTTCTGGTGACCCCTTAAAGTTTGTGCCCGAGGCATTGCCTTGCTCCACTCTTGGCCCTGACAAGAATGTCAGTGACTTCCCAGGATTCTGGGGTTCACAGCTGGCCCTGGTCAGGACCAGCAACCCCTCACACGTGGAGCAGATAAAGGATGGGGCATGGGCAGCCCCAGAGTCTGAGACTGGATGCCCAGCCTAAGAAGGTGGTTCACTCACATGCCACTGTGAATGCAAGGGGCTCAGGGACAGCTCTGCTGTGGCCTTTATTAAAGTGATTCCCTGTGCACACATATGTGCACATGCATGTACACATGCAGGTATGCACAGGCACAAACATGCACACATAGCACATTCACACATAGGCACACTATGCTTTCTCTCCTTGTTTGGGGAAAGTGCCAGATCTCCACAGCCCACATGTCCACCTCTCCCTAGCTCCGAGCCATCTTTCTGGTCATGCCAAAGACAGCCGCTTCCTTCTCCCCGGGTGGCCTGAAGGGGCCCTTTGGGCAGGATTTCTCATCCAAATTGCTGCCATAGCACCAGTGACAGGCAGATCTGGGACTTGGTTGGGGCCTCGGCCGGTCCAGCTGTCTGGCTGCGCACCCTCTCACTTGGGTTGGTTGTTTTCCTCCTAACATCATTAGCTCTGCCAGAAGCACAGCCAGCCCGGGGTTTATGCTGACCTGGTCATTTCACACAGAGGCGAGAGGGAAGCATGCCCAAAGTGACTGGCTCTGCCCACTTACCCCTTCTCCCCCACTCTGCCTGGGCCCCCAGCTGGGGTGATGCAGGCACATTCCCCCCAGTGTTTCACAGCAAAGTCCCCTGTCTCCAGCTCTCTCCTTGCTCACTGCTGGGCTCAGGGCTGGCTCAGAGCATGCCTGGATTTCTCTTTGTTTTTGGAAAAAGTAACTGCCCTGCACTCCTCAGCAGGCCACAGCAGCCCTCGGGCTCCCTGCGAAGTGATTCCTGGTAGGAGGCAAGGCATCTTTGACTTGTCACCATGTCTAGTGAGTGTTGTCTCAAAATCAGGTAGTGGGCTTTGTCCACAAGACCTCATGTCCCTAACCCCCACATCTAGGGCTCTAAACTCTCCAGAGCCCCTCCCCAGTGGAGGCCACTGCCTGGACCTCTTGGCAGCCTGACTTCCGGGTCGCAGGACCAGAGTCCAAAGCTGGATGGGTCTGCCAGGCAGTAGGGGCCTTCCTGCCCCAGAAGGCACCCCTGGCAAGACCCTTCTCAAAGAGCCTGTGCATAAAATCAGATTCTGAGGCTCAAACAAACCATGGAATGTTGGGGACAGGCAAGCAAACACTCCCAGAATGCCCAATGGAGGGCGAGATACCTTCTCCTTCTTGGCGGCCTCCATCCTGGCTCTGTCGTCCAGCATCTGCACAGCAGCCAGCGTGGGGAGCTGGGACCCCTCAGCCTTCCCCAGTAGGCTTCTGAAGTGGAAATATCCAAGGCTTCTCCGCCGCAGGGGTCACGGCCCGCCCTGGGTCCCTGGGAGAATGTGGTTCTCCTCGGGCTGGTTTGGGGTTTGAGGTTCAGTCACAGTTTCCTCCTTTTCATTGTTCTCCAACGAGTCGGCAAGCATTCCCTTCTGGACCCTTCCTCACTGAGCCTGGATGTTCTCCAGGCAGGGCCATTGCTGGGCGCTTGGGTGGCGTCCTCAGCGCTTTCTCTCCTGGTTGTGTTGAGCTGTGGGGCTTAGTGTCCTTCAGACAGATTCAGTGGGAAATGTCCTCTCCCTTCTGTGACCTGGGGACAGCTTTTGAGTAATTAGGCTGCAGGTGACTGTGTCTCTCACATCCTAGCCTGCTTCCCTGGGGCTCAGGCGCCGCTCGGCATTTCCTGCTCCAGCCAGGTGTGGAGTGGGGGATTCTCCTGCCAGGGCTTACTGTGCTCCTGAGAGGGCCTGTGGTTGTCATGGTGACCAGGAGTGGCCTCAGCAGGGCTGACCATCCTGTCATTAGAGCTGCCATGCATAAAACTGGGACTGGTGGCAAAGAGCCTCCATCCCCATCACCATGGTGACCACTCAATCGCCTTGTCACTACAGTGACCGCTAGCCTGTTAAGCCTTTGCCACCTGTTCAGATCCTGGGGCAGTGTCTCAGGGTCTCCCACACTCCTGTTCTGATGAGCAGAGGATCCCGTGAGTCTGGAAGCAGAGGAAAGGGAGCAGGCAGCTTGGCGTGGCTCAGGAGCAGGCCCCTGGGACCATCTCACATCCCTAACCCCCCTATCTAGGGCTGTAAACTCTCCAGAGACCCTCCACAGTGGAGGCCACTGCCTGGACCTCTTGGCAGCCTGACTTCCAGGTCGCAGGGCCAGAGTCCAAAGCTGGACAGGTCTGCCAGGCAGTAGGGGAGCCCATCGGAGGGCTTTGGCGCGGCCTGCCCTGACTATCTCCTTGAAATCTGAACCAGAACAGTACACCTGGCCCACACAAGCCTGGCTGAGGTTGACACTGTCAGAACAGAGGCCCACAGGGACTGGCTCCTCCTCTGGCCCTGCTCAGGAAGCTTCAGCCTGGGATGCCACCCACTCTCCCCTTCGCAGCCCAAGTGCCCCTGGAGAGGTTGCCCTGTGCAGTGGGGAGTCCCAGTGAGTGGATGGAGCAGGGGGCCAGGGTGCTGGAGCCAACTCAGCTGCGGGCTCAGTCAATAGTCTGGAACAAAACATACTTCTGCCTAAGTCACTGAGGTCTGGTGTGTTTTTCCCACTCGTGGCCCTTCTCAGTCAGGATCGGCCACTTTTCAAGTGTCCAGCGTGACTGGTGGCTACCATATTGGGTAGTGTCGGTATAGACCAAAGAGGGCTCAGGACCCAGCTCCAGGCCACCTACGCTCAGAGGTCCAGCAGAGGGGGTGAGGAGGAGTGGCCAGTGCGATCTCTCCAGACAGATGTGCTGTAACACTTTAAAATCAACTTCCTATTGACGGTCATTGAGGCAGTTTCAGATTTTCACTATTACGAAGCAGGCTGTGGCAGAAGTCCTTGAATTTCACCGGAGTCTAAGTGTGTGTCAGTGTTTCTTCTGGATGGCTCCTGGAGGCTGAATTGCTAGTTCAAATGCTGTACACATTTTACATCTTGGTAGGCAGGACCACGTGGCCTCTTCACATGGCTTCACCAGTTTCTTCTGCCAACACGAGAAGTTTGGCTTTATCTTGGCCAATCCTTCAGATGATAAATCTTTATGAGTTTTTTGCCGATCTGTCACCTCATTGTTGCTTGAATTGCAAAATGCTGGACACCTTTTCATGTGTTTCTTGGTGATTGCATTTCTTCTTCTAAGGATGATTTGTTTACATTACTTAACTATGTTGCTATTGGATTATCTTCTGCCTATGGACTTGGAGAAACTATTTTATATTTCATCTGTAGTATCTATTAATCCTTTGTCTGTTAAATATACTATGATATCTCCCCTAGTCTATTGCTAAACTTAACAACTTGATTAATCGTGTCTTTCATCATACAGAAGTATCTAGTTTTTATGAATTTCAACCTTTGTTTTCTTGTTTTGGGGTTTTTATATCTTGTTAAGAAAACCGTTTCCAATCCCCAAATTGCAAAAATGTTCTCCCACATTTCCTTCTAATATTTTTCCAAGTTTTCTATTTGTTCAGTACTTTAGTCTTTCTGCAATTGCTTGTGCTGCGTGCACCGCCATTATGAGGGCACACCTCACATCCTCGCCTTTCTTCTCATTCCTCTTTTCTGCTCTCCCGGGTCCTGGGAGATGGTGGTTTGGGTATGGTGCAAGGGAATCTCTAATATGGCTATTTGGTGGTGAAGCAATCCCTTCCCCACTGCTCTGGAATGTTGGCTTTCTTATAAATCTTAGCACTACTCATCCCACTTCGGAAAATAATGCTGTTGACAATTTCATTGGAAATACATTGACTTTGTGGGTTTAGGGATTCATTTTAGAGAACTAACCTCTTTATAATATTGAGTTTTCTCATCTAGAAGTATGTGTTGTTTCATTTATTTTGGTCTTCTTTTATGTCCTTCAGGTGAATTTTATTATTTTTCTCATATATATCTTACACATTTCTTGTTATATTTATTCCTAAAGAAAGGCAATACATTTATTAGGAGAAGGAGCAATTGTCATTATAACTAATATTGATGAAAACATTTATGATTCACAAAGTACTTTTGCATTCATTCTGTCATCTAATCAGACAATCTTAGTGTGGCAGGCAGTGGTATTATTATTATTATTTTATTTTTATTTTTTTGAGACAGAATCTCGTTCTATCACCCAGGCTGGAGTGCAGTGGCTCGATCTCCACTCAATGGAACCTCTGCCTCCCAGGCTCAAACAATTTTCATGCCTCAGACCCACGAGTAGCTGGGACCACACACGTGTGCCACTGCACCTGGCTAATTTTTTGTACTTTCTTTTTAGTAGATATGGGGTTTCACCATGTTGACCAGGCTGGTCTCAACTCCAGACCTCAGGTTCCGCCTACCTCTTCCTCCCAAAGTGCTGGGATTACAGTAGAGTGGGGAGGGAGCGGCTGAAGCCAAAGTGTGGAATGTCTGGCCACCACACCTGGTCAGTGGTAGTATTATTACCACCACTTTCCAACTGAGGTCGCTGAGGCTGGGGAGGTTAAAGGATTGGCAGGGACGGTCTCCCCAATTTAATGTCTCCCTAAGGGTTCCTTACCATAGCTTCCTGCTAAGGACAGGGGCCAAGGTAGTCCCTCACACAGAGGTCCCAGGTTCTGCCACATGGCCCTGCCCTCCCTGGACACAGCTGATGAAACATCACCTGATCCAAGAGCAGCCACACTGCACACTGGCCACAGCCTAGTGTAGCCAAGCATTAAATCAGCTTTAAAAATGCATTTTAAGGCTTTTTCTTTAGTCTTAAAATGTAACCTTGAAATGTACTTTGAAACTCTGCTTCTCTCCCTTTCCCACTAGACACTCCTTTGCACCATGCCCGCTTATCTAACTCTATGCTTATTTGGGAATTCCAGGGGCTAATCTTGAAACAAAAACCAGACACGGAACCCCTGCGGAATCCTCCAACTTAGGGGGAGTCGAAACAATTCACCCACCACCATCTGGCCGAAGGAAAGATAACACCAACCAGACCTCAGGATAGGTGATACTCAAGACAGCCATTGGATCAAGACACATAGACCCTGTACCCTGCACTGCTCCCACGTATGTCCCATACCAAGTTTTCCTTTCAGAATCCTATGATAAATTTTAAAATTTGAGATAATTGAATGCTTTAAAACAACAATTCACCATCTTCTTGGTTTGCTGGCTCTAGTTAAAACCACTTTTCCTCCCACCAAACCTCTCCTCTTGTATTTGGCTTTCAAGCGGTGGAATCCGAGTCCGGTTACAATGGGGGACATTTACCCAACAGGGACTGCTTGAAACAATGAGCAGTTTAGTTGGGGACCGCAGAGTTGCAGAATCTCTGAACCATTCAATGCTCCCAAACGAAAGTCCTCTGTCCTCCTCCCTGGGGTGGGGTGGATGGGGCATTCCTGGCTGATGAATTGGGGAGCAGGTGGGGAGAGAGCTGCCCTCCCCAGGTATAGCTTCTTCAGGATGCCCCTTGCCTTTCTGGCCCCATCCCTCCAGACACTGGACACTTCTGCTTCAGCCCCTCCCTCCCCGTCTGCTGGTCCCTGTCCCTCAGCCTGTTGCCTCCTAACTTGACAACTGCTCCCCTCTCTCCCCCGCCACCCTTGGTAGCATCTCTCATTTGCGCCACCTTGCAATTGGTCTCCCCCTGCCCTTTGTCTTGTGTCATTATAGTGGAGCATATTTGGGAGGTGGTTCACATAAACATATGTATTTAATCATCCATGTTAACCCAAAGTTTGTATGTATCCAGCTCGGGGTTCCTTGATCCTCTCCAATCTGTGCCAGTTACTTTGCTTCTCTTTTCTTAAGAGTCGAAGAAAGTCCTGGGCTTTGCTCTGATTGGATGGCCTACTGATGGCCAGCTGAGTGGCCTGTTGATTGGCTGAAGCTTGCATCAGGTGCCTATCCAAAGACCAATCGCTGTGGCAATAAGGACCACTGGTTGATAGGCTGGGGCCTGGGGCCCCATGTGGCAGGGTGTGGGATCAGCCTCTAGTTCATGATGGTTTCCCTGTGAGTACTTTCCCTGTGTGCTCATTGCTGTTGTTTATTAGGTTGTGTTTGGTGTGCCCAGCCTTTCCAAGGGCACACCTTGTGTTCTTGGCCTTCCTCTGCATCCTTCTTTCTGCTCTCATGTGGGGCCTACAGCCCCGAGGATGTGGGAGGTGCACGCCTGGTTGTGGAGCAGGGGACTCCTCTGCAGGCCTTTCCACCTGCCCCTCTTTGACAGCTCTGTAGACTTCCTCTCGCTTTTTGTACGGGGCAACCCCACGACTATCAGGGTACCATTGACAGGACAAGCCACTTGCCTAAATGACCATGTGTCCTAATTCTAAGTTCCTGGCATTCATCCAGTATGGCTACTGATAACTGATATGGTTTGGATATGTGTCCCCACCAAATCTCATCTGAATTGTAATCCCCAATATTGGAGGTGGGGCCTGGTGGGAGGTGTCTGAGTCATGGGGGTGGATCCCTCATGAATGGCTTGGGCCATCCCCTTGGTGATGAGTCAGCTCTTGCTCTGAGTTCACACGAGATCTGGTTGTTTAAAAGTGTGGCACCTCCCAGTGCCTCTCTCTCTCTCACTCCTGCTTCCACTGTGTGATGTGCCTGCTTCCCCTTTGCCTTCCGCCATGACTGTAAGTTTCCTGAGGCCTCCTCAAAGGCTGAGCAGATGCCAGCACCATGCCTCTTGCAAAGCCAGCAGAACTGTGAACCAATGAAACCTCTTTTCTTTATAAATTACCTGGTCTCAGGTATTTCTTTATAGCAATGCAAGAATGGCCTAACACAGCTACATATCCATCTCTAGCCCCTCAGCTGCAGAGGGGTGTCTTAGGACAAATACAGCTTCTGGGAAGCCCCTGCTGGGGCACAGCCTCAAAATCAGGGCACCTGCCTCCTGTCTTCCTTGGCTGTAATCCCTTCCTGCCCACGTATACTCCTGTCCTGTTCCTCCCTTGCTCTGACATCCCCTATTGCTTCGTAGCCAGTGGCAGAGCTCAAACCTTTGGTGGCAGACTCTGTCTGTCTTCCCTGGGGCCTGGAGAACCCAGAGGGAGCCCAGGATGCCTTGGTGTGGGGTTGCAGTGGGGAGCAGTGTTCCTGAGGGCTAGGTGTGCTGACAGACCCTGATTGATGACATCAAGTCTGTGCACCTGAGGCTTGGTGACCTACTCAGGCCATGGAGGCCTGACCACATTGGTGGCCCCTTTCCACACCCTTTTCCTATATGAGCTGTGGAGGCAGCTCAGCTGCCATGGCCTTAGCTGACTGAATGAGGAGGTGTGGGGGCAAGGGCCATTGTGTGGCTGGGCTCCCCACCTGGACTGGGCTTCCTGGGGGTATGCTCCTTGATAGGCTTTTGTCCAGCTCCCCAAAGGTTCTGCTGTACAGCAAGGGCTGGCACCTTATGTGAGCTAGGCAAGGCTGCAAAGGCGGGTGGGTACTTGTTTTGCTCAATGGGGCAAACTTAACAGGGCCTGGGCCATTTATCGTGGACAGCGTTAACTCCAGTTCTGTCTGCAGAGAGGCTTTTCTTCTAGGTCCCAGCACCTCAGGTGGGAGCCTGGACTAGAGAACTCTGCTACCCACACTCCTGTGCGGGCTTCGTTCATAGCCTTACTGCCCATTTCCTGCATTTTCCATTCCCACAATGTTGTACTTGCAGAACAGGTGCAAGAACAATACAAGCATGAGAATCGCTTGAACCTGGGAGGCAGAGGTTGCAGTGAGCGGGATCACACCATTGCACTCCTGCCTGGGCAACAGAGCAAGACCCTGTCACAAAGCAAAACAAACAAACAGATACGCTTCATCCTGATTCCTGTATTTGCTTTATCATTCTCTTTCTCTCTGTCTCTCTCTCTCTCTGTCTCTCTCTCTCTCTCACACACACACACACACACACACACACACACCCTGTAAGAGTAAGTTGCAGACACAATGTCCCTTTACTTCTAAATTCTTGTGTATATTTCCTATAAACAAAGACTTCTCTTATATAACCATGGCACAGTGATGGAAAGCAGGAAATTAAAATAGATACAATACTATTATCTAATCTAGAGGCCTTACTTGGGTTTTAGCCTATCTTCAAATCTCTACTTCCCATAGATGCCTTCCACCCTCTATGATTAATAATCCTTTTCTTCATTAATGAGAAGACAAATAATTATCACTGTTACCTGTTAAACATCAACAATGACTAGAGCTTGTAATATAATGTTTTATTATTTCCAACAACATTCCTATGGAAAGAATATTTTTCTAGTTTTATAGATAAAAACAAAAGGAGACTCAGGGAGGTAATGGTTTGCTCACTTTTGTGATTTTGTGATGTGTCAGTGCTGGGACTGAATCCAAGTTGGGTGACAGCTGGGGCGATGCAGCAGAAGGCAGGTCTTGCTTTTTGGTAACACAGTGAGCTTGGGAAGTCTGCAACCACATGACTATGAATGAGGCTTCCTGGAACAGTAGAGGCTGAGTGAGGCCAGAGAGGAGCAGGAAGAGTTGCCAGGAGTGGGCTGCATGACAGTTTGTTAAGCATTTCACTGTTGACATCTGAACCCCAACTCTGTCCCTTACCAACCATCTCCTTAAATTGAATCTCAGTCTCTATGTCTGTAGGGTGGCAATAATATTTTCCCCTGTTTTTGTGAGGATTAAATGATGTGGCACATGGAAAGTACTTGGCATAAGGTAAACTTTGGGACAGCCACTATAATGTGTCAAGTGGATACACTGAAATTTATTCCATCCAAGCGCTGTCTTCCTGATCTTTTTGCACAACTTTCAGTGGAAGGAAGAGGGGCTCCAGAGACTTTCCTCAGAAATGGCTCTCACCTGCCTCCTATAGGGAAATGGTGTCAGTGCAAGCAGTTGAGCCTGGACTGATAGCACCCAGCAACCCAGCTTGTCAGACTACTGTGTCCATATCTGTGGGTGGCTGAGCCTAGCCACGGCCAATGGCTGTTCCTAATGTTTACTACCAAAACAGGGGAAATGTGGAAAAGCCCTTTCCACCCTCTGTACTTGGAAACACCCAGGGAAGAGGGTTGGTGACAGAGGTACTGAGTGAGTGGGCAGGTGGTGGGAACTTCCTTTCACCACAGATTATTTAAAGCAATGTTTCTCAGCTGGGCGCAGTGGCTTAAGCTTGTAATCCCAGCAATTTGGGAGGTCGAGGTGGGTGGATCACATGAGGCCAGGAGTTTCAGACCAGCCTGGCCAACATGGTGAAATCCCATCTCTATTAAAAATACAAAAATTAGCCGCGTGTATGGATGCATTCCTGTAATCCCAGCTACTCGGGAGGCTGAGGCATGAGAATCGCTTGAACCTGGGAGGCAGAGGTTGCAGTGAGTGGGATCACACCATTGCACTTCTGCCTGGGCAACAGAGTAAGACCCTGTCACAAAGCAAAACAAACAAACAAACATATATATCTGCAAAGCAATGTTTCTCAAAACTACTGCTCCCAAAGGACATTTTGACGTTTTTGATTGTGCAGTGGGGAGGGGGTGGGTTGGTACTGACATTTCTACAAAGGCCTGAGATGCTGCCTACACAATGTACAGGGCAGTCTCCCAACAAGAAAGAACTATCTAACCCAAAATGTCAATAGTGCCAAGGTTGAGAAACCTTGATTTAGAGTAATGTTTAAAGTGATGCTGTTGTTTTTCCAATATATCATCTCTTTCCCATAATCTCAGATACGGCTGCTTCTAGCATCACAACTTTGTGACCTTACTGACAACTTCCAAAGACCAAGTTTCTTTCAGTTGTATGTGTCTTGCAAGTTCCTTTCTGATTACATGTGAAACTGTGCCCGACAGGGTTAAAGAAACTGGTAACTAACAGAAATCTTGAGCTTGTCTTGCAGGGCAGCCGATAAGGAAACAGTTTGCTATAATCCCCTCTGCTTATACAACTTGCTGGAACAGGTTGGAACCAATATGGCTGACTGGAGCCTGTGCAAAATAGACTTACTAGCCCGAGGAGCGGCCCTTTGATGTCACAGCCCAAATTCCCACAGCTTGTTTTATACCACCTCCTGAATCTGCATGTGACCCTTGAAGCAGCATGAAGAAGCAACAGCTCATGACCAAGAGATTTTCTAAACACTTCTTCGTTTCAGCCAATCACCGTCCAGCCCGAAACTCCACTTCCAAAATCTCTCCCTTAAATCTACTGCTGCGAAGCAAGTATTGGGAGACAGATTTGAGCCCGTCTTCTGTCCCCTTGCAAGGCTGCTTGGCAATACATCTTTCTTGCTACAAAAATCCAATGCTTGGGTGTTTGGTTTTATGTTGTGCGCAGGCAAATGCAGCCGGTTTAGTTTGGTAACACGTGATGTCACTTAATACACAAGAAACGGGCAAGATATGGCATCCTCAGGGAGCTGTGCCTCACTCATTCCTATCCATAGACTTGCCTTCTTTCAACAACGCAAGCAAAAAGAAGGGTTCATTTGGGTTGGTTCCAAGTCTTTGCTATTGTGAACAGTGCCACAATAAACATACGTGTGCATGTGTCCTTATAGCAGCATGATTTATAATCCTTTGGGTATATACCTAGTAATGGGATGGCTGGGTCAAATGGTATTTCCAGTTCTAGATCCCTGAGGAATCGCCACACTGACTTCCACAATGGTTGAACTAGTTTACAGTCCCACGAACAGTGTAAAAGTGTTCCTATTTCTCCACATCCTCTCCAGCACCTGTTGTTTCCTGACTTTTTAATGATCACCATTCTAACTGGTGTGAGATGGTATCTCATTGTGGTTTTGATTTGCATTTCTCTGATGGCCAGTGATGATGAGCATTTTTTCATGTGTTTTTTGGCTACATAAATGTCTTCTTTTGAGAAGTGTCTGTTCATATCCTTCGCCCATTTGTTGATGGGGTTGTTTGTTTTTTTCTTGTAAATTTGTTTGAGTTCATTGTAGATTCTGGATATTAGCCCTTTGTCAGATGAGTAGGTTGCAAAAATTTTCTCCCATTCTGTAGGTTGCCTGTTCACTCTGATGGTAGTTTCTTTTGCTGTGCAGAAGCTCTTTAGTTTAATTAGATCCCATTTGTCAATTTTGGCTTTTGTTGCCATTGCTTTTGGTGTTTTAGACATGAAGTCCTTGCCCATGCCTATGTCCTGAATGGTATTGCCTAGGTTTTCTTCTAGGGTTTTTATGGTTTTAGGTCTAACATGTAAGTCTTTAATCCATCTTGAATTAATTTTTGTATAAGGTGTAAGGAAGGGATCCAGTTTCAGCTTTCTACATATGGCTAGCCAGTTTTCCCAGCACCATTTATTAAATAGGGAATCCTTTCCCCATTGCTTGTTTTTGTCAGGTTTGTCAAAGATCAGATGCTTGTAGATATGCGGCATTATTTCTGAGGGCTCTGTTCTGTTCCATTGCTCTATATCTCTGTTTTGGTACCAGTAGCATGCTGTTTTGGTTACTGTAGCCTTGTAGTATAGTTAGAAGTCAGGTAGTGTGATGCCTCCAGCTTTGTTCTTTTGGCTTAGGATTGACTTGGCAATGCGGGCTCTTTTTTGGTTCCATATGAACTTTAGTTTTTTCCAATTCTGTGAAGAAAGTCATTGGTAGCTTGATAGGGATGGCATTGAATCTATAAATTACCTTGGGCAGTATGGCCATTTTCACGATACTGATTCTTCCTACCCATGAGCATGGAATGTTCTTCCATTTGTTTGTATCCTCTTTTATTTCATTGAGCAGTCGTTTGTAGTTCTCCTTGAAGAGGTCCTTCACATCCCTTGTAAGTTGGATTCCTAGGTATTTTATTCTCTTTGAAGCAATTGTGAATGGGAGTTCACTCATGATTTGGCTCTCTGTCTGTTATTGGTGTATAAGACTGCTTGTGATTTTTGCACATTGATTTTGTATCCTGAGACTTTGCTGAAGTTGCTTATCAGCTTAAGGAGATTTTGGGCTGAGACGATGGGGTTTTCTAGATATACAATCATGTCATCTGCAAACAGGGACAATTTGACTTCCTCTTTTCTTAATTGAATACCCTTTATTTCCTTCTCCTACCTGATTGCCCTGGCCAGAACTTCCAACACTATGTTGAAAAGGAGTGGTGAGAGAGGGCATCCCAGTCTTGTGCCAGTTTTCAAAGGGAATGCTTCCAGTTTTTGTCCATTCAGTATGATATTGGCTGTGGGTTTGTCATAGATAGCTCTTATTATTTTGAGATACGTCCCATCAATACCTAATTTATTGAGAGTTTTTAGCATGAGGGTTGTTGAATTTTGTCAAAGGCCTTTTCTGCATCTATTGAGATAATCATGTGGTTTTTGTCTTTGGTTCTGTTTATATGCTGGATTACGTTTACTGATTTTCGTATGTTGAACCAGCCTTGCATCCCAGGGATGAAGCCCACTTGATCATGGTGGATAAGCTTTTTGATGTGTTGCTGGATTCGGTTTGCCAGTATTTTACTGAGGATTTTTGCTTCAATGTTCATCAAGGATATTGGTCTAAAATTCTTTTTTTGTTGTGTCTCTCTCTGCCACCCTTTGGTATCAGGATGATGCTGGCCTCATAAAATGAGTTAGGGAGGATTCTCTCTTTTTCTTTTGATTGGAATAGTTTCAGAAGGAATGGTACAAGCTCCTCCTAAAATGTGGCACATATACACCATGGAATACTATGCAGCCATAAAAAATGATGAGTTCATGTCCTTTGTAGGGACATGGATGAAGCTGGAAACCATCATTCTCAGCAAACTATTGCAAGGACAAAAAACCAAACACCGCATGTTCTCACTCATAGGTGGGAATTGAACAATAAGAACACATGGACACAGGAAGGCGAACATCACACACCGGGGACTGTTGTGGGGTGGGGGGAGGGGGGAGGGATAGCATTAGGAGATATACTTAATGCTAAATGACGAGTTAATGGGTGCAGCACACCAACATGGCACATGTATACATATGTAACAAACCTGCACGTTGTGCACATGTACCCTAAAACTTAAAGTATAATAATAAAAAAAATGCTTACTTTAAAAAAAGAAAGAAAAGAAAAAAAAAAAAAAGAAGGGTTCAGGCCGCTGTGGGAGGCCCAGCACCACCCAGCACAAGACAGTACGGTATCCCGCCGCGCGCCCGACTCCACCTGGCGAGCAGGGAGGGGCCAAGCTTACGCGAGGCGTGGCATCCCGCCCCTCGCTGCATTGTACTTCCGGGCTCACATTTCTGCATCCGGAGTATGAGAACCCTCAACCAGGCTGACCGGATCCGGAAGTGGATTGCGAGCCAGGAGGAGGAAGCCGGCGGTGGCCCCGTCAGCAGCCGGCTGCTGAGAGGCCGGTAGGCGGCGGCGGTCCCGAGGGGCGGCGGCCGCGCTGCTCCCTGAGAACGGGTCCCGCAGCTGGGCAGGCGGGCGGCCTGAGGGCGCGGAGCCATGAAGCTGTACAGCCTCAGCGTCCTCTACAAAGGCGAGGCCAAGGTGGTGCTGCTCAAAGCCGCATACGATGTGTCTTCCTTCAGCTTTTTCCAGAGATCCAGGTGAGCGGCACAGGCTGGTGGGCCGTGGCGGTCGGGCGGAGAGGACTGGGGTGGGGGTCCGAGTCGGAGTGGGCCTGGGGTCGGCGGAGGGATGAGGGGAGGGTGGAGGAGGCCAAGGGTAGGGGCAGGGCGGGGTGGCCGAGTGCCCGGGGTCTGAGAAGGCTGGTGTCCGAGTCAGAGGCGGGGCGGGGTGGGGAGGGCCCGGGGTCTGCTGTCCGGGCTTGGTCTCCTATAATGGAATCTGGCCGTGGACTCTACCTTTGAGGAACCAACATTAGCTCTTTAAGAGCTTATACCATTCTAGAATATAGTTCTCTACTCAGTGTTTTTCAAATTTCTGTCGTGTAAAAATTTTAAGGAGACTGTGAAGTAGTGCAGATTTCCAAGCTTCATGCCAAGATGTTCTGAATTAGTAGATTGAGGCCTCGGTATTTATATTTTAGACCAACACTTCCCACCCAGTGATTCTGACTCTGGGAGCTTGGGTGCCGCATCTTGAGAGCCATATTTTGATTTTCTTGCGGGGCTTCCCAACAATTCTGTATGAGAGATAGTGATATACTTTTTTTTGTTTGTTTTTAATGGGTGAAGTCACTGAGGTACCAAGAGGTTATATCACAACCAGCTAGAACTGAAAGCCAGGTTTAACGCTTTTTAGTTGGACACTAGTGGTACAAAAGGATTCCACACGGAAGATGCAAATGAAGCATGGGATCTGTAGGGCTTACAGGCTTTTACTTGTTTCTGGGGCGCTTTAATTGCTGGAACGTGTTAGAAGTAACACAGACACTTCCAGACCATTCGTGGGAGGGATTGGGGTGACTCAGGCACGAAAGAAGGAGGACCCTACATGGTCGGTATCTATGGTCATCTTGTCTCAAAATCTGATGGAATCTGCCGTTTGGATTCTGTTTTCCCTGCTTCAGTGCAGCTGGTTCTTGATGAGAGTTCTTTGCCAAGGACTTGCTGGATGTAAAAAAAAAAAAATGTTATTTTGTTGAAACTTTCTGCTTCTTTGAGTTCTTTTAAAAAAATATTTTTAATTGTGGTAAAATGGTACACAAAATTTATCTTCACTATCTTTAAGCGTGTAGTGAGTGCATTGATATGAAATAGATTGATAGTGTTGTGCAGCCATCACTGTCAATCGTCTCCAGAACTCCTTTTTATCAAATTCGTGTCTATTAAACACATTCCCTTCTCCCCCAGCCCATGGCAACTGCCATTCTAATTTGTCTCTGTGATTTTGACTTTTCTGGCGACCTTAGATAAATGGAATCATATAGTTTTTGTGTGTCTGGCTTATTTCATGTAGCATAATGTCCTCAAGGCTCATGCATCTTGTTGCATATATCAGAATTTCTTTCCTTTTTAAGGCTGAATAATCCATTGTATTATTCACCACATTTTGCTTATCTGTTCATCTGTCAGTGGACACCTGGGTTGCTTCCACATTTCAGCCATTGTGAATGATACTGCTATGAACATGGATGTACAAATATCTCTTCAAGACCCTGCTCGCATTTTTTTGGTATTTACCCAGAAGCGGAATTGCTGCATTATCTTTTAGCTCCTTCTTGGGGTTCTTGGTCTTTGCAGTCTTTACCATGGCCTACATTCACTGCTCTGTGTTGTTGCTTTTCTCAGATGGAACTTTTGGTGCCAACTTGGCTCTGATTCTTTTTCCTTTTTCCTTCCCATTAGTACTTAAGATTCTCAGAGATTTCACTTGTAGGACTTATACCTCACCTGCTTGGGATGCCCACACTAGTTTCCAATGACTAACAGCTGCAACACTAAAGGGACATCTCTACTAATATGTCTTAAAACAACACATGTCCCAGCTGATTTATTTATTTATTTATTTTATTTTAGATGGAGTCTTGCTCTGTCACCCAGGCTGGAGTGCAGTGGCACAGTGTCAGCTCACTGCAACCTCCGCCTCCTGGGTTCAAGTGATTCTCCTGCCTCAGCCTCCCAAGTAGCTGGGATTACAGGCGCGCACCACCACACCCGGCTAATTTTTGTATTTTTAGTAGAGATGGGGTT
This sequence comes from Homo sapiens, assembly GCF_000001405.40. NCBI lineage: Eukaryota > Metazoa > Chordata > Mammalia > Primates > Hominidae > Homo > Homo sapiens. The sequence continues at coordinate 44,203,289 of NC_000007.14, forward strand.
TTACCATGTTAGCCAGGCTGGTCTCGAACTCCTGAGCTCAAGTGATCCGCCTGCCTTGGCCTCCCAAAGTGCTAGGATTACAGGCTTGAGCCACCACGTCCGGCCTGAGCTTGTTTTCTTATAAGACCGCTTTACTTACGTCCTTTGTGCCCTATAATTACCCGATTCCAAAGTTGAAAAAGTAGTTTCCCAGCTTTTTTGGTCTTTGTATACATGCTGTCACAATGCAGTTCTTCCTTTGTCTCTTTATAGCCGTGTCTCAAATGCTGTCTCTAGGTTTACTGCAAAGCCTTCCTTGTTTGAGGTCTTCTTTTCTGAGGGGTTATTTTGATCACTTCAGTCCCTCAAGATATTAACAAGTAATACTGTGTGTGCAGGCATTGTTCCAAGTGCTTTACACGTATTACCTCGTTTAACTGTTGCACAAATCTTGATTTTTTTAATGTGGAGGCACAGCACACAGGCCCAGAGTCAGGCCTTCAGTTACCTATATGGCTCTGCTGGAGCCTGCTGCAGACTCCCATTTGAGCACCCTGCTTTGATGGCCCTGGTTGCCCTTTATATCACATCCTCAGTTGGAGGCTCCTTGTCAGCACCTCTTCCTCTGGCTGTACCATCTCCTGTGACTGTTCTGTTCTGGATAGATCTCTCTGTTGAGCCCATGATGGACCTTCTCCCTTTCACCCTTTGTATGAGCCATTTCCCACTTCTTTGTCTTGGATGAGCAGTTTTCCTTTTGTTCCATCCAGAGTGTCTTGCGCTCGTTCTGTGGACGAGCCCCAGCAGACCTGAGCCAGCACTCACTATGGGTGTATGTGGCATTGCGAGGGTCTGTCATGTGGACACAGCCATAAATGGTTGTGCATTTCTGCCTGACAGTTTTTGCACACTATTCTTCTAGTGCAGTTCTTATAAATGTCCTGCTTCTTGGAAGTTATTGGGACCTTGAGAGCAGGACCTGCCTCTTGTTTTTCCATTGCATTCCAAATTATGCATTCACCAAAATGTAAAATTGACTGTATCCTGTGGAAAAACCCCCCAGAAAATTCACCTGTTTTGGTGAGCCAGGTAGCAAACAGATGGAGCTTTCATGGTGATGATAATTCATAATTATCAGTATTTGTGCTCATTTATAGAGTGTTTGTTACTAGGGATGGGAGGGAAAGGAATGAAACCAAGAAGCAATGTCTACTTAATGTATAAGCCCAGAGGTCACTTTCCACTGTGTTGGGGACAAGGTGATAAGAAGTAGGCAATAAATACATTTTGTGTTTCTTAGCGTTCAGGAATTCATGACCTTCACGAGTCAACTGATTGTGGAGCGCTCATCGAAAGGCACTAGAGCTTCTGTCAAAGAACAAGGTAAGAAGACCCTCCAACTTCTGTGCGTGTGCTGGCCTGGCTGCCATGCCTCACCTCACATAGCACCCAGCTTTCTCCTTTCTACTGGGACCCTACTCCTCCTCTAGCTTGTTCTCTCTTTCCCACCTCTTCCTTTTCCTATTTATGCAGAATTCTGTGCCCACTGTTGAAGTCTGAGCTTCCCAGATAAAATTGCCCTCAAACTTAGACTCATTTAAGATTAGGGTCTGACTCTTTTGGAGCAGTAAGCAGCCTTCATATCGTATTCTTCCCTATCCTCTTCAGAGTTGCAGACCCCTCAAAAAAGGATTTCCAGCTAGCACTGTTGAGGTACTATATGTATTCTGTGCATCGTAGATTTTTTGATCAGGAATCTGAAAAAACTATTTTTTCTTTCTGATAATTCAGGTTTAGGCATTTATTTAGATGTGTATGTTATACAGACAGATCAGGAAAGAGTTACATGAGTTTCATCAGGTAGGGACAAAGATCATCTCACACTTATGCTAACCTCAAGTCACGTGACATAGAGTTACTGAATTGATGATATAAATGTCAGTTATGATACAGGCAGGATTGACTATATACACTTTATGTGGGATCTCTGTGCTATTAACATCATAGAAGTGAAATCGCATCACAAATATTTCAGTGTTCTTGCTCTGTTCTTCAAACTGTGCCTGCCCTTCCCACGTTTATTACTTAAAGACAATTCCTCCACTGACCAGGTTCTCAGTTTCTTTGGAGGGTATGCACTTTGACCCCATGTTTGAATCTTAATTGGGGATGGTATACAAAATCTGGAGAGCATTGGTGACAACCCCCTGTCCTCTTCCTCCTCCTCATTCTTGTTCTCATTTATCTCTGCTCTTTTCTGATTTCAGGGGCTCACCATCATTCCCTCCTCTTTTATTTGTTTTTCTGTTGTTTAGCATTGGAATCTTCTGGGTCAGATCCTTAAGGACAAGAAGGTTCTTATTTGTAAGCTGTAATCCTTACATTTCTCTTTCCTTGGGGATATGGTTAGCTGTATCAACTCTGAATCCTTTCAAAGTGATGGAAATGAACAATCCTGTGGATTGTGAATATTTTGCGGAAGACCTGTACAACTGTACCTTTCAATCATATGAGGATTTTAGCACAGTGCTCTGGAGGCCTTAGCTGGCAGTAGCTAATCTTTTTCTAGACTAACCCCCCTACTCCCAGTCACCCACCAGAGTGGAGCAAACCCAGCAGGTTGCTATAATATGGAAGACTGAGGCCCTGGGGGGTAATTTCCTGTCTTTTGGCTGCTCTGAAAAGATTTTTTAAGAAAGCAGAGGCCTCTTGGCTTGTCCAGGGTTCCCTAAGTTTGGGAGCAGCACAGAGCCCCAAGGGCTCCAGATCCCTAAGATATAGCTTGGCCTGACCCGAGCTTAAGGAATACACTTGGAAATGCTCCTGGGGCCATGTTGTCAAGGGTGTGTTTTCTGCACCACTGGCTGTTTCTTTAAGCCCTGGCTTTGCATACTGGGCCTCTGGGTATTTACTGGTCCTAAAGCAGGCGTTGGGCCAAGCTCCTGTGTGTGGCCCATTGGGCTGTGCTGCTAAGCCTCTCCACAAGACTTGCCCAGAGCTATTGAGCTTCCGAGTGGCTTCATTTGGCCTAACATTGGATGCTTTGATTTGGGGGGATTAAAAGAAGTCTGAAGCCCTCATGTCAGCATCCATGTGTCTGATCTCTTGTCTCCTTAGACTATCTGTGCCACGTCTACGTCCGGAATGATAGTCTTGCAGGTGTGGTCATTGCTGACAATGAATACCCATCCCGGGTGGCCTTTACCTTGCTGGAGAAGGTGAGTTTTTTATTTGCCTCTCCTGGACTTGGATGATGAATGGGCACATTTATGGACTGGGACAGGGGTTGATGGCAGTCCCTGAGACATAAGGGATGAAATGATGTGTCCAAAGTCAACACATTTTTCAGCCCCCTTCCCTGCAACCCAAGAGACAATTTGGCATCCCTGTATGGGTTTCCTCCCCGGTGCTGTCCCTCATGTGAGCTGGGTCTAGGCCACTGAGTCATAGCATCTATTCTCTGGGATGGGACCCTCGGAGACAGCTGTGCCTTGTGTTCTCGCCCCCTGTGCTTCTGCTCAAGGAGTCTCCCTCTTGAATGCCTTCACTCTCCCCATTGCCTCCTGCAGTTGCTGCATCCCTCTACCTTGATGTCAGTCAGTTGCACCACAGAGCTTAGCACCTAAGCATTCTTTAAATTTTTTTGCGTACGGTGCTAATTACTAATATTAACTCTTTGAAGTCAGAGGCTTCATCCTATACCCCAGAGCACCAAAATACCTCCAAACACATGGAATCTGGTGGTTTCTTAAATCTAGGGGACCTAATTCTCTTTTTTAAAAAATTGCTTTGGAAAATTAGAGGACCAGTGCCCCTTTTTTCTGGAAATCTGTAGTTTAAAATTCAAATACCTTTATTACTCCCCAAGTGAGGTTCATCTCGGGCTGGGCATACTTTTGATTCTCAGAATATTTAGGATATGTTTTAATGATAAAAATTTGGAAAGAACTTTAGCCTAGATTTTCTCTGTTGCCATTATATGTCCCCCTCATTCCTCCTTCCTGGGCTGTGAAGGCCAAGGAGCCTCATTCAGGGTGAGGTGCTCAGGGGTGAAGCCCTGTCATTGAGACCACTGGTGAGTGCACAGTGGGAGGCTTGTTGAGTCTCCTTTGTCTTGCAGGTACTAGATGAATTCTCCAAGCAAGTCGACAGGATAGACTGGCCAGTAGGATCCCCTGCTACAATCCATTACCCAGCCCTGGATGGTCACCTCAGTAGATACCAGGTAGGGTTAAAGGAAGCTTCAGCAGACACCATGTGGCCCAGAATCCATGTGAAACTGAAAAAGCCAACTGCCCTGATAGTTCTGGTCTAATTACTTCTGACAGCTTCTGATGCTGGTGTCCTCTCTCAAGCCTTACTGTTTGGAAAACAGAGAATCTACGTTCAGACCGGGGAACCCAAGCTCTAGGCAGGCTTTGGGTTTCTGTTACATGTTAAACAGGCTGTGGGTTTTTTTTTTTGTTTTTTGTTTTTTGAGTTGGAGTCTCACTCTGTTTCCCAGGCTGGAGTGCAGTGGCGCAATCTCGGCTCACTCAACCTGCACCTCCTGGGTTCAAGCGATTCTCCTGCCTCAGCCTCCCGAGTAGCTGGGATTACAGGCATGTGCCACCACGCCTGGCTAATTTTTGTATTTTTAGTAGAGACGGTTTCACCATGTTGGTCAGGCTGGTCTCGAACTCTTGATCTCTGGTGATCCACCCGCCTCATCCTCCCAAAATGCTGGGATTACAGGCGTGAGCCACTGTGCCCGGCCCAGGCTGTGGTTTTTAACCTGTGAAAGTTTGTCCAGCTTCCTCAGTTTTAGGTTTTGTTTGCAGGTAGCCACTCCAGTCCTGACTTTATTATTTTTCACTCTTTCCTAGAACCCACGAGAAGCTGATCCCATGACTAAAGTGCAGGCCGAACTAGATGAGACCAAAATCATTCTGGTAAGCAGGAAGATGGAGAGCAAGCCCAAGAACTGAGGCGGGGGTGCGATTTCCACTGGCCAGGCATGCACAGATCCATCCTCGTTTTAATATAATAGTAACCACGGCACTCTCCAGCAAGTGGGATTGCCCACCCCTTCCCCCACCCCGGGCATCAGACTGTCTTTCCTATACCCTTCTCTTGGTTAATGGCACCCATTGTTTCTAGGGGACCAAGCTGGGAACCAGTGGAACCCTCAAGTCTCCCTTCCTCATGGCTACTGCCTGTCTGACCATTTACTGGGTTCCTAGGGTTTGGCTTCTGAAGACCTGGATTCCCACCCTGGTGCCTTTGTTAGGGTTTCGGGTGCCTCCACACCCCACAGGTGCCTCCCCTTGCAGCGTTTGCATTGAAGGTGAACAGATTGAAGCACCGTGCACTGACCACAGGGCAGCTTCTGGAATATGGGCCCAGGGTTGTCACATAGGCCCCTTTGAAAAGAGCCAGAACCCTGCATTTTGAGCTGAAATCTCCTGATTTGTAACTGTTGCTTCAACTCTTTTTTTTTAAATTTTTGCATACAAGTGGAATGTAAGCAGCTATCTGTTTTTCTCAGGTTTTTCTCTTACAGCCTTTGCCTCTAAGTGGTCCCCTTGCCTCCTGCTCACCTCCAGTCTGTCCACCAGAGAGTAGTCATTGATCTGCACAACTTAGAACCCTTCAGCAGCTCTCAGATCCGCCCCAGGATAAAGTGCAAACTAACTCACAGTCTCCTGACTGGGCCCTGTTCTCTCTTATACCCTTTCTTGCCCAGCTCACACACAGGCGCCTGAAGGTTGGGCCTTTCTGACCAGATGTCACAGTTTTGTCACTGCTTGTTTACATGTCTCCCTGACCAGCGTATGAGCACTGGGACATCTTTCCATCCTGCTCATGATACAGTGCCTAGTTTATACCATGCTCAGCAGTTGATAGATACCTGGAGTGGATTGAAACCCACATACAAAGCTTTACCATTTACACAGGCATAGCTTTAGTGTGTACATCAGCGTCTCCTGGGGTTGGAGTTGTTGGCCTGCGATGGAGCCTGGGAACCTGCATTTTATAAAAAGCATCCCAGGGGCTTCAAACACAGGTGTGCTGACTGCACTCCAAATAACGTGGCTTTGGAATGAACGATAGATGTGAAAGTCTCATGGTATCTGTGTCTTTTGAAACCTTGTGAGCTTTCTTACCACCTAGGTGGCATTTCTCCGTTTTCTCCTCAAGCCATCTCTTTCTGTTGCTCAAGTCCTAGTCTGAGTACCATGACACCTGGGACACCCGCTGTTTCTCCTCTCCCCACGGTGGGGAGTGGATGAGTCCTATTCACCCAGCCTCATCTAGCTGCAGTTGTAAAATCTAGATGATTGGTGTGCATATCTGAATCAGTTAACTTTCTGTGTTAAAAATTTGAGTCGCTCAGCTGTGTGTAGGGATGAAGGACATTCTTGCTGGCTCCTTGTTCTATGGCGCTTCATGTGTGCATCTAGCTGCTGCAGCAGTGGCCATCTGAGGAGAGAAGCGAGCTGCTGCTTCCTGAGGGCCCTGGCAGCAGAGCTGCTGGCTCTTGTGAGGTCTCCATCTCTAGACCCCTTCCCATGGGGTCAGTGTTTTCATTTCCTAAGTCAGAGTTTGTAGTGATGACATTTAGGACATAGCCCATTTAGAAGGCAGGACATGTTCTGTCATAGTGCTGTCTGGTATATATTTGGGGCATGTGTGTAACTTAGAATTTTCTAGGAGCCATATTTTAAAATGATAAAAGGAAAATAGGTAGAATTTAATTTAATTATATATTTTACTTAACGCAGTATATCCAAATACAATTTTTCCAACATGTAATCGGTATAAAACTTGTTTTTTTTTCAGTATAAAACTTACTAATGAAGCATGTGTGAGTTTGCATCTGAAATCTGGTGTGTCTGTACTCAGAGCGCTGCTCAGTTTGGACTTGCCTCACATCAAGTGCTCAATAGCCATTTCCCACCGCCTTTTGTTTCCTGTGGCTGCTGTCAACAGAAACCCTCAAATATTTGCTTTTAACAGATAGCTCTGTGGGCCTGGCTGGTGTCTTTTGGGGCTCTGAGTGTCTGTCCCAGGCCTCTCTCCAGCCTCTGGTGGCTGCTGGCCATCCTTGGCATTCCTTGGATTAGAGGTGCATCACTTCAGGCTCTGCCTCTGCCGTCACGTGACCTTCTGTGTGTGTGTTTCCGTTTCTTACCAGGACATCAGTCATGGAATTAGATGCCACCCTAATCCAGTATTACCTCTTCCTAACTAGTTACATCTGCCAAGACCCTATTTCTAAATATGGTCACATTCAGAGATTCTGGGGATGTTAATTTCTGGGATGCGGTTGGGGTTGGGGGGTGCGGTGTGGGTCACTCTCCAACCCAGTACAATCATATAGTGCCCAGCTACTCTTTTTTCCAAAGCTCCATGCACACGCACATGTGCGTGCACACACACACACACACACAAATGTATATATAAATGTGTGTGTATATATATATATGAGTTTTCCTGGAGTGCTGGTTATCTAAGCCTGTGCTGGGGACAGCTTTTTGGGAAGTCTGCTACATCCCAGTTAGATCTTCTAGATTTCACGGGAATGTCACCAGGTTCTGTTCCATCCACTTGGACAGTAACTATTCTTGGACCGAGTCTCGACACCTAGAGGTGAAGTTTGTGTGTGTTGGAGAGGAACCCAGGTAAGGCACTTTCCCCCATGACTGAAATATGAGGGGCTCATGTCAGGGCACGTACTGAACAGAGCTGGATTCTCTTTTCTTTTTTGTCCAGCACAACACCATGGAGTCTCTGTTAGAGCGAGGTGAGAAGCTAGATGACTTGGTGTCCAAATCCGAGGTGCTGGGAACACAGTCTAAAGCCTTCTATAAAACTGTGAGTACCCAGCACCTGCTGCCTCCTGGGTGTTCTCTCTAGAGAGCAGTCGCAGCTTGCTGCTTCTGGCACTCTCCACTATGAACGGGTCTTTCTTAGACTGTTGAATCATGGTGGATGATTCCTTGTGCGGCAAGAGCCTAAGGTGAGCGCCTCAGGCCCAGGTGGTTGGAGGCAGTTCACTTGGGCGCCGTTGGAGTCGATGCGGGCCGAGGCCTTGTTCCACTCCTGCCTCTGCTCTGCCCTCTGCTGCTCTGGCTGATTTCTGAACTCCTACTCCCAGTCCAGGAAGGCTGGTTCAAGTTCTGATCACCAGAGATTTACTGTTGAATCTTATTCCTCTTTCTGCTGAGTAGACATAAGTCTTTAAGATGCAAGCAATTCAGCCTTCCTGAAGAGGTTCTTAAGCTTTTAATTTCCCTTTGACAGAAAATATTTAATTGACAAGGATGGGTGCTGCTGACTGCCGCTTTCTCTCAGGTCAGTGCTCATGTCTTCCTATGTGGAGATGGCACTGTTGGCCCATGGTTGGATAGTCATAGGGACAAATTTACTTGGTCTGTCCACACACATTTGCTTTCATGTGCACATTGGAGGGAGATGGCTAGGTGGGATTAGGAAGATAGTCTGTGACCAGAAAGCAAGAGAGAAGGTGGCAACAGTGGTCCCCACAAACCACATCCCAAGTGGGAACCACATCTGTTGTCCTCAGGACCATCTTCTAGGAAGAAACACCACCGTGGTGGTCAGATAGCATTGTGTGAAGACAGGAGTGGGGCAAAGTTAAGATATTCTGCCAATCCCATTTGTATTATTGGTCCTTTGTTTGTACCTGGCCTAACTGTAGGAATTTTACTCACTTTTTGATAGCATTAATGGGGTGTGAGAAAAGAAAGGAAAAAGGATCCCAGACTAGTTTTGGAAGCCGGGGCCCGCCTTGTGCTTGGTGATGGGAATTGCTTGTGGACAGCTTCCCTCAAGGCCTCCACCCCCACCCTGTTCTAGTGCTAGTTTCTCTGCCTGGCTGTGTCCTGTGGAGCTCCCTCTGCCACGCCTGCCAGGATTGGGGCTTCCCTTACTTCGTCAGTCCTCCTTCTCAGCTCCTCTTTGTTTTTTTCCAAGGCCCGGAAACAAAACTCATGCTGTGCCATCATGTGATGCAGCCTGCCAGAGGCCCAATGCTGGAATGGCACCATCATTCACATCAGAACTGCAGCCCCTGGAAAAGAAGAGACAGCCATAGACGAGGAGCCAGAGTGGGGGCAGACTGGCCATTTTTATTTTGAAGTTCCTGCGAGAAATGGATGGTGGAAGGGTGGCGAATGTTCAAATTCATATGTGTGGTAGTGATTCTTGGAAAGAATTTGAGGTCCCCAAAGGTGTATTTTTGGGCAAATGAAACCATAAACTCCGACTGGCTTCTGTAGATGCCAAAGGGCTCTTTTTCAGCTAACCCTGGGAAGGCTCTGTGGGAGGGAGGTCGGAGCCAGCTGTTTCTCGATCTTTGGTATATCTTTGGATCTTATTTGTACATTAATGATATTAACACTCCAGTGGGGGGTGGGGAGTCCCTGATGCTAGGGCTGGGGTGGGTGGAGTTTGAAGACTCTTGGGAAAGCCTCTCCTGGGGCCACTGTTGGGGGTGGGAGTGAGCCCACCACAGAGGCCACAGGCAGGCCCCCACTTCAGGCCCAAGGCCTGGGGCGGGGGGAACAGTCACTGGGTCTCAGATTCTGAGACTGTTGTTTAGCTTACCTTTCTGCTAGGATTGGCTTCCCGCAGAGGGCAGGGCCCATCCTAAGCAGCTTCCAAGTCCCACAAAGGTGGCTTGTGGGAGGATTTGGAAGGAGCTGCATTGTGGGCGGGGAGTGTGTGGGTTGGGTTCGTACCAGCAAGTAGACTAGGAACTGAGCCCAGGAAAGGGGGATGTTTTCCTGGTGTTTGGATGGTCAGCTGGGAGTGTCCATCATCAGGGGAAGATCAAACACAGGTGCACTCAGCTGCCCAGGGCCTCTGGGACACTTGCCTTGACTTGCAACTTGCCTTGAACATCACGATCAAAGCAGCAGGTGCTGTGGTCTCTCAAAATTGATTTTTATTTGACTCTGTGGCTCTAAGACTGCCTTGAACCGCCTGAGGCCTATGCATCTGAACAAGTGGGTCTCTCCCTTGAGCACCAGGAGTGGGTGCCAGCCGGCCCCGAGGATTCCCAGCACCCCACCTATGGTCTTGCCAGCATAGGCTTGCTAGTTCCTTCTTGGTCAGAGGTAGCTGCAGAGGGGGGAGGCCAAGGGTTTGGTCTAAGCTGTGCCCTGCCACCTGGCAGGAGGCCCACTCACTGCCCAAGTCATGGCAACAGGCTGGAGCAGCCCAGGAGATGGGCCTAAAATGTTCTGGATCCCTTGGGTCCTAGTGTTATGTTCCAGTCTGCCCACCTGTGCTCAGGATGCAGCCCTGGGATCCAGCACCCATGGAAGCTTCTGCTGGGATGGTGTCACCTATGGGTTTTGAACCAGTGTGGTATGGTCCTTGGGAGCTCTGCTCTGAGCTTGCCACACTGCTGAGAGCACCCACTGTCCTGACCAGAGTCTCAGTGGTCCTGACCCCCAATGTGGGCAGGGGCTGGGCAGGAGGGTGGGGTCTGCTGTGGGTTCAGAGGACTCCACCTCCTGGCTGGTTTACCTGCTGCTGCCCATTTTCTCTGGGTACTGCTGGCCAGAGGACTTTAGCCTACCCCTGAAGAGCCTGTCCATGTCATTTTCCTACTGCCATAGATACCCTAAGCCCAGGGCCCCTTGAGGCCCAGACTCAGCCTGCCCACTGGTGCCGGAGACGGAGTGGAGTGGGCCTGGATCCGAGGGATGCTACCTCTCCCTTTCCCACTTGAGGACCCTGGGGAGAGATGGGGGCGGGGAAAATGGAGGTATGAATTTGGGGTAAGAGGAAGTGAGATCTCCGCTTGCAGGTCAGCCCCTGCCTTGCAGGGCGGGCTGGCTTGACTCAGGCCCTGTGAGATAGAGGGCCCAGCCCAGCCCCACCCACAGATCCCCTGCTCCTGTTGTGTTCTGTTGTAAATCATTTGGCGAGACTGTATTTTAGTAACTGCTGCCTAACTTCCCTGTGTTCTATTTGAGAGGCGCCTGTCTGGATAAAGTTGTCTTGAAATTTCACAGTGGTCCTGTGCTTTCTTTGTGCTTCAGGGGAATCCTTTCTTCACCAAGCCCTTCCCCCGGGGGAGAGAGTGGCCTCATGCTGTGTGCCTGTGGGCCTGCCGCATGCAAGGGTCCAAGTTATCCTGACCAGCTCCTGTCCAGGAGAGGTAGCTGCAGGCCTGACTCCTTCACCTCCTTTCTATAGACCTTGCTAGCAGGAACTGTATTTTCTTTTTTGCTGTTAACCAGGTGAGGGAGCCCTGGAGTAGAAGAAGCCCTGTCATTGCTGAATCCTGTTGCCTGGTCTTAGCTGCAGCCAGGAGACCCACCCTAGGAAAGCTGCCTCATAGCTGCAGAGCCATGGGACAGGAGGCCCCATCCCCATCCTGATCCCGCTGTAGGCTTCCTGTCCCTCACCGCTGACCCCAGGGTCAATCTGAGACCACCTGGCATCCCACCAAGCACAGGTGGCAACTTTTCAGGAGCAGAGGGGGCTCCACAGGGTACCTGGAAGCTTCCTGGTTCCTGGAGGAGCCAAAGCTGACCCCTGCTTTGGTTGGGAGGTGAACCAGGGGTAAGTCAAATTCAAGTCTCACATCTGGTTTTGAGTTCAGGGAACCCTCTGAAGCCTCTGTAGCCTCCCAGGGAGGCGGGCCCAAGGCTGCTTTCAGCCTGTACTTCTGATCCTGGAAGGCAGAGACCTCTCTGACTGGCCCAGCAAGCAGCCTTGGGCAGTGCTCAGCTTTTCCTGTTCTGAGGACCTGCCAGACCTGGGTTGGGGTGGGATGGGGTAACCCTTAGGGTCATGTGGCCCAGGGAGCTTTGTTCAGAGGGTGCTATTTAAAAGTGATGAATGGGCCGGGTGCAGTGGCTCATGCCTGTAATCCCAGCACTTTGGGAGGCTGAGGTAGGCAGATCATTTGAGGTCGGGAGTTCGAGACCAGCCTGACCAACATGGTGAAACCCCATGTCTACTAAAATACAAAAGTTAGCTGGGCATGGTGGCGGGCACCTGTAATCTCAGCTACTCGGGAGGCTGAGGCAGGAGAATCACTTGAACCCAGGAGGGAGAAGTTGCAGTGAGCCAAGATCGCGCCACTGCACTCCAGCCTGGGCGACAGAGTGAGGCTCCCTCTCAAAAATATATAAAAATAAAAGCGATGAATGAAATGCCCGTCGGTGGTGTCCTTTTTGCCTGTAGCGCTTGGCCCAGTACAGGGTGGCTTAGCCCTGTGTGCTGTGCCCTAATACCTCATCAGAGTTGCTGCCCTGATGGCATCTGCAGAAGGGCCTCAGGAATAATGCATGTGAGGGCGCACGATCCGCAGTGCCTGCAGCCTTCCTGGGGGAGGCCTGGCCTGGAAAGCCTCCTCCGATTACAGCTGATAGGCAAGTGGAGCCCTAGATACCATGCTGGGGACAGACACTGCAGCACTCGTGGGCACTGGCCTAGATTCTTTGCACCTGGCTCTTGGGACCTGCCACCTGCCCACCCACACACCTGAGAGCACCTGTCCAGGTGCAGACCATGGGGAGCAAGAAGCTGACATCCAGGGCCACTCTGCCGCGTGAAGGTGCTCAGGGTGGAGGAGGAGACTGAGGGCTTTAGCCAGTTCTGGGGGATCCTTCAGGCTCCTTGCCCATAGTGGATAGGACTGAGAGTGTGTAGGGGCACTCGTCTTGTCAGAAGTTACTTGGACCCAAAATGCAGGTGTGTTTAGTGTCTGGGACTGTTTTGAAGCCCATCCTTCTGTTTAGGAAAGTGCCGTGGCACTGCCTGGGACACAGGTGTGGAGGGGAGCCAAGGGCAGGGCCACACTCTGAGCAGGTTGCCATGGAGACATGAGGGTGCATCAGGGGGCCCAGCGGGGGCCACGAGGGTGCGTCGGGGAGGGAGGAGGGCATTGAGGCTGAGAAGGGCCAGCATAGCACAGGCAGGTGCAGTTGCTTTCCCAGGCTGGGCCTGAGCGTGTGCCCCATGGGGCCAGGCAGCATAGGTGGTGGGTGGAGCCTGAGGACAGGAGAAACTTGGCAGGGGGTTACTCCTTACTCCAACCTAAGAGTTTGCGCTTAGCTTGGGCTGGAGATGCAGAGGGAAGGCCTCAGGGGTGCCTGTCTCCTTCACACCCAGGACGAAGTCCCCAAGCCTGGCCTGGCCCACAGGCCTGTAGCACCTGGCCAGTCTGGCCTGGTATCTGGCTTCCCTGTCTCCATTCCAGCTCTCTGTCCTGGATTCTGGGCTGGTTGTGTGGCCTCTGCTGGAGCCTCCTGGCCCCCATGGTGGCTGCCTACTGTATCACCTTGCGCCTTGCCTATGTCTGGTGCCCGAGGCTGATGTCCACACAGGCCTGCGTGCCATCTGTCTGCATAATCCACTGGGGTGGAGCCCGGCTCTGTGGTCACTGTGTGTCCTCAGCATCCAGAATAGCCAATACATGTAGCAGGGGCGGAAGGAAACAGCAGGACAGCCAGAGGTCTTGGTCCTGGGGCTCCTTCCTGCCCAGAGGCTGCCCTGGCCACATCCTTAGCGGCCACCGGGGGTGAATGGAGAGGTCAGGGGTGTTGGGGGCTGGGATCCAGTTTCAGTTCCAGCATTCAGGGTGGACAGCGCTGGGCCCAGAAGACTTCAGAGGACCAGAGGAAGAGGTGGAGACAGCTGGTAGAGCTATGATCTATGACTAGTGCCCTACCTGGGGTGAGCCGTTCACCCTAGAGGGGCTCAGGACTGTCAGGGCCAGCTCAGGGCTCCCATAGCACTACCTTTCATTGGAGGAGGGGCCCAAGTAGGGTCTTGGCCAGGGACCGGGCTTGAGTCTGTATTTTGGCGCAGGAGGTCGGCAGGATTCCAGCTAAAGCACCCAGCTGCACTTGAAGCAGTTTGTCCTGTTTTTCTTTTATTTGCAGTTTCCCGAGACAGAACAAAATAAGAATAATTTTTGTACACTTACAAGGCTCAGAAAGAAAAGACAATGAAACTCAGCAAAAAGAGAGAGGAGGGGAGGCCAGCCAGCACCGTGGGCAGCCGACCCCTTGCAGCGCTGGCCAGCGGCCGCCACCACCACACCGCGGACACCTAGCTAGCAGACCGGTGTGGCTTGCTCTTTAGGGGTCATGCAAAAGAATTATCCCCCAGAAAAAAAATCCCCAAATTATCCCAGACAGGCAGCTCCGTGGAGGTGACAAGGTGAGAGGGAGAGGAGGGGAGGAGGCCCCAGGACGCCAGGGTGGCCGGCTGCTGGGCCACGTGCTGTCCGTGGTGAGCCCTGCCGCTGTCCCATGGCCCAGGGAGCCACTGGTGCGGAGCCCGGCAGATGTTTACCCTGTGTTCATGGATGGGGACAGCTGTCCTGGGCACAGCGTGGACGGAAGATGGTGTCCACTCTGAGTGTTCATCGGTGGACAGTCCCCTTGGAGTTTAGGATCCTGTGTCCTGTTCCCCATTCTGTGCCCCTCCCTTGGCTTGATTTGTAGGGGAAGATAAAGAAAATCCTTGTTGAAAACAATGTGAATTGAAAGTGGGCAGGCACTGGGGCAGGAGCCCCTGACCCTCTGCAGTCAGGGCTTGTGACCACCCCCACCCAACCTGGCTTCAGACCCACCCTGCAGCCCCACCATGCTCGGGCTTGCCCTGTCCCCGAGCTCCCCCATGGTACACACCATCACAAGGGGCCGGGGACCCACCGCCTCGAACCCAGGCAGCCGACGCTCAGGAGCACAGGGCTAGACCCTGCCCTCCATCCGCTGGTGTCCTGGGCCCTGTGCCCACCTGTTTCTGTCCCCAGCCCGCCTTATCTCCATAGCTGCATCCCTGGCCCACCTAGAAGGTGCCCTCACACGCACTGCAGCCCGCCAAGGCACTGGCACACCTGACACTGCACGGGCAGCACTGCCCTCACGCCTCCCATGTGCCCTAGGCTGGCTCCCACTGTAGCTTTTGCTCCCTTCTGCTCCCGGCCCAGATTCCAAAGGCACTCCCACTTCAGTAAACCCCTGCACAGACCCTTGTCTCAGCCCAGAAGCTGGGCAGCCACCACCTCTGATCCCGCTCTGCCACTAGCTGCACCACCCGACCAAACCCCAAGCCCCAGGCTTCCCCAAACCCCATCAGCAGACGAATATGCCCAGACACAAAGCCTGGCCTCCCCTCCCAGCTTCAGCTGGGGGCTCAGGGACTTGAGCGAGGCCCGCAGTCCTTTGTCAAAAGTCTGCTCCCCCTTGCGGGCTGCAGAGAAGCCGAACAGGCTGGGGGAGGGCCGAGGGGCGGAAACAGGGTTGGGAGCTGCCAGTGCATCTGCTGCTGGCCAGCAGAGAAGGGACAGACACCTCACACAGGAGGGGGGCCAGCCCAGGCAGAGTCCTCTTGCCACAGCTGGCTGTGTTGGAGCTGTAGCCAGCAGTGCTGTCTCTTGCTCGGCGAGAGGCCCAAAACTAAGCTGTGCCCCTCTTTGCACTTTACTCCCCCAGAAGGACCAGAGCTGGAGCCCTGGGTGTGTAGGGGCATCTCTGAAGGCCTTGGGGACGGGACTCCAGTTTCAATACTCCAGGGGGTGAGGGGCCGGCCTGGGCTCTGCCGAAGGGTTGTCCGTGCTGGGTGTGTGGGGATACCGGGCACGGAAAACCCACACCTAGCCCTTCAGGGGATGAAAGGAAGGGAAGGGAAAGCAGGAACAACAGCAACTCTCAGGCACAACTAGCGGGAAAGGAGGCAGCCCAGCGGGCCCCCACAGCCCCTCCCAAGAGACAGCTGACAGTCACGACAGCCAGCGAGCACACCACGTGGAGCCCATGCGTTGGCAGGAGGATGCAGACACCTTAGGTGTGGGGTGTGTGCGTTACCTACAAACTAACACCGTTCAGCACGCGACGGGGGCCTGGCAGACAAGTTCATGTCCCAGCTGGTCCCCCAGAGGCCAGGAGCACAGACGGACACACGTGGAGCTTGGGTGGGGAGTGGCCCCACGAATGCCAGTGATTTTTACAGCTTTTTCCTTCCTTTAGTTTTTTTTGTTTTTTTTTTTTTTCATTTCATCTGATGTCAATTTTTTTTGTGGTTGTCGTCGTCATCTTGTTTTTTTTTTTTTTTTTTTTGTTTTTTTTTAACAAATCACATCTGGTCTTGTTTTTCTGCAGACACAGGCACCAGGGGAGGGAACGAGGCAGACACAAACATGCGACAGGCAGGCCGTGTGCCCGAGGGCAGTCGGGCTCCAAACACCAACTCTGTCCGGCGAAACCAGGGCGCAGCTCTGAAATGGGGCGGGTGGGTCAGCTCCTCAGCAGCCCCCTCTCCCATCCACCCCCAGGCTCTGCTGTCTGCCATGCGGCACTGCAGAGAGGGTTAAAGTCCAGAAAAGGGCCCACTCGGGAGAGAGGTTCAAGGTGCCCAACCCAATTACTACTATCCCTGTAAAACTGGGCTCTGGGCCCGCTGCACCCACCACCTGGGGAACGCCCATCTGGGGCTCTAACAGTCCTCACAAACAGGGCATGGTGCCCAGGACTGTGCTGCCCGGGGCCCATCCACCTGCAACCCACCCAGCTCTGGCCAGTGTGGACTGCTCAGGCCCTCACCAGCTCCCCAGTCCTCTGGGGAGGCCTGCCACACCCAGCCTGCCGTGGTCCCTAATTTGACATCATTCCTGTGGCCTCACCAGGAAAGCTCAGGGACTTCCCAGGCATGGCTCTGCACAGGCCCCACCGCTCCCCATCGCCTCCCCAGGCTGCAGCCACTCACACCACCGCCACCCCTCTGCCCCAGCTGTCACTTAGCACAGAACACTCACCTTCACTGCAGCGGGGCCACAGGCGCGCCCGAGCAGTGGAAGTGCACGTTCTGCCACTTGCCGTCGCGGCGGTGCCACACGCGGGTCTCCTCAGACTGGCTGGTGCGGGGCCGGCCCTGCCCGTCAATGTACTGCGTGAGCCGGATGTAAGCGATGCAGGCGGCATCCTCTCCAATGACGTGCACGTGTGGGTTCAGGATGGTCGTGTGGATCGGCTTGCTGTTCTTGGCCAGCACTGTGGACAGCAGGCGGGGCGGGGGTCTCGGGTTACCATGACTGCCCTGGTGCCCGTCTTCCACCCCACCAGCCTAATCCTTTCCCTCTCTCAACTCCCCTTATTGGGGAGGCTCGGCTCTCCTGGGAGCAGCATGGGCCCCTCCAAGAGTGGGATTCTGGGGGCTGGGTATGGCCTCTGGCGGGGGAGAGGTGGCTGGCCAACCCTGGGCACAGAGGGGACAGGGCTTCCATAGGCAGCCACCATGCTGTCCCTGGGAGGGGCCGAGAGGCTCTCCTGGGGGCACCGCCCCCTCATGCCCACCCGGGCTTCCTCACTCACGGTTCTCGAAGTAGAATCTGTGGAAGTCCATCCCTTCAACCAGGTTGCCCAGTGCTTCAGGCTCAAACGAGGTCAGCCCTGGGTCACAGATTTTCCTGGGGGCCAAATCCAAGTGAGGAGGGGCCCCGTGGACCCCTGACTCTGAGCAGGCCCCCCCAAGGGTCCCACATCCTTGTCCTGCACAGCCCCCCCCCAGCCCCAGGGACTCACGCGTAGGCCTCAAAGTCACCGTTGTTGACGGCCTCGATGAGCTGCTCCGTGGTCTTAATGATCTCCTGCTTCCGGGCTGTGGGGAGACATGGCCAGGTGACCACTGGGCGCTGGCCCATTCCCCCCGGACCCCTCCACACAGCCCAGGGGAGGGCCTGGGGGAGCGCGAGCTGCATCCATGCCGTGTTCCTGCCGCTATTTGCAGAAGAGGTCCTCTCCGCCGCCCCCCCTGCATCACCAGTGGCTTCCTCATTTTCAAGTGCAACAGCTTCCATCTTATTTTTCTTAACTAAAGTATTTTTGAAGAACAGAAATATTCTATCCACATTACAAAATGCCTGGAAAATGCAGAAAGAGGACAAAAAACCCACCCACAATCCACTTGGAGGTCACCTCCTGGCCCCACGTGCTGTCCGCCACAGTCTCCCTCCTGCCCTCCCGTGAGCCAGCCCCTGGGCCCACCAGGCCTGGCCCTGCGCTTCCCTGCAGCTTCCCGGCCCCACTCTCCTCCCGAGCCTTGGGTTCTTAGTGCTTCCTTCACCCAGCAGCTCTGGTGAGGGGGCTACTGAGTGCAGGCACCAGGCGAGAAGGCAGAGACCTGCCTCAGAGAAGGAGCCGTCAGCAAGGCCACCCGGAGGCCGGGGAGGAGGAAGCAGCAGGGGGCGGCCACGTGCGGCGCAGGCTGCAGGGTTCCCCGGAGCGATGACCAGGGCTGTCCCCGCAGCAGGAAGAACGAGCGTGGTCTCTTGTTCCCCGCTTTTCTCATAGGAGCCGCATCCGGCTGGCTCCACCTGCTTGCAGTCCGGGGCCCACATGCTACCCCTGCAGACATCCCTGTTGCCCCGCACCCCCATGCCCGGGCTACTCCCGGGCGCCTGCCTGCAGCTCCTGCCCGCCCCCCTTGGATTCCAACAGGCCACCCAGCCATGCTGGTCCTCACTGGCCTCCGGGGCGCTCACTGGCAGCCTGCATTGCTGCTTTAACTACAGCTTATTTTCATTGCAAAAGATTTTAAACGTATGGAAGATGTGGAGAGAATAATAGAACCCACACTCTACGGATTCAAATCTTAACATTTTCCTATTTGCTTTAGACGCATTTTTAAAGAAATAAAGCACCGCACATGTAGTTTGAAGATGCCTGTGTTCTCCTCAATCTTGCCGCATTCACTCTCCTCAGGCAGAACTACTGTCCTGAGTGAGGTCCCTAGCCGTATCTGCGAGGATATATACGCAGGCACGCACATACATGCACACTCACACACAGAACACACATGCACACGCACGCTCACCTATACACACGAGTAACAGTGGTTTCTCAAAGTAATTCGTCCGTGGAAAAAACTCAAACCCCCAGAAGTGCACCGGAAGCAGGTTCCTGGGAACTCTCCCTGTGGGGGAAGTCTCTGCACTCCCAGCACTGCGCTCTGTGACCCTCAGGCTGCTGCAGGCCGCACCTGGGACACCTGCCCTCAAACAGCTGCCCGCCCTGCAGGACACCATTTTCACCAGAAGGCAGGCCCTGTGGTGACGTTTCCACTCTTTGCTGTGAGTGCTGCCTCCAACGGCCACATACATGCAACCTGTCTGTGGTCTAAATTCCCAGAGGAGGGAATTCTTTTTTTTTTTTAGATGGAGTCTCACTCTGTCACCCGGGCTGGAGTGCAGTGACATGATCTCGGCTCACTGCAGTCTCTGACTCCCAGGTTCAAGCGATTCTCCTGCCTCAGCCTCCCGAGTAGCTGGAACTACAGGTGCACACCACCACACCCAGCTAATTTTTGTGTGTGTATATTTTTAGTGGAGATGAGGTTTCACCATATTGGCCAGGCTGGTCTCAAACTCCTAACCTCAAGTGATCTGCCCACCTCGGCCTCCCAAAGTGCTGGGATTACAGGTATGAGCCACTGTGCCCAGCCAGAAGAGGGAATTCTCAGCACGCCTGGTGGTGGGGTTGCCTTTATCTCTCTCGCCAGACCTCTGGGAGCTCACACCACCAGGGAGCCCACCTGGCAGGTGACTGAGTCCACAAAGGAGGCGCCACATGCCCGGGTGTGCTCATGCATGTGTGTGGGGCACTGCCTGGGAACGCCTGTGCTGCACCTGTCTGCTCTGGGGCCTCATGTCCCCTGCTGCACAGTGACAGCAGGAGGAGCCCGATGGCACCTGAGGAGTGGGGTGCACACATGTTCATGTATGTGATCACATGCATGTGTGTACACGTGATTGTGCATTCATGTGCATGTATGGAAACATGCACATAAGCAGGACGGCATGTGAATGTGTGTAGATGAAGCTCATACATATGCATGAGCACCTGTGCATGTGTGTGTGCAGTGCCTATGAGCGTGCACGTGTCGTGTGTGCCTGTGTTGTGTGGCGTGGGCACATGTGCACTCTTGGGTTGTCCCTATCTGGAAAGGCCCTTGCTCCTGACCCAGCTGTACTTCTGCTGCCAGCTTGTCTCCCTTTCTTTCCTAACTTTCATCTAGACCATGTCATGGATGGTCCTCAGGGCAGTCTTGCTACACAAGCCCAGTTCCCACCCACCTGGTGGACCCCGGAAAGCTGGCCTCTAGGAAGGTAGGCTGCAGGATCCAGAAGCCCCTTCCCCTCCAGTTCCTGCTGCAGCCACCACGAGTCCCATTCCTGCCCCATTCCACCTGCCCAGCTCTAGGAAGGCACAGGGCTCTGTCCCAACACATGCTGTGGCTGTTCCTGTCCTTGCCCCTGGGCCCCAGGAAAGTAGCATATGACACTTGAGGCCCGCCCCCGCCCCAGCTGCTATGTTCCTGCCTCCTCTCCACCCTCTGCCTGGCACCTGCCTCTCCCCTGCCTCATGCCTCCACTTTCACCTGTCCTTTCCTGGAGGTGGCCCCAAGCTTCAGGTCTGACCTCTCTTCCACCTGTAGCCAGTCCTTCCAGCAGCCCCCAAGCCAGCCCCCACTAGGCTGCCTGGCTCTGCCCTCCTTGCATCAAGAGAGAAGTCTGGTGTCCACATGTCCCAAACACCTCCTGTCACTTAGTTAACCTCCCTTTCTAATGTACAGAGACAGCTGCCCCTCCCACTCCACAGGGGTTCTCAGGCGCACAGCAGCAGGCAGCTGGAATGGAGAAGAGAATGACATTATGTCATTTGGTTTCCAGTCTGCTTTGGTTCTATAGTCACCTTACACTAATGGTAAGTGAAACTAATCTTCTGTTTAATGAAGTAATATGCAGTGCTTTTAAACAAATTGTAATTAAAATGGGAGTTGATGGGAAGAGAAAGCGTGAAGTAAACAGAAGAGGAGATGCATGGTCAGAGTTCCAATCAAGAGTGGTAACCGTGCTGAAGTACGGGAAGCAGGTCCGTTGTGAGACCCACCCACCCATTCCACAGATGGGAAGCCTAGGCTGCCCCTGCCCTGCGGAATGGCGCTGCCCAGACCCCAGCTCAACCCAGCCCCCACTCTGCCTCCCCACATAGCACATGGGAGCTTTTGTGTCCTTGATATCCAGGCCCCTGAAGAAGGGCATGATCCCTGATGGAGGGAAAGGAGGGGGGCCCAACATGAAGAGGTGCCCGGGTCGGGAAACCTGCTGGCTGAGGACAAGCTGTCCTGGCAGTTCCAGAGACAAAGGGGAGGTGGTGGGCAGGGCCTGGGCTTGGAGGGGTCTGCACGAGCCAAGAGCCTCTGCAAGTCAGGCCTTCCAGGTGCCCTGACATGAACAGGAGCCTTTGCATTGCCTGTGGCTCTCTTGGGGTGAGGCAACAGGTCCAGGCAGGCCTAATGCGTCCAGGTGGGGTCAGAGCAGGTTCTCATCCTGGCCTGGACTCCTGGGACCCCAGGCTGGCCCCAAGCCCATCTCTCAGAGCCAGAGGTGGCTGCGGGAGGGAGGGCAGCTGCCCAGGGATCAGGCTGGATTGTGTATAATCCGCGATTAGAGAGCGTGGGTGGGGAGGAGACGGGGCCTGAGGCGGGCCGTGGGCACCTGCCCTATTTACACAGCTGGTGGGTGCCTTCTGGAGAAAGGAGGTGGAAAGGAGGCAGAAAGCTGGCCACCTGCCACCTGGGCCCAGGTGCCCCCAGGGCAGTACCCAGACTCTTCCTTTCCCTGAGTTCCGGAACATCTCACCCACCCCTTTCCCAGCCCTGCCCAGCCCCTCCCAGGAGGGCCACACGAATCTCCATCCTGCCCTGCTCACAGCTCCTTCCTGCAGCCCCCTCCTCCCCAGCCAAGCTCAGGGAAGACTCTGGAAGGGCAGGTCTGTGCTGTGGCCCCTGAAGGTGAGCCTGGACACCGAGCCCCGAGCTGGCCACTCCACACCCACCCTGGGCCCTGTCCTCAGAGGACTCACCCCAGATACTGCACAGACCTTGAGGGCAGGCTGCAGTCCTGGGCTGGGGTCATGCCAACCTGATGGGGTGACCTTCCAGGCAGGCTCCTTTGGGCACACCCCTCCACTTCTGCAAGGGCAGCAAGCCCCTTAAAATCAGATGAGCTGCTGTAGAAGTGGCAGGTGTCGGGGGTTCTGACCACTCCCAGAGGCTCTGCGGTGCACCCACCCCAGCTGCACGGCGGCCCCTCCCCATGCCTCCCTCCTTGAGTTCTGGTCGCCCAGGCACCCCGACCCTATCAGCATCAAGAACCTGGCCTCTCCCCTCAGCTGCTTGCCTCTGATCCCCTCAGTCAACCCCTGCTGGGGGTCCTCAGCCGACCACAGAAGCTCTGGGGGTGAGTACCCCTCCAGGGGCTGCCCCCTGCTCTCTCGGGCACCCAGGGTGGATCCAGTGCCCCTTTGAGCCTGCAGCCTGCATCCCCCTCCTCGAGCCGCTGCTCCTGTGGGTTCACTCTCCCCACACCCTTCTGCCCTGGCCGCCTGCAGCAGCCCCCAGGCCCAGCCTGCAGAGGGGACGGTGGCAAGCAGACCCCACCTGTCCCTCAAGTACTTACCTAGCCACTGCCCTGCCATGCCGAGCCCGTGGCCCAGCAGCCTCTTCTCTAAGAGTATCTCCACACCACCCCCAGTCTGGTGTCTCCCCACAGGTGGGGGTGGCAGCAGCCCTGGGATGTCATCCATCCCTGTAAGTGATACTGCGGGTAGTCGGCAGACAGACCGGGAGGTGGCCCAGCCTGGCTCCTCCCTGGCCGGGGAGGCTGCCCAGCCTGTGCTTCCTGTCCCGCCCGCTCTGTTTCAGCCTGGCCCCAGCTGCCCCCCAGATCCGCGCCTCCCGATCCCCACCTGCTCCCTGCTGTCTGGACTTGGACAGCTCTAATGCTAGAGCGTCTCAGGCCGGGACTGACACTTTTCTGTCCCGGCCCAGCAGGTCCACCTTGACCCAAGCCAGCAGCTCCTGGCGTGCTAGCCCTTGCCACACGCGCAGACCCTTTGCCACCCATTCCCCTCCCATCAGGAGAAAGCTGTGGACCTCAGGGTTGCGAATGCTGGGGTCGGCAACAAACCTGCTCTTTCGGACGCTCTTCCTATACACATATGTCATACACACTTCATAACCATAACCTCCATTTTCTGAGACCCAGTGGCACCTTCATGTGCTTCAAAGCAATTCCCTGGGACCCAGCAGAGGGATCCTGTGCCCCGCCCTCCTCCGCAAGAATGGCCCTTCCCAGAGCACCACTGCCAGGCTCGCACGCCCCGAGCCCCTCCGGGCAGCCGCTGCCACGGCCACTCAAGGTGCTACTTACATGGGGTGGGCAGGGGGCCAGGGATAGTCGGAGATGGGCAGGGCGGGGGCCCCACTGGCGAGGGGCCCTCGGCTTCTGGGGTCCCTGAGCCCCTCCTCACAGAGTTCAGGATGTCAGAGATCCTGGGGGCTGGGGCGGAACAGACGAGACGTGAACACAAGGCAGGCACGGGGGGCACGCAGGAGAGAAACCATGGGCAGACAGCCAAGCCAGAGATTGAGGGGCACAGAGGCAGATGTGGGGGATGGGGCACAAGGGGACAGAGGGGAGGAAGGGAGAATGGGGGGGTGTGGGGGGAAGATGGTGGACCTGGGCCGACAGAGGGGATATAGGGGAAAGAAGGGGATGTGGGGGATGGAGGGGAGCTTGGGGGACAGAGAGGGAAACGGGAAATGGAGGAGACGTGGGAGACAGAAGGGAACGTGGGGGACAGAGGGGCATGTGGGGGGACAAAGTGGGGGTGTAGGGGATGGGGGGCATGAGGGGACCAAGGTGGGTGTGGGGGACAGAGGGGGGTGTGGAAGACAGAGGGGGTGTGGGGGACAGAAGGGGTCATGGGGGATGGGGGTGCGTGAGGGGACCAAGGTGGATGTGGGGGACAGAGGGAGTGTGGAGGACAGAGGGGGATGTGGGGGACAGAGAGAGGTGCAGGGGACAGAGGAGGGTGCAGGGGACAGAGGAGGGTGCAGGGGACAGAGGGGGATGTGGGGGACAGAGGGGAAGTGGAAGACAGAGGGGGTGTGGGGGACAGAAGGCGGTGTGGGGAACAGAGGGGGAGGTGGGGGACAGAGGAGAGTATGGGGGACAGAGGGGGTGTGGGGGACAGAAGGGGGTGTGGAAGACAGGAGGTGTGGGGGACAGACGGAGTGTGGGGGACAGAGGGAGAGTCTGGGGGACAGAGGGGGTGTGGGGGACAGGAGGGGGTGTGGAAGACAGAGGAAGTGTGGGGGACAGAAGGGGGTATGGGGGGCAGGGGGTGGAGGACAGAGGAGGGTGTGGGGGACAGAGGGGGATATGGGGGACAGAGGGAGTGTAGGGGACAGAGGAGGGTCTGGGGGGCAGAGGGAGAGTGTGGGGGACAGGGGGTGTGGGGGACAGAGGGAGTGTGGGGGACAGAGGAGGGTCTGGAGGACAGAGGGAGAGTGTAGGGAACAGAGGGGGTGTGGGGGACAGAAAAGGGCGTGAAGGGACCAAGGTGGGTGTGGGGGACAGAGGGGTATATGGGGGACAGAGGAGGGTGTGGGGGACAGAGGGAGAGTCTGGGGGACAGAGGAGGGTGTGGGGGACAGAGGGAGAATGTGAGGGGCAGAGCAGAGTTTGGGGAGGAAAATGGAAATGAGGGAAAGAGGGGAATTTGGGGGACAGAGGGGGATGTAGGGATAGAGCGTGGACTTAGGGGGACGTGGAGAGGTTGTAGGCTGACCGAGGGGGATATGGGGGGACGGAGGGAGACAGGGGGACAGAGGGTGCTGCTGCGGACAGCGTGGTGCGTGGAGAGGAGGCTGCAGGAGTGAAGGGCAGATGCTCTGGCTGTCGGGTGGCGTGGGCTGAAGCTGCTGGGGGCAGAGGGCACCCTCCAGGGAGAGGCTGCTGGCCAGCAAGAAGCTGTCAGGTAAGTGGCCCTTGAGGAACGCTGGACGGGGTTACAGGGAGAGGAGGGAGTCACGGGCGTTACAGAGGAGGCCTGGCCTGGCCCCATGAGGACAGCCCAGGTCAGCAGAGGCCAGGCTTATGATTCTCCGTACTATCCCCTTGTTGGTGAGCTCCAGAGACCCTGGTCGGGGTTCCAGTTTTGGCACCTTCCTCAGCCTCCTAGACTGAGGGAGGGTGCTCAGGGGTTGGGGCCACATCAGGAACCAGGGTGGCCCTGAGTGCAGCTCCTGGGCACCATGGGCAGGGCCCCTGGGTGGGTGTGAAGTCTGTGGGGCTGGGACAGTGATCAGCAGAGAGGGCCTAGGGGCATGGGGGGCCTCGGAGGGGCCAGGGCTGCCCAGGGCTGGGACAGACATTTTGGAGAGGGGCCTGGGGCTGGACAGCGAGCGGGGAGTGGCAGTGGGAGCAGGAGCCGTGGAGGGGTCTGGGCCCCTTAGGGAGAAGCCAGGAGCTGCCCTGCTGGTTAGCATGGGAGCCCACAGGAAGCCCCGCCAGGGCAGGACTCCAGGCTGCGGCGCCGGGGCAGGGTAGCTGGGCCGTGCATGCAGGTGGGAAGCTGCTGAGCGCCGGCCATTCGCAGGGAGCTGTCCGGCAGCAGAGGCGGCAGGCCTGGGGGCCACTACTTACACGGGGAGGACAGGGGGCCTAGGAGAGCCGGAGACAGGCAGGGCGGGGGCCCCGCTGAGAGGGGGCCCTCGGCTTCTGGGGTTCCTGAACCCCTTCTCACAGAGTTCAGGATGTCAGAGATCCTGGGGGCTGGGGTGGAACAGATGAGACGTGAACATGAGGCAGACAGACACACGAGGCGGCGGCAAGGCGGAGGAGGCCAGTGGGAGGGGTCCCGTGTTCTAGACCCCTTGGGCCCTGGGATCAGGCCCTGAATCAGAGCCTGCCTCAATAGCAGGGAGCCCCCCCGCCCGCAAGCTGAGGTGGAGTGAGGCCTGCACCGACCCTGAAGACTGGAATTGAGGCCCGAGCCTCCAGGGCCTCCCATCCTGCCCAGTGGCCTTGAGCAGGAAAGTGGTCCAGGGCCCTCCTCACAAAGAGGTGGGGCTCGATGGGCTGGGGCCACCCTGGAAAGCCCCAGTGAGGGATTGTGGGGTGATGAGGCTGGAGCCAGGGTCCACGCTCAGCCTGCCCTCGGCTCTGGAGTGGCCCCTCTAGGGGGTTGCCAGCCCTCCAACATGACCCCCACAGCAGCAGGACCCAGGCTACTTACATGGGGCTGGCAGGGGGCTAAAGGGAGCCGGAGATGGGCAGGGCAGGGGCCCCTCGGCTTCTGGGGCTCCCGAGCCCCTCCTCACTGAGCTCAGGATGTCGGGGACCCTGGGGGCTGAGGCGGAACAGGTGAGGCAGGCAGGTGGGTGGTGCGCCCGCAGGAAAAGAAGGCAACTGGAGAAGGACAGGGGGAGGCCAGGAGGGAGGGAGGGGGTGACAGCTGGATACCTGGGGCTCCTGGGGTGGAGGTGGGGTGGCCACCTGTGGGGGTCCTGGGCCTGTGGTGGCCGCAGCAGGTATGTGAAGGCTGAAGGAGCCAACACGGGACCGGTGCCAGAGCCAGAGCCAGCAGAGGCCAGGGCAGCACAGGCCAGTGCAGGCTGGCGCAGAGTCAGAGGCCACCCTGCCACCCTAGTGCTGTGACCACCCCTGGCCAGAGCCAGCAGAGGCCAGGCGCACGGAGAGGGAGTGACAGTCATCGTAGGGGCATGATGGCCACTGAGCCTGCCTGGACTCTGTACCAGCCTCAGGGCAGGCTGGCAAGGCTTCTTTCTGCACGGGGTGGGGTGGGGGGTGTCTGCCTCCACCTCGAGAGGCTGCTCGGGCTCAGATCTGAGCCACAGCTGCTGGCTTCTGGCTGTCTTCTCTTCTCCCCTGCAGGATCCAGGCTGGGCCCCCCTCCCAGGTCCCCTCCCTCACTGCTCAGCACCCCACTCGGCTGAGGGTGATGGAGAACCTCTGGACAGCCTTCATGCTGTTGCCTTTGGGGCCTGTTCCAGACTGCAGGGGAATCACACAAACACCCACTCTCCGGCATCCAGGGCCCAAAGTCCTGTGCTCATCTCTGCTCAGGGACAGTGTCATAGCTGGGTAGGCCGGGCAGGAGCAAGGCTATGCTTTGGACAGGTGAGAAGTTTTCTCCCCTAAACTGGCAGAGTGGCTGACCCTTTTTGGGCACCAGGGTAGCCCTGAGAACAGCATAAGGCTTATTAGGTGACCGTGTGAGCGATGAGGGTCAGGAGGCCCCATGTGGGTGGTCTGGAGGCGGCAGAATCCATGGAGCATGCCCCAGTGCCTGGTGCCCTGGGGGCCTCTTGGGGAACACACAAGACATTGGCCTGGGTGAGCAAGGGAGGGGGCCCTGGAATCTGTGGTGCAGAAACCCACCGCAGCAGGACACTCCTGGCTAAGCAAAGGCAAACACGGAAACACTCACCCAGCTGCCCGGCCACTTGGCAAGTGCATGCTGGACAGAAACGCAAGCTTAAGGAGCTTTAAGACAAGGACAGCATCTTGGAACAAATTCTACCCATGGGCCTGTTTCCCCGTGAGGGTCCTGGTGTGGAGAACCTGCCTCCATGCAAAGCCGTGGCTTCCTCACTTGGATGCGGTGACCGAGACTGCCCAGCTGTCGGTCATCTCTGCCATGCTTCTCCGCTCTGGGCAGGCCTGACACCCAGGCTTGGAGCAGGATTACAGCTACAGGGTCCCTGAGCCCCTCAACACATGCATAAACTAGGCGTCGCAGGAGAGTTGACCCTGCCCAAGTCCCACCCACCTCAAAGAGCAACCCAGCAATGCCAAGGCCGCTGGGGGGGCAAGGACTCAAGTGCAGGTACCTTTAGCGTCTTCATCCTCTATGGTGGTATTGGCACTGTCAGAAGACTCCTGAGGAAACACGGGAGGC
This sequence comes from Homo sapiens, assembly GCF_000001405.40. Taxonomy (NCBI): domain Eukaryota; kingdom Metazoa; phylum Chordata; class Mammalia; order Primates; family Hominidae; genus Homo; species Homo sapiens. The sequence goes on from NC_000007.14 coordinate 44,231,074, forward strand.
AGCGGGTCAGGATGCGGCCAAGGATAGGTGGGACGTGGCTGAGGGCAGGTGGACAGGGCTGGGCCTGTGTCAGGACCAGCCCAGGCTCTGAAGCTGATCTCTGCCTCGGCTGCTTCCACGGGGCTTAAAGGCCAGGGGCTCAGGGGACATGCCCTCTGGCGGCTGCAGGGCCCCAGCTCTGTGGACCTCATGCGGCAGTGACCGGAGAAGACACCCAGTTCTGTGCTGGTCCCTGGGAGGGCGCCCCTCACCAGGGTGCATTCTCACGGCAGCCAGCACAGGCTGGCACGGAGTCCGAGGCCGGCCCTGCCACCCTAGTGCTGTGGCCACCCTGCATCCCCAACACATGAGGGCTCCACTTCTCCCAGCAAGATGAGCCTGGCAGAGAGACTGGTATGCTCAGCTGACTCTTTAACAAGAGAGGAAAATGGGCTTTTTGAAATTCCAAGACGTAAAACACAATGGGACTGGCTGGTTCCAATGAAGCAGCAGCCGGTGTCATCCAAAATACAGGGTGAGGCGTTCCCAGGAGCTCTGCAGATCCGCACAGGGCTCCAGGAACCTTGGCCTGGCCCCAGGCAGAGCATTCCTGTCGCCCACATTCCCTCAGGGCACCTGCCCCTCTGGGACTGGACGTCCAGTCAGGCCCCGGCCTCACCTCTCAGGTGGCCTTAGAGGGCAGAGGTGGCCCCAGACTCTCCCACCCTGCTCCAGGGCTGCTGCCCTTCAAAAGACCATCCCCCAGGTCCCCAGGAGGCCTGCTCTGCTCCTCAGAGGAAACATCTTACAAGGTCCCTGGGGGACCGCCCCCTGGTCTGGACACTGCCTGGACACTGCTTGGAGGCCCTAGACCAGAACTACAGGTCTTTAGGTGCAGGCTCAGAGTTCACCACAGCCCAGAAGGTTGTTTAGGAGTCCTGCAGAGAGCATGACCCACCCCAGACACACACGGGTCCCAGGGGCACCCATCCCCAGCTGCCAGATGGGAAGAATGCCCAGGCCCTGGTGCCTAGCACCATGGGTGCCCCTTGGACCCCCTGGTCCCTGCCATGGAGAAAGATGTCTTCTGATGATGGGCTGGGTGGTGGCACTGGCCAGAAGGAAGTGGGGGGTCCCCACAGAGGCACTCTGGGGCTCTGTAAGGAGCCCAGGCCTAGGTGGGAGCTGGGCTGGAGGGCCGTGTTGGGTGTAGTGGCGCTGTTTTGGAAGTCCTGGAAATGGCTTGGCTGCTGGCCCCATCCCTCCCACCACCCCAGAGAGCCAGCCCCTTCCCTGGCCCCAGAGTGATGATGCCAATGTGATGGGAGCTGATGGCCAGAGCAGAGAGGGGAGCAGAGGAGGGAGGGTCTGCTCAGCAGGAAGCACTGGGGGCCACGTGAGGGAGGTGGGGTGGAGGACAGCCAGGAGGGCCAAGGATGCAGCTCCTGAGATGCAGGCCCTGCTCCAGACCTCAGGAAGCCCTACTGCCTGCCGTAGGTGGGACACGCAGAGCCCTGGTCTGAGAGTGTCGGCCACATGGGGACCGGGCGCAACTGTGCCAAGCACCTCCAGGGGCGCGCCTGGGGCCTGAGCCAGTCTGTCCTGTTGTTGCCCACGAAGACGGACTGGGGCCCTACCGTACTGCGGGGAGGGGCGGCCAGGGCATGGGACATCTGCCCTCCACTCTGGCACAAATGCTGCCCCAGACCTCTCTCCTGGCCTGGAGCCTCCTGCCTGGGGAAAGCGGGAGGAGGAAAGTGGGGCAGTACCTTAATCCCGTCCACTGGGTTATGGATGACGGTGGTTTGAGGCTCCTACAGAAGAAGGAAGACACAGAGGAAGGAAAGAGAGGGAAAGTGAGAAGAGGAGGAAGCGGAGACCACCAGGAGGGGAACAGGGAGACAGAGGAGGTGTGGGTGGCCAGAGCCTGCGAGAAAGAAGTGCAGAGCAGAGTGGGGGACAGGGATGGAGGCGGCGTGGAGCAGCTGGGGGAGGAGCCTGGGTCAGCCGGCAGGGATGGAATGGACAGGAGCTCTGTCCAGGCTGGCGGAGGTGCTGCTGTCCAGGGTGGGAGATGGACCGTGTGGGGCCCCGACAAGCTGCACAATGTGTGTGGGAGCCAGAGAAGCCAGGCTCGGTCTTGAGGGGTTCTCCCTACCCTTTACTGCCTGAACCTGTGCCCCAGCGTGGTGGGGGGCACAGGTTTGAAGATGTCATGGGGGTGGCGGTGGCACATGGGATGGACAGGGTCCGAGATGGGGCTGGCTGTGAGGCTGGCACGTGGGCTGCCCTGGCCACTGGAAGGCCCTAGGTAGGCTGCACCAGGCCACCCTCCAGCCACGGCCTGGCTGCTCTGAGCAGCTCGCCCCTCCCAGGACCGCTCTCCTCTCCTGGGTCTCAAGGTGGCCATTTGGCAAACCCAGTATTCCCGTGGGCGGTCTGGGGCTGGCTCCCGAAGCCTGGCCTGGGGTTCTCAGGGGACACCAAGCCTGCTTCCAGCAAATATGGGGACCTACGGGCCAGCAAGCCCCAAAGCTCTTAGGACAGCTGAGGGGACACAGCACAGCGCCCCAGCAGGAAGGCCGGCACCCACCAGCCACAACTTTACATCCTTGGGAGTACTGCTATAGGGTTCACCTGTAGGAGCCCCCAGGGCAAGGGGCACTGAGGGGCGCAGTTGGAGCGGAGCATGGTGGGGACCCCTCCCCTCCCCGGCAGGGAGCCCCTAAGCCCTGCCTCTCAGGCAGCCACAGAGCAGCACTGAGGGAACACAGAGGTGACGGCAAGCCCTCCCCTTGGCTGCCACTGGCTTAGACACCTCTCTACTGCACCACCGTGGCCCCGTCTCCCCATGGGCCGTGGAATGTGCCACTATGGGCTGTTCCCCCTGCAGATCCTGGCCCAGCCCCACCAAGCCAGACCTTCGGAGTGGTCTGTGGGTCGGCCTGTTGAGGATGGTGGAGGAGCTGAGGGTGGGGTCCTGGTGGGGAGAGGGTATCTTCTGCCTCACTGACTTCCTGAACACTCCTGGAGAGACATCCACAAGTCAACATGGGTGGGAGGCTGGGCCTCTCCCCTGCACCCCAACATCTGTGGGTCTCAGCCAGGGGCTCCCCAGAGCAGTCCTAAACCTGTCTGAATTGGAGCCCCCCACAACAGTGGCCTCTTCTCTCCACTTCACCACCGGTGAGGGATGAGGGGCGGGGGCCATGCGAGTGCTGTCAGACAGGCCAGGCGGGGCCAGACCCCACCTTCACCCGGCCCCCTCTGACCAGCGGCAATCACACAGCCAGGGGCGTAGGAGGGGCTGAGAGGCAGAATTTGAGGAGCTCAGTACCAGGGCGGCAGGAGGAAGCGTCCCTTTGGGGCTGGTGGCGGCTGCACTGTTTTTGGTGCTATTCGTCTGGGGCTGTGGAGAGAGGGAAGAGGAACTCTTAGGTGGGAGAAGCCCCTCACTCGCCATTCCCTGTCCCGTGTCTCTCAGGGCATGGGGGGAGGGGGACTCCAGAGCAGGAGCCCCAGGGCGTGGGGGTGAAGCTGCAGGCTCTGGGCTCCCCGGCACCACAGGGCCCGGCTGGAGCCTCACCTTGACTCCATCTGCTTTCTTGTTGAGTAAACTCTTGGCTGCTGCATGGGGAGGAAGAAGGTATGGTGAGTGATGGGCCTGGGTCTCGCTGCAGCGCAACCCCACCCCTTTGCCTGACCCCACTCTTTCCCCAGGAGCAAGCCCAGGGTCCTGAGGCAAGTGTGGTTCCAGCACCCAGGCTGGCTCTGAGCAGGTGGGGGGGCCATCCCATCACCCCAGGACAGCCCTGTCTCCAGCCTCCTCCATGACCCTGGGGCTCCTGCAAGCATCCAGATTTCTCCTCTGACCAGACCCAGAGATGCCCGTGGGTGCTGGGGAGCCCCCTTGGCTTCTGGGCCACATGCAAGCTCTTCCTAGAGGAAGGCAGGATGCTGCTTCCTCCCTGATGGGAACTCAGGACTAGCTGTGTCAGGTTGGGGTGGGGGCAGCTGAGCCAGCACCCCAGAGGTCATGCCCTCCCGGGCCCTGCCTTCCTGGGGTAGGGGTGGGTGGGCTGCAGCTGGCCGCCCACTCAGAGGGCCTTGTCCCAGCCCAGGCGCTCACCCTGCTCTCAGACCTCATACCTTGGCACCCAGGCCTCAGAGGTCTGTCCCATTGGCTCCTTGGCTCAGGCACCAAGGGCAGCCCTGCTCGCCCTCATTCCGAGCTGCCCAGCAGCCCTGGCCTTGGGGCCGCTTCTGTGCACTGACTGGGGCCAGCACAGGCCTTTCTGCCCACAAGCCCCTGAGGATACTTGGTCCCAGCAGCGGGGCCCCTGCCTCACCCAGCATTCCCCCTCAGAGGTCAGAGGGGCCTGGCCCCAGCCCCCGGTGCCCACACCCTCCATGGCTGTTAGGATTTTAATTACAGAACTAAAAAATAAAAATAAATAAAAAACCAAAAGAGGAAGTCAGCTTACCTTACAGAAAAGGAAAGGTGAGAAGGGGAGGGAGTGAGGAAGGAAGAGAGAGAGAGAAAACAAGATTTGTGTTGGTTCGGGCAGGGGCGCAAGACTGCGGGCCCAGGACTCACAGGTCACCAGTCCTGGACCACGCTCACCAAAAAGAGCCAGGGCCATGCGGCCAGCCGGTACAGCAGGGTTAGAGAGGCAGCCAGGCTGGAGCCAAGGGGATGACGACATGGGAAGTGTGAGGATGCTTGCCCCCGGGCCAAGCCGGGAAGGAAGGTGGCACAGCAATCCCCCATCCCTCCCCCACCGCCTGGCTCCAGGACCCTGGCTGGCCAGGCCATGAAATTGGGTCCTCCTGCCTGGGGATCCCGTGCTGCCCATGCAGGCCTGGGTGGGGACAGACAGGCACGTTTCAACCTAGGACTGCAGCGCTTCTCAAATGGGATCCTCCCCCAACCCCAGCAGCAGCAGCAGCAGCAGAATCGCCCTGTACAGTCAGAAATGCAAATTCCCAGGCCCACCCCGCCCTCCTGAGCCAGAACTTCTGCAGGGCTGGACATCTGTTCCATAAGCCCTCCCGGTGGTTCTGACGCTGGGTGCTCCAGGTTGCCGTGGAGATCAGGAGGCTGCACCCCGCAGGGCATAGACAGGCCTGGGCCTGCTGCCTGCTGACCACCCCCTCCCTGTCCAAATGCCCAGTGCTGCCTCCTCCATGGCTCTGGCCCCTCCTGGGCTCTGTGGGGACTGGGGTTGTGCCTGCGCAGTGGCTGCACGTGGCCCTGCGGACCCCATGTGCAGTGGGCACACACTTTCTATTCCCAGCCTCCCCTTCCTCACAGATCTCTTAACTCTCAACAATTTTGTATCCAGCCCAGGAGTCCCTCCCAGGATCCATGGAGAAGTAGAGGGGCCTCAGGCATCACTCTCCGTCCCCAGGCCTAAGGCCCCTCCTGGTGAAGCTGAGCACAGCGCCACCTCCCTGATGTCCCAAGGCAGCCCTGCCCAGTGAGTTCCCAGGACCAGAAATGCCGACTGCCCACTTCCCTATAGCACAGACTGAAAACCCTCCCCCTCGCTGCAGCTCAAATCTGCTTCCCTGTGGCTCAAATCTGCTTCCCTGTAACTTGCTATGGAGGGAGAGTCCTGAAGACTTGGAACTCAGGGTTCCAGGACCCCCACAGTCCCCTCTCCTGTCTGTGCATCCCACCCTCTCAGCTCCCCTCCCATCTCCAGTACACACAACTCATCCCAGAAACACCCGCCCAGTGCCAGCCAGCCTGAGGCTGCAGCTGAGGGATCCTGTCCTTGCTGGTGACCAGCTGCCCGACACAGCTGGGGGACGGGCTCCTCCTAGGAGCCTGAGGAAGGAAGCATCCAGCCTCGCCTTGAGGACATTTGTCGTGGGGAGCTGAACAGGCAAGGAAGGGACCCAGTCCCTTCCAGAAACACACATTTCAAAAAGCTGTGGCCAACTGAAGCAGGCGGTTTCAGAAGGCTAGTTCCACCCCACCCCCGAGGGGACAGTCAGGCACGTAGCCTCCGCCAACCCAGCGGTACTTCCAGCCAGGCTCTGCATTGGAACCGGGGCCAGCATGGCACCCTAGGCAGCAGCAGAACTGAGCTCTTTCCCCGGGCATGTCCTCAGAAGATTCTCACAGGAAAGGAGGCACCACAGTTAGGCCCATCGGCGGGGCTGGCAGAGACCCCGGACAGTCCTTGGTACTAAGAGGGTTCTATTTAGATCCTTGAGTCTATCAAAACCTGCATTTCCAAACTATGCTACTGGAGATGTACCACAGCAGCAGTGGGAAATAAAAAGACAGAAGTTCACAGTCCAGTGGGCAGCAAATGCCACGTACAAACCAGCCCTCCTCGAAGGACTCAGGCCGACGCTGCCATCAGAGCTCTGGGAAGCCCTGCAGCAGACGTCCCTGTTGTCTCAGTCAGTTCCCAAACATCCTTCCTTGTGAACCCGCTTTTAAAACAATCGCTTGTGCACGCCTTGGGCGCAGTGTGGGGTGCATGGGCCCGGCCCTCCTGAGTGCATGGCTCCCGGCCAACCATTTTTTGGGGGGCTGCTCATTTCACATCTCTGCCTGGGACTAACTCCAGATTCACCGTGGCCAGAGTCCTGTCGATGCCCATCTACACTAGCATTCAAGGGCACGGGAACTTCCTTTCTGTGTCTCAAGTTCAAAGCATGCGTTAGGTGCCGCAGGAGCCCAGGGTAGGCGGAGCAGTCACAGGCATCTCAGACACCTGGGTTGGGGGTTCTGCAGGCCTCTGTGGGACAAGGAGAGACCCTCTGCCCTCCATCCTGGGAAGGCACTGCCCATTCCCGGGTCTCCAGGCCGGGGCAACTGCTGCCACCCTGCAGCTGGCCGGACACTGGGTCTCCTATGCCCTTACACCTGATCAATGCAGGAGAGACCACAGAGGCCAAACTGAAGCACACTCGACAGACGGGGTCTCTCTGCGGGCCGAGGGGGCTATGCCACATGGGCTGGTACCAGACTCTGACTGGATGGTACTAGACTCAGCTGCCATTGGCAGAGAACTGAGCTCCATGCTCACTGCCGTGTGATATGGCTGAGCTGGGCTGACCTAGCAGGATGGGTGGTCCTCTCAGCCCTGCCTCTGCCTTGTCCCCTTAGCTGGTCACCCAGGACAGCCATGCTGGGCTCTGTCCACATGCACTGACCACCCTCCAGGACAGAGCTGCTCTCGGCGCCCAGGGTGGAGCCACACATGCAGGGCCTCATGCACCGTCGCCCCACGTTCACTTGCAGACAGGCGGGCATTGCAGCGGGAGCCCCGGGCACAGGGCAGCGTAGAGGCAGCTGTCTCTCAGCACTGTCCCCTGGGCAGCAGTGCCTCCCCAGAAGCCACTAGCCTCACTCTTTTCTAATCACAGCCCCCTCCCGCCTGCGCTCTGGAAAGGCCTGTCAAATGGAGAAGACGTGGGAGGGCTCTCCCGGGGTGCTGCCTGCTAGACACGTCCACTGGGCTCATGGGAGGAGAATAGACTGCCCTCCCCGAGGACGCCCTGGGCCTCCCCAGAAGGAGGGTTCTCTGGCTGGGAAGGCCAGGCTGCTCACCCTGTGGGTCATGAGGAGGCCTGGGGAAGGCAGTCTCCAGCACCCTGGAACCTCTGCCGGGTCCCCAGCCCACGTTGGAGGCACCGACAGGGAACTCAGCAGCTCAGCCCAGGGAGGATCTGGGGTCACCCCTGTAGCCCTCTGTGTTCTGTGGCCAGGCGTTGTCAGCTTGGCCTGCCCTAAGCTCTCACCAGCCTTCAGCTCAGGCTGGAGCTGCAAGGAGGTCTTGGGGTCGCCTAGCCCTCATGGGGTCTGCCCATGGTCACAAGCCAGCAGGTGGGCAGAAGCCAACTTGGGCCTCTGGCTCTGGCCCCGCACAGCCCAGAGGAGCAGGTGGCCAGTGCCGGCCTTTTCCCTCACAGGGTTTGAGGCCAGGGGAGGAGGACTTTGCAGAAACAACCCAAGAGGAAGCCTTGAAAGTCTCCTCAGGGTGCATAAAACCCTCACCCACTCCAGAGCGGCTTGTCCTGGGGGGATGCTCAGGGCAGACATGCATGTGTAGGACTCAGCAGCACAGACCACCGTCTCCATGCGGCCCCAGAGGGGCAGGGTGTGTGTCTGCCCCAAGGGCCTCTGCCTCTCTGGCTCTGCTCCTCAAGGCTCTCCTTTCAGGATTCAGACCCCCCAGCAGCAGGCCCAGTGGCTCCCTGTGGGCCCAGGCCATTCTTAATGGGGGTCTCCGGACCCCCAGACCTCGGGGGCCAGGACCAGAAGGGCTTGGTGTAGCCCAGGGGCCACCTAGCCCAGCCCCTCCTCTTACAGGCGAGGAGCCTTGGGGGCTGCCTCCCTGCCCTTGTGGTGGGCTCTGCTGGGATGTGACCACACGGGAGCAGGGGCTCCCGGGGGCCTGGCGGCCTCTGGGGCGGCTCTGGAGCCCGGCCAGCGGCTGCGTGCAGCAGGGGGCTGCATGCTGGCAGGAGGGACGGGCGGGAGCGGGCGGGACGCTGGTCGAGACACATCTACCTTGTTCCACCAGCCCCATGGTGGTGCCGGAGGCCGCGGTGGACATTGTGGCCGGAGCGGTGGTCTGTCTGCCCACTGTTAGCACCGGGTTAGAGACGAGGGGAAGGGAGGGGTGGGCGGACACAGACGAGGGGTGGGCGAGGTAAGGGAAGAAAAGAGACAAAGGAAGCAGAAGAAGATTAGAGTTAAAGTTTAGGTGACAGATGGTTCCAGAATCCTTTGCTCAAGAGAGTGAAAACAAGATTGGACTGATTGACACGGAAAAGCATTTGCCTCCTTTCTCCTTAGAAAACCCCAGTGGGGGCTTCTCATGCCCAAAGGGTGTGGTGAGCACACAGCAGACAGGACAGTCCTATTAGTGTTGGTGTGACCGTGTGCACGCGTTCCCGGCATTACAGCATCACAGCAAAAGTAACAGGATGGCGGGTGGGGGGCACCAGATGCAAACGGACAACGAGAGAGACGGATCACAGACGCTCGCACACGGAGTGTCGGACGACGGAGAAGCCACAGGTACAGCTTGTCCAGACCTGGGCTGCCGGCTCCACTCCGGGGCTAACATCATGCCCGATGGGTCTGCCAGCGCCCTGGGCCTCAGGGGTCTATAACAGACCCCACCCCCCTGCCAAGAGAACTTGCTTCCCAACCACCCACCCTGAGCAGCCGGGACAGGAGGCTGCAGCTCATCCAGAACTTGGAAGGAGGCCCCCGAGCCTCCCGCATCACCCCGCATCCCTTCTGCCCACCTCCCGCACAAAACACAATGTTCAGAGCACTCAAAATGACAAGGAGGCCACATAGATGCCCGACAAACGCCTGGACAGACACACACGATGCTGTGAGCCCCAGTGGGGCAGCACAGACGCTCGTGTTCAGGGGGTGGAGGGACACAGACCCAGCACGAAGGTGATGGCCTCGGGGGGCTGGACCCTGTGGTATCACCCAAGGTGGGAGCCCAGCGGGGCCAGGTGGGCAGTGGGTCTCAGAGCTGAGGGCAGACGCCGAGGGCAGGCCTGCCGCAGAGGAGGAGTGGAGAGGCTGGTGAGGAAGGAGGCGCTCTCCTGCGTGGGCCAGCAGGGAGGGGGCAGCGCCTGTCTCCCTGGAGAAGAAAGGCTCACCTGAGAAATTCCGTGTGGCCAGCATGGTGGTGAGGATGGCTCCCTGGGGAGAGACACAGATAAAACCGGGGCTATCCCATCAGTGTTCCCTGCTGGCTTCTGGCCAGGATAAGACCCCTGTCCTCCTGCCCAGATGCTCAGCCTCATTGTCATGAGGCTGACATGACCTCAGCCTTCCAGAGAGGCAAGAGCTCCAGGAAGCCAGCAGCCGCACTGAGACAGATCACCTATTTCCAGAACTACACACACCCTGGGCCTAAACCTGTTGACCAACTACAGCTTCTAGCTGCTTCAAGACCCCTCAAGCCTCAGGGGTCACCAGAACAGCTGGTCACCACGGCAGCTCCTCTGGGGTCCAGCTCCCTGACAGCCCCTTCTTTTCCTGACAGGCTCAGACAGGGCAACAGTCCTGGGGCTTCCGGGGAGAACTGCTCAGAGACCAGCAGAGGGCAGTCAGGCAACAAGTCCCCATCCCGGAACCCACAAGTAGAGGGACTGCCAGTGTGCGGTCACCGGAGCCAGCCCTGACCAAAGCAGGCAGGTTGGATACCCTACTGGGACCCACCTCCCTCCCAGAACTCCCCCAGCCCACCCAAGACCAGTGTGTGTGGCTCTGCTCTCCTTACCAAACCTGTCTGAGCCGGAAGCTTCGGACTTGCTTGTACTAAACAGTGTGACTGCCAGAGGGTGAGTGCTGCCTGCAGAGCCCGGGTGAGGAGCCCACAGCGAGCGCTTCAGGACAGCTCCTCCAAGGGCTGCTAGGAGGTGGCACAGACAACTAGGAGGAGCCACACCTGGCCCAGGGCCCCTCTGGACTCATTCCCAAGCTGGCCTGAGTTCACCTGATGCATCCAGTCTGGGACTTGCTAACAGTCAGTCTTGGGGGCAGCAGTAACCCCTAGGTCTGCCCAGACCCCCCAAGGCCCCCCTGCTCCAGCCCAGAGGGACACAGAGAAGCATGGCCGTGCCTGGGACTAGGGGCCAGGGCCTCACCTTGAGCTTTCTCCTGGCATTGAACTTTTTCAGACACTCCACAGTCTCCTGTCTGTGCATCATGGATGCTACCGTGGAGCGTTGCTGTGGGGAAATGGGTGGTCATATGGCAGCCGAGCCCGAGGCACAGGGGAGAGGCCAGGGTGGCAAGGCTTGTGGCACCCTGGGGTCCCCACTTGCCAAGAGCCACCGGCCACCATTGCGGCAAGGGTTGTCTGTCCCCACCCGCCTGGGACTTCAAGACTCGTCTCTCCCTTGCCTCGTCCACTCTGCCCCTCACAGACAGGACTGCAGTTGGGAGGAAGGGATCACCTCTACCCTCTAATGCCTTCCAAGCCCCAGGCCTCACAAACGTGCTGGTATGTCCCAAGCCAGAGGCCACAAGGAGCACCCAGGGGACCCAAGGGAGCTCTTGGATGTCAGGAACAGGACCCTCTTGGGGTCCTTGCCAGGGGAGTGGTCTGAGGCCATCTCCACCAGGAGCCCCCTCCCCACCATGGGCACCAAGGGCGACTCACGCAGACCCACGGGTGCTTCAGGGCCTCATGGGCTGTGATGCGCTTGGCAGGGTTGATGGTCAGCATCTGGTTGATGAGGTTTTTGGCTTCAGGAGTGACGGTGTCCCACTCAGGGGACGGGAACTGCAGAAGGAAACAGCGCCCCGGCCGGGCCTGAAGCTCCCTCTCAGGCAGGGGCAAGAATTCTCCAAGGGGCTTCATCTCCAGCCACGAATCTGGGAGAGCAGGACCCAGGACCTGGCCACAGGTGGCTTCACCCCACTCCTAGCCTCTTCCCACGCTGCCCTCACCCGGCCACACCTGGAGGAAGGGAGCTCATCAGAGAGGGGCTGGTGCACTCACGTCATAGGCACCAGCCTTGATCTGCTGGTACAGCTTGTGCTGGTCCTCGTCCCAGAAGGGTGGGTAGCCCACGAGCAGGATGTACAGGATCACCCCTGCGGATGGGGCCTGTGAGCACCGCAGCCACTTGCAGGGTGCCACCGTCCATGAAGCCCATGCCCTGCACCCTCACTGCCTAGCTCCTGTGGCCCTGGGAGGGCATTGGGGTCCTCAGCATTCCTTTGCCCCCACCTGTGCAGCAGACACTGGGGTAGAAGGGCACAGCCGGCCCCCTGACCTCTGCCCCACACCCACACTATCACAGGGATGAGGGTGATGTCAAGCCCCTCTGCTGCTCCCCACCTCTGTGGGAGGAGACCCCTACCCAAGGAGGTGGCCCTGCCCATGGCCCAACAGCCCCTGACCTCTCTTCTCCACTCCCATCCACCCACCACACTTCTGGACCAGACCTCTGCTGAGCGCAGGCGAGCACTGGGGTGCGCCAGGTTCATGTGAGCAATTCTAATCTGGGTGGAAAGGGGGCTCTTGGCTGTGTGGGCAGACCCCTGCCAGGGCAGCTCAAGGGCAGGTCTGACACAGATAAACCCAGATGAGAGCAAGACGTGCTGGCCACTGCACACTCCAGGATGTAGGTGGGAAGTCCTGAAACACCCGAGGCCCTGCCCCGCACCAACTCAGGCCAGGCCTCACCACATGCCCAGATGTCCACAGGCTTGCCATACGCCTCTTTGCGAAGGACCTCAGGGGACAGGTAGCCTGGTGTGCCAGCGAAACCTAGAGAGAGGGGAAGAGGCCACAAGGGGCTGTCAGCATCACCTCCTGCCCTGCCAACTGCCAGCCAACACACCCTGCCCCTGGCACTCACCAAACCATGCCTGCTGGTCCCCCTGCACCTCGATAGCTAGGCCGAAGTCTGCCAGCTTCACTGCAGCCCCTTTGCACTTGCTGGCCAGAAGCAGGTTCTCCGGCTGCAGGGAGGTGACCGGCACAAGGGTGCATGTTGTTTAAACCCAGAGGTGTTATGTGGGGTTGGGTGGGGGGTTACAAAACAGAGAAAACAGTGGTTTGCAAGAGACAGGTGCACAGGTCTGAGCCCTGCCCCATGGTGTCTGCAGGGCATGGCTGAGCCTTCACCCCAGAGTCCCAGACGCTGAGCCTGCAACCCCACAGCCCCTCTGCCCCTGGGGACAGAGACACAGCAGCTCTGGCCTTTCAGAGGAAACTTGGCTCTCAGCCTGAGCTTGGATCCCCATAACCTGGAAGGGCGACCTGGGGGCTAGTTGGACCAAAACCTCAAGCTCATCCTTACAAGCAAACTAAATGTTCCCCACAGCCCTGGGGCAGACTGTGCAGTGGCTGGGGGCTCCCATGGCCCTCGGACTCCCACTGGCTGAGAGGCTGCAATGGCCCTCCCTTCCCTCCCTGTTTCTCACTCCTCAGAGACCTGGGATGTTGGGGGCTGCTTGAGGGGAAGTTCAGGTATTTCCTGCTGAGATGGTGACCCCCAAAGGGCAAGGAGAAACGCCCAGGGCCCTCAGCACTAGGGGCAGCCCAGGACATCCACCCACCAAGTCCCCCTGGCTCTGGTCATCCCCACTACATGGGGCAGGAAGGAGGCCCCTGCAATGACCCCCTGCCCGCTGGGTATCCACAGGTTGGGGGGTTACTCAGGCCCTGACACAGAGAGCAGTGCCCTTGCTCAAGCCAGAAGGACATCTGCTCCCTATCTTGCAGCAGCGGCCAAGGAGGCCTGGGGGCACTTGGCACTGAGGGCCTGAGGGGGTCCCAGGGCCACTGCATCCCATGGGACCTTCCTGTCCCAGCTTTCAAACCCCATCGGGCTCTGGCCTACCCATCAGCCTCACCATCTCCCAGCGGTGGGGTCTCTTGGCTGCAGGCCTTCCTTGTCCCTGACCAGCAGGGGGCTCCCTGGGGCCCTCGGGTCCCTTGGCCAGCCTCCCAGGCCACCCCTTTGCCCTGGTGAGTACCCCGCTGTCCTGGCACTGCTTCCATCTGATGCACTACCCTCGGGATCACACTGCCGCTTGATGAGCCGCCCAAAGAGACAAAACAGACCACTCCACCCACTTTTAACACTGGTTGTAAACCTCAGAGATCTTGAAATGTGAAAAAGTGACCCCCAGAATGAATGACATATGCTATCCCCATGTGGAAAGACTGCCACAGCCCCGAGCTGTGAGCGCCCCTCAGCAGAAACCCAGAGCTTCCTCGAAAGCTCCAGCCACGCCCTACTGAGCAGGCGGGATGAGGCCGTGTGCCCCCTTGACAAGGCAGCATTGGGGGCTTCTGTCCCCCACCTCCACCTCCTCGTCACCTTGGGGGTCCCAGCCTGCTGGGGCACACGCATCCGTGTCCACCGAGCACCAATCCACAGGCCACTGGACATGGTGATTTTGCCAACGTGAGTGGGTGGAGGCCCCAAGCTCCCCGTGCAGCTACATGGAGAAGTTGGACAGAGGAGGGGTCAGGGGCTGCATTTCTCCACCCAGCCCAGAGCAGACTTGCTGCATGTCCCCCCTCCCCAGAGGAAACAGACCAGCAGTTCTTCCGAAGAGAAGGAGCGTTAAGTGAACATGGACCGTAGGAAGCACTGGGCAAGAAGGCCTGGAGGCTCCAGGGTAGCTCTCAGGCTGTGCCCACCCCTGCTAGGCCACCCAGTGATGCCCCCACCCTGGCTCTTTTGCAGTTCCCTGGGATGACATCAACTGCCCTCTGCTCTCTACCACCCTCCCCAGTGGGGTGAGAGCAACCCCACTACTCTGCTGCTTCCTGGGCTGTCACGATCAAGATGGTGGATTTCTGTCCAGGAGAAAAGGACATCCTGTCCCCCTCAACAGGAGGTTGAGACAGCAAGAATTCTGTTTGTCCCCCAAATTGGGGAGGAGGTACCACTGACCTCTACTTCTATGCCTTGGCTCCAGAGTTAACCAGATAAATCATGGGGTCTGGTAACACAATGTCTGTGGCCCCTCACAGGAGAGCCACTGAGTCCTAGCACCAACCCACGTGGCCCCGAGGGGAGCACCTGGGGGCCCCCTCCTCCCAGAGGCGCCTGAGTGAGGCTGACTCAGGTGAGACAAAGCAGGACATGCTTGGGATGCAGAGATGAGAGGGAACAGGGGGTACGGTGGCGTGTAAAGGGTATAGGAGAGGGTCCCGGATCTGCTCTTGGTGTGACACTCTCCCCAGAGCAGCACAAAGATCATCGATGGCCTAAGGAAAGGTGTGACCCCCATTCAGCATGAAAACCAATGGGGAGGTTGGTCTTAAAAATGCCATCAGGGTGATGGCCCCAGGGTCTGCACTGCTTGCCTGTCTACAGAGAAGCAGCAGGCTGAACCAAGCCTTGGGGAAGGTGGGGTTGAAGAAGGAGGAAAGGAGATTGGAAGGAAGGAAAGGGAGGAAGGAAGGGAGAGAGGAAGGAGCAGAGAGACAGCTAAGCTTCTGAGAGGCCACCCTGTGCCCTGGGGGGTGACCAACCTTCTTCCGAACACAGCCTAGAACTGCTTTGCCCAGACCTGAGCTGGGGGCAGCAGAGACTTGAGGAAAGGGCTGGGAGGACTTGGCAGACCCTGGCGAGTCCTGCTCTCACCACTCTGCTCCCAGCGGCGTCAGCCCTGTCACCTGTGTCCTCATCTGCCACAGTGGAGTCTTGGTGGGGGCTCACAGTTAGACCCTGAGTGGACATTTGTTACTAGCTGATTTCTCTATTGCCCAGGCTGGAGTGCGGTGTAATAGGCTGATTTCTGAAGACTAACCCCTCCCAGCCCTGGAGGTCCGGAGGGGTAGGGAGGGCCATGTGCAGACACCCCTCCAACACACAAGTGCACACACATGCACATGTACACACATGCCCACACAGACACACACACACATGCATACACGCACACATGTACCCACATGTACACATTCACATATGCATGCGCATGAACATGCCCACACATGTACACACTTGTACACACTTGCATACTCATGCATGCACAGTCCCCACACACGTGCATGCACACATGCCATATGTATACACACATGCACACAGGCACACAGACACGCCACCACTCATGCAGACATATGCACTCACACCTCTAAGTGTGCACATACATGCACATCCCTGCACAGGTGCAAGATGCACACACAAGCATGTATACACACATGTGCACACACACTCACACAATGCCTCCACCCAGGCATGCACATATGTACACACGAACCTCCATGTACACACGTATGCACATGCACACACATACTTCTATGCACATGACACATGCACATTTACATACAGGTGCACACACATAAGCATGCACACATGCCTCCACACATGCACGCACATATGCACACCATCCACACAGGACATGCACACACATACACATGCACATGCATGCACACACTCCTCCATGCATGCACACAAGGACACACACACACATACACCTCACCCCTCCAAGCTCCACAGTGCCACACACTGTCCAGCCCCTCACACTTCCTTGTACACAGCATGCAGGTACAGACAACAGACACCTGGCACAGAGTGGGGTGGGGACTCACCTTGAGGTCTCTGTGGACGACCCCCATTTGGTGACAATGGAGAACGGCCTCCAGGATCTGCTGGATACAGTGACTGTGGCAAACAGCAGGTGGGTTAGTGCGAGTGGCCCTGGGGAGCAGCAAGAGGAGGCACTGGGGGCAGGGGCAATGGTGCTGTGTGGCCTGGGGGGACCAGGGGGACAAAGCAAGTCAAGGTGAGAGGAGATGCTGGCCAGGAGGGGCCTCTGGGGCTTCTTCCTCACCTCCAAGGCCAGCAACTCTGGCCCTGGCCCTGCCTTCCCCTCTGGGCCCATATCTGTTCAGAGGGCATGGCTAGGCACACAGAAGTGACTTTCAAAGGAAACACCCCTGTCCCCAGGCTCCTGTTGGCCAAGCTTGACCCTAAGCTGGGCACCCTCAGGAGGGAGGCCAGGCTGAGTCTGTACCCTGTAAGGCAGGCTGAGGTGAGCAGGCCGGGCGAGCGGGCTAGAAAACCAAGGCAGGGAAGGGTCAAGGCGGCTGGGGGTGGGGGCAGGGGGCTGCCCTGGTGTGTGAGAAAGCCCCAGGCACCAGGACCCTGCTCTGTGCTGGAGCAGAAATAATGTGCTCGGGCACATGTTATTTCATTTTAATAAAAAGTGAAACCTGCCTGGGCGCGGTGGTTCATACCTGTAATCCCAGCACTTTGGGAGGCCAAGGTGGGCGGATCACCTGAGGTCAGGAGTTCAAGACCAGCCTGGCCAACATGGCGAAACCCCGTCTCTACTAAAAATACAAAAATTAGCTGGGTGTGGTGGTGGGCGGCTGTAATCCCAGCTACTCAGGAGGCTAAGGAAGGGAGAATTGCTTGAACCCAGGAGGTGGAGGTTGCAGTGAGCCAAGATGGCACCACTGCACTCCAGCCTGGGTGACAGAGGGAGAGTCCATCTCAAAAAGAAAAAAATAAAAAGTGAAACCCAAGCTGCCACATTGGCTGGTGGCTGCCGTGTTGGGTGGCTCAGTTCCAGCAGCACTAGGGGCATCTAGTTCAGCTCCCAGGGATCTGAGGGGCTGGGCAGGGGGCTGTGTGTGCACAGCACTGAGCACACGGAGCTTCCCCTTCAACCCTTCCTCTCATAGTCAGGGAGGGCTGTTGGCAGAAGTCCAGGGCCCTTCCAGGCCATGACTGGCTGGGAGGAGAGGTCCAAGCTGCTCTCAGGCCACCTCCCTGACACCTGTCCTAGAGCACATCAGACCCAGGGCCACGGAGCCCCTGCACACACCGAGAGCCCGTGGCTTGAATCTGCTTCTGCCCAGGTGCCCCTGGAGCCCAACACAAGCCCTTCCCCAGGGACAGCTCCACAATGCAGGGTGATAGCAGCCACCACCTCCGAGGCTGCCCTGCTGGGCCTGGAGGCATTTGCCACAGGCTGCCGATGCCCACCTGCCTGGGGTCTCAGTCACCGCCCCACTGGGCACGGTCAAGGGAGGGACAGGAAGACCCCCTCAAGACCCTTCTATCCCAGCCAGATCCTTGGGGACAGGAGGGTGACCAGGGTCAGCAAGATGAGTGGGCTTTGTTTTCCTAACAGCAAATTCAGAGAAGACACGAGAGGTCAGCCTTCTTCCTCAAATAGCTCCCACCCGTCTTGGTCCCATCTGTACAGCGTCAGCCATTGCATTAAAAAGTGAATCTGAGTTTCCTCCTGAAGAAATCCAGCCCTCAGAGTCCTAATGGGTGATGGACTCCTGAGGTGTGTGGGGTCAGAAGAAGCCAGGCCCAAACTCATGGGAGACAGCCCCTTGGTGGTGTCACTTCAATGTCACCAAGAGTGGGAGCCACAATCCTATCTCCTTGCTCCATATGCCCTGGGGTGTCCTGCCTTCCCTCCTCCCCATGTGCCCTGGGGTGTCCTGCCCATTTGTTGAAACATCCTCCCTTCTCCCTGGCCTACATCTAGAGACTTCCTGGCCTCTCTTCTGCTCCTGCAACTCCTGTAGAGGGCTGTGTCCCTGAAGTCAGCCCATGACAAGCCACTATGAGGAGCATCTACTTCCCATGCTGCCCTCATCTGCCTGGACCAGCCCCTCCTCCTTGTTCCTGAAGGGGCCCAGCATCTGTTCCTTTGAATGGCCAACTGTGTCCTGCCAAGGCCTGTGAGCCTAAGCATGGCTGGCTGGCTGGCTGGGGTGGGGGCTTCCCTCTGGTGGGCAGACTCAGCCTCCCTGCAAGACGGGAAGCCTGGGAAGTCGGGGGTGAGGCTGTGGGGTCAGATATCCACAGCCATCCAGATGGGTCCAGATGCAGAGTGAGCTCAGTGTGGCCCTCCCAGGGGCCCTCCCAAGGGCCAGCCAGCTCCTTCATGCACTGCTGCGTGGTGTGGACGGTAGCAGTGCTGACCAGATCCTGTGGTCAGTCTTGGCCCTGGTTTGTCCTGGGAAGGGCATAGATCTTGGGCTCCTCCTGTCCAACTGTGTGCACTTTCCCCCAGCCCATCCCTGTGGTCCATCACCTCCCTGAGGGCTGGACTTTCCTCTGCCCTTGGGCACTCTCCAGGTGGAGTGATATGTGCAGAGCTTGTGGTCACCAGGAAGTGCCACCTCCCGGGACACCAACAGGGACTCGGCCTGCACCGCATGCACCTCACAGACTACTGCTGAGGGCGAGAGTTGAACCTTCCTCATCGACCTTCTTTCAGCCTCAGACTTACTGAGTCCTGGCCGCAGCTCTGGCCACGCCCTGTATCCTCCTTCCTCCCCAGCTGTCATCACCCCCTGACTCCACAGTTGGCTCGCCCAGTCCTCCTCAGCCTCCCCTGCTGAGGAGGCTCCCCTCCCCTCCCAAACCAATGCCAGAGACGGGGACTATGGGGACAGCATTGGTTCTGCACCTCTCCATGGTGTCCTTAAGGGTATGACGGGGACTTGGCACGTGTTGCTGAGATCAAGTCCGCCCCATCCATTGTCACGCAGCCTCCAGGCCCTGCAAACGCATGCTCAGGATTGAGTTGGCTGAGCAAGCCAGGGGTCCCCAAGACAACGCTGGGCCAGGCTGCACCCAGCAGGGTAGGTGGGATGGGACAACCACCTGGCCTGGGACAGCCCATTCAGGGCAGTCCCCTGCACTTTAGGGACCTGTCCTCATATTGCCCTTGTCCTGGTGCAATCTGAGACCACGGCCTTGGAGGATGTGAGACTCACAGTCACACCATCTTGTCTGCCGTCACTTTCTGTTAACATCGATGTCTTCTCTAGGAAGGGCCGATCCCCTCTAGGTTTGTTTTTGTTTTTTCATGTTTTGAACAGTTTAAGATGTCACTTTTGTGATTAGAATTGTTCCCAAGCAGCATTTGGGACGTTATTCTCAGCCTGGGCTCTGATGTCCTCCCCCTCCGCAGACAGTCAGCATTGCACCAGGTCCCTTCAGCCATCTTTCAGTAGTGACATTGCTTTTTTTTTTTTTTTTTTTTGAGATGGAGTCTCGCTCTGTCACCCAGGCTGGAGTGCAGTGGCGCGAACTCGGCTCACTGCAACCTCCGCCTCCCGGGTTCAAGCGATTCTCCTGCCTCAACCTCCAGAGTAGCTGGGATTACAGGCATGCGCCACCACACCAGGCTAATTTTTATATTTTTAATAGAGACGGGGTTTCACCATGTTGGCCAAGATGTTTTCGATCTCCTGACCTTGTGATCCGCCCGCCTCGGCCTCCCAGAGTGCTGGGATTACAGGCGTGAGCCACCGTGCCTGGCCACCACATTGCTTTTTAAGGTTTTTTTAAAAATGGGTTCTAAATGTTTTGTACTTTGCTTTCCCTGTTTGAAGAAGACATGGACACCCTTCAGTTTCCCCATCAACTCCAAAATAAGACCCTGCTTCCTCCTAAGAGGAATTTCCAGCTTTGTTGGTTAGAAATGAGTTCAGAAAAGCAATGACTGTCCTGTTTCTTCTTGTTCCTTAGATGGGGCTCATCCAGAAATCTGTGAGCTGCTCCACGGCAGCAGCTCCTGGCCCTTGGCAGGTACCAGGCAGGGCATTAGTACACTTGCCCTGGCTGCGTCTGTGTGGTTCGGAAAGCACCTCCCTGCCTGGGTCTGGCCAGGAGGCCTCGGCCCATCCTGTCCCGCGCCTGTCCTTTACCTCTGTCTCAGCACAACCCTGACTGTTCAGACATGGGGCTCTGCCTGGGGGTAAGTCAAGCTCCCTCCTTTGCTATAGTCCTGCCCTGAGTTTGTGGCTATGCTTGTTGGGTAGGGGCCCACGGGTGCCTCTGTCAGACTCTCCACCGAGCTCCACTGCTTGAAGGCTGAAGCTCACGCACAGAGAGCAAAGCCACCGTGGCCCCAGGCAGGGCACGAGGCTCACCCAGAAAGAAAGGAGCCCAAGGCTGCTGAAGCCCGAGGAGGGGCCCCATGCTGAGGCTGTCGCACCAGCAGGGCCAACCCAGGAGGGGCTCTCCAGGAGGCTCCTTCCCTCTCCATGTCCCCTCTCCCACTCAGCCTCCAAAATCACTGCCCGGATCCTGGCACCCTCTACAGCACACAGGCCGTGTGCCCCCTCGCTCCCCACAGTCTGGCTATGGAATGCCCTCCATTTGAGCTCCAAACCCTCAATGGAGGCAGTGGAGTTTCTAAGAGAACATCTCTTCTGGCTGGTTCCAAGGACCCCATACACCAGGGGTGCCCTCCGCATCGGGAGTCCTGTGAGAGGAGATGGGGAGACCTGGGTCAGAGCCGGGAACACTACAGTTTGCTCTGGCAAAGGTTTCTGGAACCTGAACAGCCCGAGCATTTCCTGAGGACCCTAGAAATCCCTCACTTCTCCCCTCCCGAGCCTACCCTGAGGCTGCTCCAGACCTCGCCAGGCCAGCTCTGCGGTCCCCCGGCCCACAGCAGAAAATCTGGGGTTCAAGCAGATGGGACTCCTGCTGCCAGGCCAGGCACCCCAGGGCCCGCCACGGGGAGGGGCTGTGGGTGTGTGTGGGGTGCTGTGTGTCCATCCGAGACTCAGACTGAGGAGGGAGATGCTGAGCAAGAAGTCAAGGCCGCGCCTGTGGATTGGGCGGAGGGGTTGGCGCTCTGGAGGGAACTGGCCTGGTGTGATGAGGAAGCCACATGTGACCCTTCACCCCCATGGCTGGAGTTGCCCCATTCCAGCCTCCACCTGGGGCGGTGAGGGGTGCAGCATTCTGGGCAGGCTGACTCTCAAGCTGACCCCCAGAGTGGGGGATAACAGGTTGTGTCTCCTTCCCCAAACCTGATGAACACAAAGACTCCTAAACCACACAGGGGGCCAAGAGGGATCCACAGGAGCAGAGGGGGCTCTGGGGGGCTGCAGGACATCAATAAGGAGGCAGAGGGAGCATAGGAGAGGGTGCAGCACAGAGGGGCAGGGGAGAGGGCTGGAGGCAGCAGGTGAGCAGGAGGGTGGGAGTGAGGGGCCTGTGATGGGGCACGGGCAGGGGGTGGGGGTGGGGGAGGGTGGGGCTGTGGTCTAAGGCACTCCTGAACCCTAGCTGTGGGATCCGATCTGCTGATGGGAGGCTCTAGGAGGCCACATGCCCCCACCCTTGCCCAGCATCTGTCCACCCCTCAGGGCACTCCACCCATCCCAGGATCCCACCTGCCCCAGCAGGTGTCTGGATGGGCCACCAGGGACCCTCGAGTCCACCTGGCCAGCAGGCAGGCAGCAGCAGGCTCTGTGACATATCTCACCCCAGAAGCTCAGAGCAGGGGGACAGGGCTCCGTTCCACTTTCTACTTGTCTTCTAAGTAGAATATAAAGGAAAACCTCGTCTTCCTCCACTCCAAGGGCACAGGCCTCTCCAGGCTGTTCTGCAAACTACAAATTCCCTCCTCAAGGATCCTTAGAAAAGAAGCCAGTGTCCCGAACCCCACAGAAGTCTGGGGCCAAGAGACTCACCAGCTTTGTCCCTCTCCCTGCCCAGCTCTAGGGGAGGCCCAGTGGCACCAGAGCTGCTCACACTGCCCATCAGGGATGCGGGCCATGTCACGATGGGCAGTTTCCTACTGGTGCAGAGGCAAGTCACATCAAACTACTTCTGCTACTTAAAAAAAAATTCATTTTTCTGGATCAGAAAAGTAATACATACTCATTTTAAAAAGAGTTTTTTTTTTTTGGTTTTTTTTTTTGAGACAGAGTTTTGCTCTTGTTGCCCACCCAGGCTGGAGTGCAATGGCGCAATCTCAGCTCACTGCAAACTCCGCCTCCTGGGTTCAAGCAATTCTCCTGCCTCAGCCTCCCGAGTAGCTGGGATTACAGGCATGCGCCACCACGCCCGGCTAATTTTGTATTTTTAGTAGAGACGGGGTTTCTCCATGTTGGTCAGGTTGGCCTGGAACTCCCGACCTCAGGTGATCCGCCCACCTCGGCCTCCCAAAGTGTTGGAATTACACGTGTGAGCCACCACGCACGGCCTAAAAAGAGTTTTTAAATAGACAAAGATACAAATTTAAAATCATCCACAATTTCACCACCTAGCGAGGTCCTCCGTTAGCCTTATTTATGTATTTATTTTTTGGAGACAGGGTCTTGCTCTGTCACCCAGGCTGGAGTGCAGTGGCACAATCTCGGCTCACTGCAACTTTGAACTCCTGGGCTCAAACCATCCTCCCATCTCAGCTTCCCAAGTGGCTGATGTGCATGTGTGCCACCATGCCTGGCTACTTTTTTTTAAGTTTTTGGTAGAGAGGGGGTCTCATTATATTGCCCAGGCTAGTCTCAAACTCCTAGCCTCAAGCAATCCTCCTGTCTTGGCCTCCCAAAATGTTAGGATTACAGGTGTGAGCTACCATGCCTGGCCTCAGTTTTTTTTTTTTTTTTTTTTAAATACACATCTCTGTGGCAGAGCAGGGTGGGCAGAGCCCAGTGGGCAGGGAGTAATGCTGTCAGCTGTCCCTGAGGTGAGATGTACTGTTACGAGAGACATCCTTGTCAGGTGTCAGGGTGGCATCTGGCCTGGGCCACAGCAGGCTACCAGTGGCCTATGCTTCCAGGGACAGGGCCCTGTCACCTCCCCAGCTGACATCTGCCATCCCTCAATCTGGTCTCCAGCAGCCGGGCCACAAACAGTCATCTCTGAGACCATCTGTCCCTCTTCATCCCCCCGGGGAGGGTCAGCCTTGTGGGAAGGGCTGCCTGAGGGTCCACGGGAAGCCCCACCTGGATAGAGCCCAAGTTCCTCCATTCCATCCTCACACTGGGAGGCCCACAGACCCAGGGCCAAGCCCTCTGAACCTGGCCTTGGGCGTGGAGGGGAGGTGGCCTCTTGGCTCTGCGCTGAGGTTACAAGTTTCCTTTGGCTTCATGCCCATCGCTCTGGGGTGTGGGTGAGCAGGGATGCTCAGCACCAGACGTGGGTTAGAAAGAGCAGCAGGAGTGGGTGAAGGAGGGATGGTGAGGGTATAAAGGAAGAGGGACAGGACAGCGTGAGGGCTCTGCACCCACCTGGCATCAGCCTCGCTGTAGTACTCTCTCGCCACAATGTCTTCAAAGAGCTCCCCACCAGTGACCCTATGGGAGAAGCATGAAGGGGTCACAGATTCTGGAGACCCCTGTCACACTGCACTGTCACCTCCATTACTACCACCACCACCATCACCACTATCATCACCATCACTCCCATCATCACTAATGTCACCATCCATCACCAGCATCATCACAATCATCACCACCACCAACTACCACCATCACCAGCACCACCACCTCCACCGTATTACCATCACTTGGGACTGACAGCTTACTAGTGCTTACTTATCTATAATGACATTTAACATTTCAGTCCTCACAACCACTCTGTGACTTTGGCCACGATTATACTCCATTTTTATGGATGAGAAAACAAATTTCAAAGATTTGGTGACTTGCCCAGAGTGGGCAGCACAGGAGCTTTGTCTCAGGGTCTGCATTGTTACACCCAGGCCTTGTGACTCAAATTCCAAGTCTGAGAAGATCTGGTTTCCCCTCCTCAATACTCTCCCACCCCCACTTAGGGCCAGAGTGGTGGCCCTCGCACAGGATCAGAGCCTAAAGACACGGTGCCTAAATCTGGTCTCCTTGGTGGCGCAGGGTCTTGAGGTGTTCGAGGTCCCATCTCTAGGAAGAGAACAGAGATGACAGGCAGAAGGGAGGTCTCTGCCCACTCTCCTGCCCTGTGTCTCCACCCAGTGAGTAGTCATTGGGCCCTATGGTCAGGATAGACCCTGTGAGCAGAAGCCACAATCTGAAGGGCCTCTGGGAGCCGGGTAATGTGGGCATGGAACAAAAAGGTGGAGGGGCTGGATGCACGGCAGGGGAGTAGGACGGAGCCCTCTGCAGGTCTGCCCAAGCCCCTCACACACTTAGCCTGCTTGAGTCTGCTGGTAGACTCCCCTAGAAGCTGTCACCCCTGAGAAGGTTAGGGTCACTGCTCCCACACCACTTCCTGTGACCCTATGTGTGGGGCAGGCCTGTGGGGTCCAAGCCCCTCCTCTGCCTCCGCACCCTCTTCCCCATCCCCCCGCCTGCTCCACTGCACTGCCCAGGTGCTGTGGCTTCTCTATCTGCCTGGCAGTTTTCCCCATTGGTTCTGGAATGTAGGGCTTAGGTCTTCCTCATTTTTGGGCCCAGCACTTGGGGCTGGGCTGGTCCATGGCAGGGAAGACCCAGGGAGTGGATCTGTTGAACATGTGACCTTGGCACATGTGGGTGCTCTCTCAGCACTGGAGAAAAAGAAAAGTGAGCATGTGTTGAATGTCGGCTCACCCCTGCTCCAGCTAAACGCATGCCCTGATGATCCCATTGAATCCCCTCAAAATCCTTCGAGCAATGTGAGGGTGAAATGCACTGGGAAGACACCCAAGTCCCTGGCACCTAGCAGGGCATTAAAGGACTGGGTGTTCCCTTTCCTTTCCCCATTTTTCTGTCCAGGCTGGGGCTGGGGGCAGGGGCTCTGCCTCTGTTGCCTGACTGGTTCTGCTGTTCTGTGTCCCCGACCAGCACCTGGCATGTGACCTGGAGCTCTGCTCACCCTCGCTCACTCCTCTGCCTGCCTCTCCTCTCACTCCTCATGGGCCAGCACATTTCTACAGCCAATCAACCACCACACCGACCACAAGGAAACAAAACAGTGTTGACGGGGCCCTTCCCAGGGTCATCTGGCCGGGCTCCTGAGCTTGGCCTGTCCGTGTGAGGGTGTGTGTGTGCACGTGTTCACATGTGTGGATGCCTGTGTGTGCCCTTGTGTACATGTATACTGGCTTGTGCATGTGAGCACATGTGCATGTGTGTCTGTGTGTCTGTACCTATGTGTGCCCATGCGTGCACTCATGTTCATGTATATTGTTTTGCATGTGTGCCTGTGTGCATGTGTGTACAACTGTGTGCCTGTGTGTGCCCTTGTGCACTTGTAGAGCAGTTTGTTCATGCGCACACATGTGTGCATGTTTGTACATATGTGTGCTTGTGTATACATGTGCATTGGGCAGGAGGATCAAAACCCACATCTAGCCCAGGCAAGGGCCTGGCATGCCCCAGTGTTGTGCTATAACTGTTTAGGTCTTGGCACACACTGAACACAGATTAGGCTCTGCAGACGCCGAGTCCAGGCACAGAACAGTGGCTAAAAGGCCTTACGGTCTTGAGCCAGGGCTGCAGCCCAGAGTCGCTCCAAGGGGTGCCTCACTAGGGCTGATGCAGGCCCTCTGGTGTGCTCTGTGTGCTCAGGAAGCTGTAGTTTGGGCTGGTGGGCACCTGGGACTCCCTGGCCAGGGCCATCTAGTGGTTCAGTTTCAGGGAAGGGAGTTTGCTCCTCCACCCACGTTGGTTGCTGTGGGGAGTTTGGGAAACTCAGTGCTGGCCCAGGAGGGACACAGTCCGGGAAGGCACACATATGACTCCATGGCCCCCTTTCCTTAGGCTGTGGGGGACACATGGCTGATTCTTGGCTTCAGCCATGGCGCCTATGGGAGCTTCTGTCCTCTGGGCGTGCAGGTGTGTGTGAGACCCTCTACTCCCAGGCCTGGTTCTCAAGCCCTGTGACATTCCCAAGCAAGGGGAGTGGGGATATCTGTCAATCCCCCAGAATCCACAGAGTTCCCAAACTACTATGGGGCCTCAGGGCCTCCTGAGGGCAATGCCAGCCAACTCCAGAAACTGCTGTCCCGGCCCTCTGCTGGCCTGGAGGCTGGCTGAGGCACAGGGGCCATGGAGGTTGGTGGGGAAGACATGGAGGGTCCTTCCTGACTCGCCAGCCAATCTCCTCTTCCCAGCCTGCCTCAGGGCCTCCAATGACACCTGCCTGGCATGTGCTTGGCAAGGCGGGAGACATGAGAGTCTCTCAAATGGGCACACACACATGCACGAACACACCACCCTTTCTCCTCCTCGGCTCCTGTAACACATGCAGCCATCTGTTGGCCACCAAGGGCCCTGGATCGGACCACCCCCCACCCCACAGTCTCCATTTCCTGGGAAAAGAGGCTGGTGGAGGTGTGCTGGGGCACACAGGTGTGGCAGCAAGCCTGCCAGCTCCCCAGGGCCACAGGACAGACGTTTCAGGACACAGCCTCAGCCAGGCAGTGGCAACTGTGTCCTGGGTCAGCCCCAGTCACCTGGCTGGTGATTTGAGTTGGTGTCTTGTGGAACATGCAGGGGAACCTGAGAGGTGGCCAAGCCCCTGCAGGGACAGTCTCAGCTTCTCTAGGCCAGAGAACCTCACATGGACAGAGGCCTCCTCAGGCCTACATGTGCCATGGCCTGACGTCTGTCACTTGAGGAAGGAGGAGCTGAGAGGGCAGCCCCCACGCAGGCGTGTCCTGTCTCTGCTCGGCCTGCACGCTCACAGCAGCCATGGGGAGGGCCTGGGGTAACCATGGCAATAGCACCAAGGCTGGGCTTCTCTGGCTGTGTGGCCGCCTGGAGGCCACAGGGGCAGGCTAAGGCCTATGGGCCCTTGCCCAGGTCAGGGTCCTGGAACAGCACTGACTCACAGACAGCTAAATATAGCGCTGCTTAGCAGGAACTGTCAAAAGTGAGGGAGATGAGATCACTGCTTCTAAATCCGGCAGGAAGTGAGAGGCGGCAGCGGCCCCAGACACCTTCTCACTGAGCTACTGCACACGCACTCATGAAACACTCACACATGCACATTCATGCAAACACACACATACACATGCATGCACACACATGCAAACGTGCATGCATACACTTGTGCCAGCGTACCCACATGCACACACCTCCACACGCTCACTCATACATTCACACAATACACATGCACATGTATGCACATCCCCACCCATATGGACCCTGATTTCATGTGCTCACGCGCCCCCACGTGCAAACACCCACACACATACATACAGGTGCACGTGCTCACATTTCACAGCCACACTCATAAACACACACATGTGCACTCACGCCAGCCAGTGGTGCCCCAGTCCAGCTGGGATGAGGGCACCAAGGAAAGGAAGGTGAATGCAGCTGCTGACTGACTATTCCTCTGGGGTCCACCCACCCGCTGCCTCCAGTGTGCCCTGTTCTGTGTGGAGGAGAGGGGGAGTCCAGGATGTCAGCCCTGCCTCTGTGGGCCTCAGTAACCCTAGTGCAAAGCAAATGAGGGGAGGCGAGGGAAGCTAGGCTGGGCACAGCTTGGAGCAAGGGGACCAGCAGCAGAAGCACACTCAAGGGAGTGGCCAGCCCACGGGTAGGGACTATTCCCTGGGGCTGGGGAGGCTGCAGATCCCACCCTGAGCCAAGGCTGGGAGTGAGTGCAGCGAGAGTCCCCAGCTCTGGAACTTACAGATCGAAGACCAGGTAGTGGAAGCCCTCCTCGGAGATGCTGTCGTGGAGACGCACTGTGGGGACAGAGAAGCCATGAGGGGCTGGCAATAGCCCAGGACACACCTCCTGCCTGCCTCCGTACCTGTCCAGGCACACCACCAGCGGTGTAAGCCCTAGGGCTGCCCAGAGGATCGGGCTGGGTAGGGCCCGGGTGGGCAGGCCAGAGGGCAGGGCTGAGCAGAGTGCTTTGGGCCCTGCGGGCCAGCTGGCCACCCAGCGAGCACCCACAGGGCCTCAGGGCAGTGCCACTGCCCTCAGCTGCCAGTGCCTCACCCTCCGCTGCCAGTCTGGTCACCTGTCTCCTTCTGCCAGAGAGAGACCAGGTCCTTTTGGTCCCAGCCTGGGCCTCAGCTGCTCCCAAACACCACGGAGATCAACAGGAGGAGCTCACACCTCCAAACCCCAGAAAGGAGCTGCCGTGCAGCTCCACATGAGGAGAAGCTGGGACAAAAACCACTCATTATTCACCCTGGGTCTTCCCAGGGCTGCCTTCTGCCTTCAGGCTCTGTGTCTCCGCTGTGTCCTGCCAGCACAGGCTGGTGGCAGGGTCCCTGCCTGATGCAACATCATCCAAAATTTTGGGCCCTGAGCTCCAATTCCAGAGCTGGCATGGTCAGCAGGATGGACCACCATCATTCCCTCCTTCCTCCTTGCACAACTTCCCATGACAATCTATGTGAAGCGTGCCTGGCCCTGGAACTCTGCCTGGCGCAGGGCAGGAGCTGGTCAGGATGTGATGAATGA
The DNA here is from genome assembly GCF_000001405.40 of Homo sapiens. Lineage (NCBI taxonomy): Eukaryota > Metazoa > Chordata > Mammalia > Primates > Hominidae > Homo > Homo sapiens. The sequence goes on from NC_000007.14 coordinate 44,259,657, forward strand.
ACAAGCGGATGAAGAGGCGAGGGAACAGTGAGTGATTTCAGCACAAAGCAAGCAACCTCAAGGCCTGCTTTTCCTTGAGCTGGAGATGTGCCCTGTACTAAGCAGCAAATATTTTCTAGGAATGACTCATTTTGGACACTCTCCCACGTGCCGGTTCTGATGATTGCTAGAACAACGAGGACGACGACAGCCAACACGCTAGGGCTGTTCTAAGCACTTTGTGTGTGTTATTTCATTTAACCTTCCCAACCACCCCGAGAAGTTACAGATGAGGAAGCTGAAGCACAGGGAGGTTAGGTAAGCAGCTGATAGTCACACAGCTCACAAAAGGCAGAATAGGGCTGTGGACTCAGCGGGCAGTCTGGCTTGAGGGCCTGCACTGCACCAGCCTTATTCCCTCCAGTCCTCAAGTCTTGGAGAGATGAACCTCTGAGGTGTGGCTCTCCTCTACCACTTGAGACTGGGCCACAGACGCTGAATGGGTAAGACAGTAAGACGTAGCCACCTTCTCCTAGGTTCGCAGGTCCCTGGGCCTCAGGCACAAGCAGCCCCCCTTCCTTGCATGCTCCGGCGCTGTCCCAGTTTCTAACTGGCTGCCAGTGCCCTCCCTCCTCTGGCTCTGGTTCTCCCAGGGGCCCAGCCTGATAGCGTCCTTACATCCAGGAACTCCATGTGGCTTCTGGGGCCTAGGCCTCACCTTGCAGATTCCTGGACTCCAGCAGCCCCATACCAATGGCCCTCCTTAGCTCCTAAACCTCAGGCAAAATGCCCTCCACCAAGGGCAGGCCAGGCCCCAGAAGCCTCCACAGAATCAGAAAATATAGGGCAAGCCCAGCCCCTGCCACTTGCACTGGCTGTGTGACCTGGGGCAGGTTGCTCAGCCCATCTAAGCCTCAATCTGCCCCTCTATGAAATAGGATAAATAGCACCTCTTCACAGGGTGGCCGTGAAGATCAATTATGTAACCTTTGTGGTGCTCTGAGACAGTGAGCACTAGGTAAACCACAGTTCTGTGACCATCACTGTCACCATCATCACCTGAGTGTGAAGAATCCCAGGTGACCAACACTCAGCACCAGGGTCTGGGGCCCACTTAAGAGTCCTGGGGTTTTTTCAAGCCCAGTGCAGAAAGACCTGCTCCACTTCTCTGCCTCAGGCCCAGCAGCCCAGCCTTCTCCTCTCTGCCCCCACCAAGCCCCATTCTCAAAGAGCAAGGTATTCCCCAGACCATGTCCTGGGTCAGCACCCTGGGCGGAGGGCAACTCTTACCCACCGGGGCTGTCTGTGAGCCGACGCTGGCCTCTGCCAAGCAGGGACTCCACCAGCTAAGGCACTCATCTGAAACCAATGTCCCCTTTCCCTCTCACCCCTCTCTGGCTGGCTTCTGTCCCAAGAGCAAGGATGCCCTCTCACTAGGTCCCCTGGACCCTCTCTTCACTCCTAGGCTCCCATTCTACCCAGGCTGGCCTCTGCGTCCCTAAGACATGGGAGGCCCACCAACGTCCTGCTTCTAGGACTTGCCTGTGAAATCTCTGGAGTTAAAAAGCTCACCCCTCCCCACTCCTTTCCAGTGGGGGCTGCCCAATAAGCCCAGTTGGGGGCCCAGCAGGCTGGCCCCTCTGAGCTGCCCCACCTGGGACATGCTTCATGAAAATCACACACTCAGAGCAGAGGTGGTCCCAGGGGCCATGGAGGAGATGCCCCCCGCAGAACCCCCATGGGCAGCTCCAAGGGAGGCCCTGTCATCTATGAAGGTACCTCACTGCTCCCTGGGGGCGCTGCAGGGCTGATCTCATGGTGGGGGCTGCCCCTGCCCTCAGGCACCCACCTCCCCATGCAGGCCTGGTGGGGTGGGGCAGAGGCAGATGGGCTCCGGGGTGGCAGCTGGTGGGGGAAATCCCACCTCCTCGGCAGGAAGCAGGTTGCTCAGGCCAGATGGAGCACTGGGGGTCTGTGTGGGGAGTCTGGGCCGTATGCATGTGGACACTTTAAAAAAAAACATTTTTAACTTTTTAAAAATAGTTATATACTTATTTAATGGTTTAAAAGAAAACCTAACTGGCACATCAGACGGCAAATTCACAGACAGGGCTAAGTAAAAAAGTGAATTGTCAGGAAATCTATTTAAATAAAAACAGTAAGCAAATAACACTGTGGGCAGCATACAGAGGTGGCAAACAAATAAAGTCCTGGGTTACTAAGAGGAACCAGGGTGAAGAGTCCAGTCTGGATGCAGTGGGTTGGTGGGCAGCGGCAAATCTCGTCAGGGGCTAAGCTGCAGTAGCAGGCCCCTGAGAGCCCACCTGGGGCTGCAGCCTGGCCCCGGGCCCTGGAGTTGGGGCTGCCGCTTTCCATGCTGGGGTCCTGCTGGGTCCAATGGGGCACCTGCCCCTCTGCCCAGCTCATTGGTGAAGCATCAGATGAGGCGAGGTGGTTCCAGCCCCCTAAACCAGGTGATGAGGGTTCAGCGACCTTCGGAGCCAGGCCCAGGTGAGTGTGTGGATGCCCCAGGCTCCTAAACAGGCTCCCGGTCCCCAGCTGTTCCTTTGGAACAAGCATGCCTGGGCTCCTCCTGGCATAAGTGAATCAGAGCTTTGGAGGAAAGGGCCCCAAATCCACCTGACAGCTCCCCAGGTGCCTCCGAGGCCAAGAGCGGCTGCCGTCCCTAGGGCGTTTCCTGGCTGCTCCCCGACAAAGGCAAGGCCTGGGCTCCAGGCTCCAGATACCCCTGTGGAGCAGCTGACTCTGGGCCAGGGTCACCTGACCCCAGACTGTAGTTCCAGAAGCCCTGGGCCAGCGCAAGAAAACAGTCAGGGGCTCTCAGCCCGAGAACAGCATGTGCTGGGGTCTTTGGTCAGTCTTTCTTTTCCTTGTAATTGGGCCATCTTGTGGCTTTTCTTGAGGCCACAGAATGTTGGGGCCCCTGTGTGTTCTCAGCAGAATGGCGGCTCAGAGTTATGGGGGTCACATGCTGGGCACTGGCTCAGCAGAGGGCTCTGTGAGGAATGTGTCCTTTACCTTCCTCTGCACCAATGCCACCGACAAGACCCAAAGGACAGAGTGGGATGGGAAAGGGACCTGTCCAGTCGGGTGGAGCTGGGCACCCAGAGCCCCACCTTGGGGCTGCCCCGGCTCTGAGCACCCCCGGGAATCATGTCACATACGACAAAGTCCTCAAGGTCAGGGGAGAAGAGGGGGCGTCCTCAGGGGCTTCTGGTGGGATATTTCAACAGAGAAGAAAAGGAAGTCTTTCTGCATCTCTTTGAAAGTCTGATAGAGAAACCGGAATGGGCTGCTGTCCGGGAGAAGGTGGGGACCCATCCCCGCTCCCTACCCCAGGCTGCTCACCGATGTTGGAATGCTTCAGAAGGCGGCAGATCCGAGCCTCTCTCTCCAGCTTCTGGTGATCTGGGGGACAGGAAAAACAAGGCGTCACCTCCTGCGCCAGCAACTGGTGGCCCAGGGATCGTCCATGTCAGGAGAGGCCCACAAGGGTGTGCCAGGGCCTCTGACGAGAGGAGTGGTTGTGCCCCCACCAAGGGAACACCCTTCGTGGCACCCCCTGGGCCACTGGTGGCAAGGCTGGGGCAGGGACCAGCCGGCTTGTGTTTGGGATGGGTGGAGAGGCCCATTCGGGTAGTGAGCGCTGCTAACTCGGGGCTAAAAGTTTCCCTGGATGATTCTAAGTCAGCGGTGCACTGATTTAGTCCTCCACTTATTTGTCCTAATTCCATACTCTTTGGAGCTTTTGGCTGAAGCCAAATTTGTTCTTCCGAGGCAGGGGAGGGGCTGTCAGAATGGGGCCGGGAGGGGGTTGAGGGTGTGCCCCAGAGCCCGGCTGGCAGGAGGAGGAGGGGAAAGCCTCAGAGAGGCCTCGCCTGGGAGATAGGAGTAAACTGGTGGTGAAGCAGGAGGTGGCCCCTCCTGCCCTGGCCGCTCTCCTCCCACCCCACAAGGTGCGGGGCCCAGATCCCCGGACACCGGAGGCGTGGAGGTGACTGGTGCCCCTTGGGTGGCCCCTCCACTGGCCCCCAAAGGATGGAGCAACTTATCTGCCAGAAATTTTACATTTCAAATAGAGGCAGGAGGCTTTTAAAAACTGATGGAGATTGTAATAGCAAAACCCAAAACCCCACACTTCCACTGACAGAGGGAGGACTCCATGCGCTGCAGTCACACAGGGTCCCATACTGCAATGCATCAAAGCCCTCTGCCAACCCCCACGTGCGGGTAGCACCCACATCCGAATAGTGTGGAGGGAACGAGCAGCAAAGGAGGACCCACAGTGTGCTCTTATTTACACAAAGGTCGAAACTAGGCAGTCGGTGGGCACAGCCGCATGTGGGGAGCTGCGAGGAAAGGCCAGTGCATTTCAGAGTTCAGGACGTGACTGGGGAGGGGGCATCAGTGTCTGGAGCCCCCTCTACCTGCCCAGTGCTGAGTCCCACCATGGGAAAGGTGAGCAGGGCCTGGGGGCACATAATTAATACACAAGACAAGACCTCGGGGATGCCTCCTTCGCCAGGAATGCCCAGTAGCACCCAGGAGCAGGGAAAGAATGAGGCTGCAACTTCACAATCATCCTTGGGAAGCATTAAAACCTCTGATCCCCGTGCTTGGCAGAAACTTGTCCACCTGCAGGAAGGGAGGACTGGCTGAGTCATGTCTGGGGTTAATTCCCCTGGAGCAGGTGTGGTGGTGGCAGCCTGGGGGTACAGGATATGCCTGCAAACACGCATATGTCTTGAGTGAGAAAGCCACGCCTACAGATGGGAAGGTCTCTGGGAGCGGCATCCCCTGGCTCCCCCCTCCCAGGACAGGCATTCGTCTCCCTGCCCTGGCCACCTGGCTGCCATCTGCTTCAAGCCCAGCCGCCTGGCATCCCACGAGAGGGATTCAGAGGGATCTGGCAGAGCCTCCAGGTGGCATGGAGGGAGTCAGACCCCATCCCGCTGTTTTGCTGGAAGCCCAGGGCATACCTGCTCCCTCTCCCACCTGCACACCCAACTCAGCAAGCACTGCACGGTCTTCCAGAATACTCCAGTCCCTGCTCCCCCTCCCTCCCCTCTCCCCTCCCACTGAAGTGGGAGCTGAGGTGCCAGGAGCCTCAGGGATTTGTGATGGCGGAACTGGAACCAGCCCAAGTGTCTGTCAGCATCAGAATGGAAAAATCAAACATAGTCACAATAGAATACACATGGTGTGGGCTCCGTTTCCCTATCTGCATGGAGCTCAAAACCCAGCAACACTGGACATACCTGGGGAGGGGAGGGGTCCATGCACAAGGCCTGGCTCCAGTGGAAAGCAGGGCACCAACTCTTGCAACACCCCTGACCCCCATCCCTCTGGGGTGGGAGGAGGGAGGCTCTCAGGGTGCAGGACGGTGAGTTCACGGGGTTATTGTTTTCTTTCCTAGTATCTTTCTTAAACTGATTGTGAACATTTTTCAGACTTAGAGAAAAACTGCAACAACAGTACAGAGCAATCGTGTACAGCACTTCTGTACAATCTCCCTGCCCCGCCCCTGCTTCCATATAACACACTCGCTTCTTCTGACGCGTGTGTAACACCAGGCAGCACTCAGGTGCGTCTCATAAGGAGAGGGTGTCCCTTCCATAATCTCAGTGCAGGTCCCAGATTCAGTAAATCGAATGCAGATATGACACTCATGTCTCTAAGCTACAATCCACGTTCCACCTTTCCAACTTGTCCCAATAAAGTTGATGGCTAATCTTTCCCCAGGACAGGATCCAAGCCCAGGACCACACATCGCCACGGGACGTGTGGGCCAGAGCCAGGCTGAGGGAAAGGAGGACCTAGGAGGGAGATGCGGTGGAACCAGGGCACGTAGTTTCCTTTTGAAAAATTGCCTGATTAGAGTTAAATCAATAAAATCATAAATCCAAATCAGGAGAAAGATGCAATTATGAACGCATTCTCCTGGGACACAGATAATTTATATGCCTGTGTTTCATTACTGAAACATCGCCAAGAGCTGAGCCCCAGCCCAAAAATGATACCTATTCCTGAGCATGTGTTTAGGGAGATAATTATTTGTGTGGGGTAAAGAAAGGGCACCTGGCTGTCCAGTCCTGGCACCAGGTGTCCACTCATGGTGGCCATACAGGTTGCTGACTGGTCCTCTTTCTGTAACACCCACAACAGCACCTCGACCACCTCCTCCCAGCAGCTGCAGTAAGTTAGAGCTCAGAGAGCCGCTTGGAAACCATAAACCATGACACAAGATCTAAGCTGGTAACACACAAACACACACGTCGTATCGAGTGCTTCACTCTCGGTGGCAGGATTATGGCTAATGTTGTTTTATTCGTTAACTTCCCCTCCCCCAGTTTTGACAGTGATCATGCGTTACTTCCATAATTTAGCAAAGCATTGTTTTTAAAAAAGATTTTGATCCTGTCTCCAGTGACCAAGCTACTGATTCAATATGACAAGGATGTTTCATAAAATCTGCTATGGTAGCATTTGCTCTTAAATTTTAAAAATTCGGGCAAAAAATAAATCTAAGCAGATATAATGTGACTCTGGATAGGACTGAGAAGCCACAAGAAGGAGGGGGCACAAGGAAGAGGCGTTCTCTCTCCACCTGGCTCAGACAGCCCCATCTCAGGGCAGGCCAGAATCCAGCTTCCTAACTCTGTGGACATACTATGATTTTCTTTCCACAAAACCAGGGACATTATTCTTGGCTTCCACATTAACACCGTAAACCCCTTGTCATGGACAAGGTTAAGTAAGTTAAATTGAACCCAATCCAGTGCATAAGAAATGTGCCCTGGCCCTAAACAGTACAGCGGAATCTGGAGGAACCTCCAGCTCGGTCTTATTCCCTGCCCCAGACAGTGGAGCAACCATATCTTGCTCATCCCTCCCTGCCAGCCTCATTCTGGGGGGTTCTGGTCCCCAGGGAACCTGCTGAACTCAGGAGACCAGAGCAGTGGCCACTGAGCAGGTCCCGAGGCCAGCAGGCCTGTGGCGAGAACACAGCCGGAAGTCTGCCAACAGCGGCTCCCTACCTGCCCAGGGCCCCATCAATGCCCCCAGGACCCCCGCGGGGCACCCCTTCCTGAAGGAGGTCCCAAGAGGCCTCCTGAGTGGCCAGCCCTGGCTATGCCCACTACGGTGATGTCCTTGTCAGGGCCAGGCAGTGTCACAGAAGTCACAGAAGAGGTGCCACACCTCTGCAGGTTGTGAATCCAATGACAAAGAAACCCCAAGAACCCACCCCATCCAACAGCCGGTGCCTGGTCAACTCCTCAGAAGGTGCTGAATCCCCTCTCCCCGTCGGCCAATGTCAGGCTCAGGCTCAGGCTCACGGCACCTCTACGTGCACACTGGCTCCGGGAACTGCAGTTCCCTGTGATGCTGAGTTTTCCTAAAGGAGTCTAAGAACAACCTCTGAAATAGACCGTGGGACAGAAGGCAGGAGCTGGGGAGTGAGGACGCAGGCTGAGCCCCTCCCGACCTCCAGGGGACCTCACCCCATCAAGAGGAGACCCCTCTGCCCTCTTGCCCTCCCTCTTCTTCTCCCACCCCAAGACCCCTGGCCAAGGTCTTGGGGTTCCAGGGCAGACAGTCCCTGGGGCACAAAAAGCCAATGACAGCAGTGCCTGTGCCCCTTGTTACAGCAGAGTGATGAGCAGAGTGCTCTCAGGCCCTGATTCTGCCTGTGGAGACTCAAGAGGTGATGCTTCAGTGGGGTTTTAGAGGATGAGTAGGAGTTTGCCTACTCATGCTGGAAAAAGACTTGGTTCTCACACCCGCTCTGATGTGAAGCTTGGAGAGGGAACTCATGAGTTCAACCAGCTCCTAAATGCTTGGGCATCTTGCAAATCTGCACCCTAAACGGAGGCAAGGGCGTATGTGTGTGGGCCTGTATTTAAGCCAGAAGGTGACTGGCCCATTCAGTGTGGATGCAATTCTACACATGCGCACACGTGTGTACACATTTACACACCTGCTCCCCAAGGGGGTGGCTAAGAGAGACGCTGGCAAAAGCATTGCTATTTATTTCTTCTACCAGAGAAACATCCCACAGATCAAATACAGCATTCATTTATACCCCCATAAAAGCATTTATCAAAAAACCCCCAAAACAACAACAACAAAAAACCCCATAAACAATTGCCCTCAAAAAGATCAGGCTAAACCGGAGCCTGCAATTATCCGCCTGCCTGCTTAATTCTAATGATAGTGCGACATCCTCAGATTCCAGCCCTCGGGGAATGCCGAGCCCTGGGAGCTTTTCTAGGTGATTTGGCTACAATCTCTGCACAGAGCCCTGGCCTGCCGGCCATTCATCCTGCCAAACCTGCACCTGGGTGTCCCCCGAGGTCCGCACAACAGGTAGGGCCAAGTGCTGAGGCACAGGCAGGCTGGGGGCCACTGAAAGACAGGGAAGAGAAGCACCCCCAGCCGAGCCCTGCACAGCCACGCTGAGCTCATCTTACAGCAGGCTTCTCACCCGCTCCCGCACACATCCCAGGACGCCGAAGACGCCCTGGACTGCGCAGGGCAGGCTGCTGGGCTGGGACCCAAAGCCAAGGCCTCTCGCTGAAGCGCAGGGGCTCTCTGTGATATGCCATTTGGTCTGCCTTCCCTGCTGCTCTCTGAGCTGGTGGGTGGTGCCTGCCTGGTGGCTGCAGCCTCTGCTCAATGCAGAATCTGATATTTACAGCCTGCAGATGCTGGCTGTGGGGGCAGCAAGGCCGACATCACAGAGGAAGGGGAGACAACGCCACGCCAGTACCAGGAGGGGCTCAAGGGCCCAGGTGACAAGGTTCCCCTCCTCCCTCACCCCACAGCCTTCTCCAAAACACTGAGAGCCCAGCTGGTCTGGGTTACCTGCCTGCAGAGGCCCAAACAAAGCAAACCACTCATGCTCATGGGGAAAGACAAGGTCGGGTTATGCTTGCCTAGATGTCCAGCCTCTCAGGAGCAGGGACCACAGGTCCTCCACCAGCAGCCATTCCCAGATCCACAGGACCCCCGAAGCCTTGGCATGGAGCTCTGAGGGATGGGGTAGGGGAGTGGGGGCTCCTCCAAGCTGTTACTGTGCTGGTGGGTTGGCAGCTGGCACCCACCACCATGAAGGTGACAGGGCAGGGGCCACCTCAAGGTGCCCACAGCCAAGTGCAGGAAGAGACAGGACCGGGACATGGGCACAGCCACGTGACCCATCCTGGAGCACCTGCCACATGCCAGGCACCGTCTGTTCTGGGCACATTACAGGCATTAACCTATTTCATTCCAAAAATGCCCGGAAAGACCAGGAGTGGTGGGGGAGAGACTGCAAACCTCTCCTGGTGTGGAGGGAGCTCCTCCCCTCCTGCCACGCCACCCTCATCAGCATGGGAGCTGTAGGGTCCCCTGAGCTAAGAACAAAGAGAAGCCAGCTGAGGGCGATGGAAGAGATGGAGCTGACGGGAAGGACATTCACACCAACCCTGCTGCATCTGCAGGGTGAGGCACAGGGCAAAGATGAGGAAACTGAGGCACAGAGAGGAGCTCAAAGCTGCCAGGGCTGAAAGGGCAAGGCTGGGGGCCTGGTGGGGGCAGGGTAGCCTTCAACATCCCAAAGGCGCACTTGTGCATGGCTCCGGGGACCCCTCGTGTCCCAAGTGGACAGCACCCAGAGGCCATGGTGCGACCAGTGCCCCCCGCGGGGGAAGGAGGGTCTTACAGGACAAGTTAAGGTTACATGGTTTGGTAAATCGTTGATGTTCGCTCCCATAATTTCCTCTTTCTTTCTCCAGAGCCAAGAAGGGGTCCGGGATGGAGCTGGCAGAGGCTTCTCTGCCCACCCAGGCCCCCTATGCCATCCTCCACCCTCCCAGCCCCTCCTCCTCCCTGGCAGTGGGTGACTCACAGCAGGGGGTGGGGGGTGGTGAGTGAGAGGAACCAGGGATAAGGGGAACAGGAGGGCGTGGGTGGGCACCGGGCCCCCCGCCAGCCACCAGGAGAAACAGCAGAGCTGGCACCTCCAGGAGGACACTGCAGGGCACTGGGCGGGGGCGGCGGAGGGGCAGGAGGGGGAGGCACAAGGCCCACCTGTGTCAGGAGGGGCTGCCTCCCCCTCTCGCCCAAGGGCCTCTGGAGTTGTCAGACCCAGAGACCGAGAGGAGGCCCAACGGGTAAGCTCTGTGCTGGCTGGGGGATGCAGCTGGGGCCACCTGGGACCACTGCCACCAGGGTCTGAGGGCTGAGGGGTGGGGCTCCCTAGGTGCCATGAGTCCTGCCCACCACGTGGCCTGGGACAAGGGATGGCACTTCCCTGGGCCTCATCTGGAAGATGGCTGTAATAATGGTATCTGGCCCCAGGACTGTGCTGGACTGAAAATGGAATCGTGTGTGGAAATCCACACGGGCCTGACACAGGGTGGGTGCTCAAGAACGTACCCCCCCCCCATTCCAGGCAGCTCTGCCTCACCCCGAGGGAGGTTGCCAGACCCCCCATGGGCCCATCACTGGGGGCCCCCCACTAGCACCAGCGCTCTCCACCCATTTCCTCATGCCTGGGAGGAGATCCTCAAGGACAATCCCTTCTGCTTGTCCACCACACAGCCCAGCTGGGGAGGGCACTGGGATGGTGCACATGGCAGAAGGGCTCTGCTCCAGCTGCCCTGGCCTGGAAGCAGTGGCTGGGGAGGGATGGGCCAGAAGCTGTGTACTGTGCCAGCGTCTGGTTCCTCAGGGCTGGGGCTACCTGGGGCTCTGCTCCTCCAGGCTAATCCACAGACCAACATCAAGACAGGTGGTCCACCTGTGCGCTGGACTAGGGTGGCAAGGACACCAGACTCAGGGCTCTGACCCAAGCCTGAGGCTGTCTGGCTGAAGGTGCTGTGATGTCAGCGCCATGCTCCAGAACTCAGGCCCTACGCAGGGGCCTGCTATGGGATGTGGCACGCCACCAAGGCCTGGGCCAGGAAACTGGCTGCATCCAAATCCCACTCGGGGGCCTCAGTTTCCTCCCATGAAATGGATTCAGGAGATGCCCTGTCAAGTAGCGCTGTTCCTGTCCAGAGGACACTTTGAGGGCCACAGCACAGAGGGGCCCCCAAAGCCACCCCCCATCCCCACAGAGCTGGGCACACATCTGTCCAATACTCTGGACCTTGGTGGGGTCAGCAGCCCCTCCCTGCACTGTCAGTACATTGGCAAGACCCATCAGCCCCAGGTGACCTGCACACCTGTCTCAGCGACCTGCACCATCACAGGCATGAGAGAACTTTCTAGACTTTTTCTTTTCTTTTCTTTTTTTTGATGGAGTCTCTCTCTGTCACCCAGGCTAGAGTACAGGGGCATGATCTTGGTTCACTGCAAACTCCACCTCCCGGGTTCAAGTGATTCTCCCATGTCAGCCTCTCCAGTAGCTGGGATTACAGGTATGCGCCATCACACCTGGCTAATTTTTGTATTTTTAGTAGAGACAGGGTTTCACCATGTCGGCCAGGCTGGTCTTGAACTCCTGACCTCAGTTGATCCGCCCACCTCAGCCTCCCAAAGTGCTGGGATTACAGGCATGAGCCACCATCTGGCCCTCTAGACTCTTAAACAGCTCGCCAACATCCACATCAAACACCAGCCAGGCACACTCTGCACCCTGCCTGGTACCAACACACTTAACTCAAGCGTCCCAATTCACTTCAAGGCTAAACTTGACTGCGCTCGCACACTAGTGACAGAGTACTTGGGAGCCAAGCGCAGCCCTGTGTGGCACTGAGCAGCTCGGCCAGAACCTGATAGGACATCCTGGGCCTTGACACCAGGCCAGTGGGGTCTGGTCTTTAATTCTGTTTGGCCATGACCTGGCTGGCTCCTACAGACTCTGGTGACAGAAAAGTGGGCATTGGCTGTGGGGTGGGGCAGGCAGAGGCCAGCTCACATCTTGGGGCCAGCACTTGCCAACCTGGGCTGCCAGCAAGTCCCTTGGTAGCACTGACCTTGGATTTATTTGAGACCAGATTGGGCAGCTGGGTGGGGACGAAGGAGTGGCTTCCAGCAGCCCCTCTCCTCTGACTCTCCTCCCTGGCTGGTAAATGTGAAGTAGAACCAGTCCTGACCCCAAAGTCAGCTTGGGCCATGCGGCAGGGACTGCCCATCCAGTCTCAGGGTGCAGGCCGGTTTAGGGGCTGAAAGGAGGCCATGGGCAGGTCCCGGCCATTCCTCCTAAAAGGAAAACTGCTCCTTGAGAATGACCCTATGAGTCCCTTCAGGGTAGTGACTTCTGTGTGCTGAGGACTGGCTCTGGGCAGGCCTGTGAGCTGCTCATGGCACCCATGAAACAGGGCTGTTGCTGCGTCACCCCAGCTTTCAGATGGGGGCATGGGAGCAAGGAGACTGGGTAGAAGTGGAGCTGGACCCCGTCACAGGAGGCCCCACTTGGAGCCTCGGGAGCAGCCCCCTCTTCATTTTCTTTCCGGCGGGACTTCTCGGAGCCCTTCAGATGCTGCCATAGTGGGCTGGACAAGCCTGCTCTCCCTCTGGAGATCTGGGGCGGGGAATTGGGGGGGTGGGCAGCGAGGACTTGGGGAGCCCAGTGGTAGGTCTGAGGCAGGAATAACCCCGGCCCAAGGTCTGGGGGCCAGGTCAGGATCCTCTGAGGGCAGCACAAGTCTACCAGAAAAGGTGAGGTGGTGTCGAAGGGGGTAGGCGGTGGAGGCAGACACCCCTCTCCTCCTGGGCACCCAGCACCTCTTGGGGTCCCAAGTGATCCAGTCAGGCCTGGGCAGCCCCGGGAGGCTGAGCCCTGTGATGAAGATGCAAGAGGGCGGCTCTTGCTGTGGCTTTCTGTGCATGTTTTGTTTTTAAAAGGCAACACGACAACCAGCAATTAACCCGCCAGCAGCTCCACCACCCGCAAGAAGCACCTGTGGACACATCCTGCAGCTGCCTGCTGCCTCAAGGTCAGGGCTCCCAGGGACCCTGGCAACCATGTCGGCAGCACCCTGCCCCTCTGCATGAACATGCATGACGGAGCTGGAGCCGAGGGCCTCGTCACTATTTGCCAGCCATATGGGGATGAACATAGCCATTCTGGGAGCCCAGGCCAGGCCAGTGGCTGCAGTAGGGCCACTTCCAGGCTACACACTGGGGGGTCCACAGCATCTTCCCTCCATGGGGTCCACTTGGCCTTTCAGCTGGGGCCCCATTCCCAGTGCCCTTTTCAGGATCAGAACCATCCTCCAGCTTGCGGGGTGCAGCTCAGCTTTGAAACGGAGGTGTGGCTTGGAATTCCTTCCCTGTCACTGCCATGCTGTGGCATTTTGTGCAGGGCTATGGTTTAAGGCCTAAAGTTAAAGCCAACAACATTACGTGCTACCTTGACACCCAGTGAAACCAGGAAGGCCCTGAACAGCCTAGCTTCATGTCCCCCACCGGACTCTGCTGCTGTGGCTAAGTACCCACCCAGGCAAGCGTCCTCCCCACAAGGACTGGGCACAGCTCCTGCTTATGCCTGAGTAGTGAGATGCAGCTCTCTGCCAACCCATGGAATTATTCAAACCAGCCGAAACTGCCTCTGGTGGGAACCAGGGGCCACCTCACCTCGTTGTTACTCCAAAGCCTGCCTCCCCAGCCCCTGCCTGTTCACTGTGTCCTGAGTGCAGTATCCTCCTCTCTGGGCTCTGAGTATATGTGACAATAAAATGTCATCCACTCATCCATCCAGTGCTGGGTGTCTTGTGTTCAGTCATCCCCGTAACCCCAGGACAGGACTCCCGTGCTCACAAATCGGGTGAGTAGGAGGAGATTTAAACCAAGGTGCCTAGACTCTCCAGTCTAGGAAAACAACGGTGGCCCCCCACAGGGCAGGCACAGTGACAGGAGGGGCTTGCTAGGCCATCCCTCCCAGCCCTGGTGCGATGGGTCCTCCACCTGGGGTCCCCCCACCCCCGACACATACACGTCCCACCAAAGCCCATCTCTCCATAGACACCAGCTTGGCTTCCTCCGGAGACAGCCGGGACACTGGCTCAGGCCAGCCCCTGGGGGTGCAGGACCCACCCTGTCAGGGTCCTACTCTCAAAAATAAGGCCCAGACTCCAGGGCTGCACTCTTGACCACTGTGGCCTTATGTCCAGCCTCATCCTCTGCCCCCAACTCTGTCCATGTCCTTTTTGTCCTTTTCAGAGAGTGGACAGCTGCCCGGAGGTTCCCACTCATCCCTGAGCAGATGCCTGGGGACCCAACCCAGCCCGAGGCCCAAGGCCAGGGAGCACAGCCCGAGGCCAGGGAGCACAGTCCGGGGCAAGCACTGCCACATTTTTTAAGGTATTGAGGAGAAAGAACAGAGAGGACTGTGCAACAGAAGCAAGTGGCCAGCAGTCCCGCACACTGCTATCAGGCCCTTTCCAGAATGCCCCCTACCACCTCCGGATGAGAGCATCTGCACACATCCGCCCTCCCCAGCAGGAGAGGCTGAGGCCCTCACATTCACCCACGGGGCTCTTCTAACCCCCAATAACCTCAATAAACCCTCCATGACCTTCTGTAGGCTAATCACTCCACACCGAGCTGGAGTCGGGGCTCCCCCAGGTGACATGCAGACAATGGAAACATCGTGACCTCAGAGCCGCTGTGCAGACCTGTCACAGGACTGCAGCTTCTGGCCCTGGGGACAGAGGACCGTGGCTGCCCACAGGGGAGACACACAACCAGGGCCCCCAGGACCTTCCAGGGCTCCCTGCAGCTGTTCCCCCTCGAGCTTTGCCCTGGATCTCCAGCTCTCCAGACTTTCCCATCAGCAGCCAGACCAGCACAACAGAGACCAAAGCTCTGCCATTCCCAAGCTCGGTTCCCACCCAGGCCTCAAACCCGCACCTTTCGGGCTTCCCCGCTCCTGCCCAAGTCGTCCCGGGCACCTGGGCACTCCGAATCCCCTTCTCCTTCCATCGGTGGTCACTACCACTCCCCAACCAGCTCAGTCCTTAAGTGGAATCTTCAAAACACTCTTCTCCTCCCACCTGTTCAACTCTGTTTATTAAGGAGGTACTATGTGCAAAGCAGGAGGCCTGCCCTTGCTGGGCCTACAGTCTGCTGGCGGGTGGCCTGGAGGGAGCAAGGGGCGGTGAGCAGGAAGGACCAGGGGAGGGGGCTGTGCCCACACTGGCAGAACCAGGTCTTCAAACCTTGGGCCCACAGGCTGTGGGTTCAGCCATCTCCCCAATCCTCACTCACCTCCTGGAACCGGCAGAGCCTGGAAGTAAGGATCCCACCAGATGTGGGAACTGTCAGTGCTAGAAAAGCCAGGCAGCATGGAGGGCAACCCTCCATCTATTTTACAGAAAAGAGGAGTGAGGCAGGGAGGCGATGGTCTTTAGGGGCCAGAACCCAGCTCCCAGGTCTCCCCTCTGCCGGGAGCCTTTTCTGCCACTGACAAGCCCCTGACCCTGCAAGATGAGTGGCTGGAAATGCGGAAGGACGCAAAGGGGTCCTCCGTGACAACTCCTCCCCTCCCCTCCCTCCCTTCCCTGGCTCAGGGGTTCCTCCCTCACCCCCTCCAAATGCCAACAGGGTGGGCCCTGCTCCTGCATCCAGTTCAGGATGCATTTGTCTTCCCCAGGGGTCATGGAGGCTCAGGAACCTGGCATTGGACCCTGACCGGCAGGTTTTGGGACTCGGTGTCTACACAGGGCCACACCCAGAACCAGAGAGCAGGAGGTCATGATGCTGCCCACCCTTTCTCCACCTGACAGATGGGGCCAGCAAGGGCCAGCACCCTCCGCGCAGCCCGGCTCCCTGTTCTCCTGGTCCTCTTCAGGGCCGCTTTCTAGAAGCCTTCGATTAAACCAATTCAGTTTCCAAAGTAATGACAAAGTCCTGTCTCTTAACAGTCTGGCTGAGCATTGCCAGATAAAACACAGGGTGCCCAGTTAAATGACAAAGGACAAAATTTGTTTTCGGTATAAGTTTGTCTCAATTTCAGATACACAACAAATAATTTTTAGTTTAAGTAAGTGTGTCCCACGCAATTTGGGACACACAGTGCTTATTTTACATCTTTTGATTGTAAATCATACTTAACTGCTAAATCCAGCAGCCTAGCCTCGTTCCTTCATTGCTCCTAGGTGGCCCTCCCCCTGGGAGGGGCAGGCATGCGGTGCCCCCACTGAGCCCCCAGAAGGCCTGCCTCCCAGCTCCCCTAACTCCTTCTGTACCTGGATGCAGGGTCCCTTCCCCATAATCCCAATTCAGGGACCATCCCCATCCTGTTGAAGGCTGACCCTGGGGCAGGGGAGGGGGCGTTTCCCAGGGATTCCCCCAATTCCTGGCCACCCTCCAAATCCCTAGAGAGCAAACTTAAAGGCAGAGTGGGCCAAGAGTTCGGTGGGGGTCCAAGCTCTAAAGCTGTTCCCTCAGGCTGGAAGCCACCCAGGGAGGTTAGGGTAGGGAAGCAGAGGAGGTCTCCCAGCAGGGAGGAGGTGGGGAGAGAAGCCAGAGGGGAAAGAGGGGCAGGGGGAGGGGAGAAGAGAGGAGGGCAGGGCCCCTGAGCCGGGGAGGAGGGAAAGGGGCGGGTCTCCAGGCTGGGAGGGGAGGGTCCCTGGGCTGGGAGGGGTGCTGCTGCCACAGGCGCATGCTCAGCTGTCCCTGCAATGCGGCGCCTTGTCCTCTATTAACCCAGTTCCGCGGATTCTGCCGACCAGGCACTCATTATCCCCCTGAGCAGGGGTCGTTTTCTGGCTGTGGATTGCGCGGGAGCCACAAGAAAACTGCAGTACCGGCTGCAGTAGGAAAGCCCCGGAGGCAGCACCCCCCCGCCACCCACTGCACAAAGGGGTCCCAGGCAGGCAGGCTTCTGGCTGGGGAAAGGGGGGGCGTGCAGGCTTCCCTGGGGTGCGGGCTCAGCCCCAGCCCCAATGATCAGAGACCTCAAGATGGTCCCTGTCCATCATGCCTTTGGGCAGGGAGTGTCCCCCCAAGACAGAAGGGTCCCTGGGGAGACCAGGTGCCCCAGAAAGGGAGCTGGGGTGAGCTGCGCATGGGCCTGCAGGCAGGAAGAGGACAGTGGTGATACTGATCTCTCTGTGGGGTGAGCCTCGGGCCTGGGAGGTGAGCCCCACTTGTGAGGTCAGCCCCACCTGGGAGCCCCACGCTGGCCGAACCCTCGGCCTGCCTCAGCTGGGTGAAATCTAGAGTCCTCCACATCCCGGCTCTGCTAACCACCAGCTAGGGGACCCCGTCCACCTCTCAGCTTCTTCGGGACTCAGCTTTCCCCCCATGTGAAAGGGGAGCCCACGCTCAGCTCAGAGGGTGGGAGGACATGAGACAGCGTCGATGATGCCAGGAGCTCCACCCTGAGCTGAAGGGCCATTCCAGGGCACGGACCCTGCACCAGGCTCTCCACAGCATGGGCCGCTAACCAGGGTCACCCCGCTGCACTGCTTCCTACGCACGCTTCCCTCTACACAGGGCGTCCAACAAGGCACAACAAAACTGTCCCCAAAAGAACAGCCGTTCATTGTGGACAATGAGCAGCAGGGGCTGGGCAAGCGGGCGGGGGGTTGGGGTAGGGGGTAGATAACAACAAGACATGTTTTAAGACTTGTGTGCCTAATGATCTCTTTACCCCCGTCAATTAATTTCCTCTAACTGCTTTTGTTAACAGTAGTTTAATAATCTCTCATTATTCAGTACATTCACCAACTTTGAATGTCTCACAATCCTCCATTTAATTAAGTATTAAATATTAAAAAATCGAACTGTTACAGCTTTGGCACCAGCTGGTGCAGTTCTGCAGTGTCCGCGTGGCCGAGTATTTCGGTAAGTGGGGGCCTGAGTGTTTCTGGAGTGGCATCCTCCTTCCTGGAGCTGCATGCTACCAGCCGCTTCTCATCACCAGGAGCCTTGAAGGACCAAGGCCGCCCTGCTCGGGCCCGGACATGAGTGAGTGTGGGGACACAGCACTCCTAGTGACTCTCAAGGAGTGAGCGAGGCCCCTCCACTGGCGCTAGACCCAAATCAGGGGTGAAATGCAGCCGGGGAGGCTGCTGGAGCCTCCCCCACAAGGCCCAAGGGCCCAGAATCCTTCTCCCCCACCAACCCTTGCTCTCTGGGTCCCCTCCCCATCCCCCACCTCCCTGAATAGCAGGGGGGAAGGCCATTGCTCTCTGGGTCCCCTCTCCATCCCCCACCTCCCTGAATAGCAGGGGGGAAGGCCATTGCTCTCTGGGTCCCCTCTCCATCCTCTACCTCCCTGAATAGCAGTGGGGAAGGCCATTTTGGGGAAGCCCCTGCCCCACCACGATGGGAAGGAGAGAGCCAGACACCCAGGCAGAGCCTGGGCCCAGCCCCTGGTTAGGAAGGGTGTTATGCTCTCCCACGTTTTCACAGGCTCTGGGCTGGGAGCCAGGAGGCCATCAGATGAACCAGCTGCATCTGCCCTCAAGGAGCACATGGTCAGTTGAGAAACAGCCAGGGGCGCCTGCCATGGGGCCTGGGGAGTTCCAGGCAGGGTGGCAGGCTGCCCGTGGGACGATCCAGGACAGCTTCATGGAGGAGGGGGCCCTGGGGCCTGCAGGTTGGGTGGGCCAGACGACACCAGAAAGCTACTGGGTATTCACGAGGGGTCCTCCGCAGCAGGACGCAGAGGGTCTGGCCAGGAAGGGAGGCAGCGATGTGGAGAGGGATGGTCTCAGAGCTTTGCAACATCCCTGTGAGGTAGATACTTTACAGCTGGGGAAACTGAGGTCTAGGATGACTGAGTAACCTGGCCACGGTCAGACAGCTGGGCAGTCAGGGTTGAAGCAGGACATTCACCTGGAGGTGCGTGTCCCACAGTGAAGCTCTGGGGCTCCATCCAAGACCCCATCCCTCACCTCCCCCATTCCTCCTCAGCTAGGAAAGCCCAAAGGGCCTGGGAGGGTTGGGGAACCTCAGGTCCCCGCATGGGGGAGGCAGCCCAGGGCAGCAGAGGCCACAGGACAGAGCACCCAGACTGAGATGGGTGGTGAGTGCAGGATTCTGCCTGCAGAAGAGGGCCAGGAGGAAGTGCCAAGCATCCTTCCTCTACGGTCTCAGCAGACCGTCCAGCGCTGTCACCGCCCACCCCAAGAGGCAGGCTGGGGGCAGGAGAGGGGACACCAAAGCAACACCCACAGCATCTGGGCAAGGCCAGCTCTGTCTGGGTCATTTTCTGGAGACCCAGATTTCAACTCCAAGGGGATGAGGTTCCCTCAAAGCCGGGGTGGTAGGGCCAGCTCCCTCATCAAGAGTTCTGAGGCTCCACTGTGATCTATGCTGTGTGGCTACAGCGGGGCCCCCGGGGTGTGAACTGCACACCTCAGGGATGCTACCCAGGAGCAGGACTCAAGCACCAAGGGCAGACAACCCAATTGTGCAGGGCCGTGTGACCCAAAGGTTCAATTCTGAGGAAACCTCTGAATCATTAGAAACACAAACACAGGCTGCATATGAGATGGTATCAAGGAATTACTGTCCATTTTTCAGAATGATAAAGCTCCTGTGGCTGTTTTTGGAACCCTTTTCTGCTAGGGATGCATGCTGAGATATTTATGCACTGAATGGTAAACATCCCAGGGTCTGGGGCCCAGATGGAACAAGACTGGCTAAGAATTGATAACTGTTGAAGCTGGGTTCGTTCTATCATTTTCTCTGTATTTGGGAGTGTTTGAAATTTTCCACCATAAAAAGTTAAATAGGAAAAAAATGCCCAAGAAAATGGCAGGGTGAGGCTGTGCAGCCCTGGGCGGAGGGCCTGTGTACAACTCGAGGCAAAGCAGAAAGGGGTCGGCCTGCCCTCTGGAGCCACACACGGCTGGGTATCCCTGCCCCTGCCCAGAGAGGCATCCTGCGGGAAGGTCACAGCAGGGAGCTGGCTGCTGAGAATGCCAGGCAGCCCCCTGGCTGGCTACCCCTTCCTCCCACCACCCTACCCAGCTTGCATCGAATGAGTAAACAGGCTAGGCATACAGCTTGAGAGGCACAAGCACCTGGGAGCAAGGCCTGTGATGAGCCACAGGGCAACACAAAGCAGCTCAGCTCTGCAGCTTGTGTGGTCAGCAGGGTCTCCAGGGCGCAGCCATCCTCTCACTCAGATTCCCACTACCCTAAATCCTTCTGACTCATAGAGCACTTTGAGAATATAAATAGGGGTTGTGAGGTTAATTTAGAGGAGCTATGTAATTCCACAAAAACATACTCGGGTAGTTTTCTGCTTGACCCTAACAAACTCCTACTCATCCCTCAACGCCCATGCAACACAACTTTTGGAGTGAACGAGCACAAGACAGGTCAGTGGCAGCGCAACTCCACTTTTAGGACTGCCTCAGGACTGCCTCTCCCAGGCCCCACCCAGCACACAGCGTCGTAGCTGCTGGTTTCAGGGTGTATCTGCTCATCTCTGTGTCCTCCGTGTAAACCTGTTACATGAGTGAGAGTCTATGTCTAGGGTGTGTCTAAAGGGGTTCCTCTCTCCTCCTCCCGAGGTCTCGCACAATTGAGGAACGAGACAGAATGTGCAGAGGGGCCAGGAAGCCCTGGGTCTGACATGCCCCATGGTCCCTGGCCGAGGAGAAGCAGGCAGAGACAAAGTGATCCCAAAGGAGAGGCTGGCAGCACTGTGCTGCCCTGCATGGGCCCACAGGTGTGGGCCTGGTATCCAGGAGGGAGGGAAGGCCCCACGGGTCTCAATCTGTGGAGAGAGGGGCCACACTACACACATATGTCACCAGGCCACAGGGCACGAGGTGGTGCTACCTCACACGTATGGCCCTGGGAAGTGCATGTCAGAGCTGTGGGTCTAGGTGGACAAGGCTTTGGAGGCCCCTGATAAGGAAGGGCCCGAGGTGGGTGGGGGTGGCTGCTGACCTTCACGGACAGATGGAAAAGCAGGAGGGAGACAGCCAGCTATGGATTCTGGTTTCCTAAGCTAATAAATTTGCACAGGCTTTTAAAACACCAAGTTGACCAGCAAGCAACATTTTTGCCAAACTCAATTCACTGACACATGTCACGGAGCTTCTCCTGAGTGTGGGGTCTCAGTGGCTCTGCCAACGTCATCAGGAATTAGCTACAGCCAGAAAAGTAGCAGCCTTCGTTCAACAGAACATCACACAGCAGTGGGAAGGGATCCATCCCACAGACACACCCCAGAACATCACCCGAGCACAAGACAGGTCACAGCGGCAGCGCAACTCCACTTTCAGGCTCAGACACAAGCAGGTGAAACGCCCATGTGGCAAAACAACAGAGAAACGAGGCAGGGATGAGCATAAAACCAGGAGAGGGATGAGGGGAAGGGGGTGCCTGGAAGGCTCCAACATGAAGTGTTTGAGGTTCCTGCTCTTCCTGGCTTAGGGACCCCACCTTTGTGCTGGGTGATACTCCCCCCACCCCCAGAACATTTCACTCTAGTGCCTCCACCAGTGCCAGCCACAGAACGTCAGGGAACACAGAAGCCTCCTGGGCTCACCAAGCCGTGCACACAGCAACCACGCGGGAGGCGCTGGCTTTAACATGACTGCTGTCATCGCAGGGTGGCCGTGGGACCTGAGCTGGGCCTGGCATCTCTTCAGGTCTCAGTTTCAAGCCTGCTAGAGAAAGGCTGCACTGGGCAGTGCCAGGACTCAGGGTCCAGCGGGGCCACCAGACACTTGTGGGTCTTCATCCATGATGGGGCAGCCACGGGACATATGAGCTGCTCCCTGGGGCCAGGAGGACAGCAGGCTGTGGCCCACACTTGATCATCCCCGTGCCTGGGCTCAAGCCAGCAGCAGTCCCTGGGTGGTCACGGAGAAAATCTGGCCACCGCAGATGACCACACTGACCCACGACTCCCAGCGGCACAGCTTTGCAGGACAGCAGAGGCAGCTCGGATCCTGTGGTCCCGGTATGGCAGCCCACTCAGGGTCTGTGCACTCAGCAGACACCCCAGGACCCTGGCCAGGCCTCTCGGCATCAGCAGCTTCCTGCCCTCTGCTCCCGGCGACATCTGCCCCCCAGCACCCCAATCACCCTTGGTCACACCCATAATGACACACTCAGGCTCTCAACCACACGGCTCAGTCTCTGGAGCCTTACTGGACATCCCTCCTGAGTCTGGACTGAAATCCTGGTTACAGAGGCCACTCCCTCCTCCTCCCACCTGCTTGTCCAAACACCCCAGAGCTCATCGAAGCTGACCCTTGGAGCAAGTGGCCTTCAGCTCTGCCCACTGCTCTCCCGGCCAGGGGCCACCTCCAGGACCCCCACCTGCCTCACTCCAGGCCCCTTGGGAACCTGAAGCATCTTCCCAAGCAGGAACCAGAAGGACCTCTCATTCTCCCAGCTCATCCTGGGCTGGTCCCAGCCTAACTGCCGGAGGGCCAGACAGTCCCATTCCAGAGGCTCTACCATGCTCCACACATGCACCTACACATGCATGTGCACGTAGACACGTGTGTGAACATGCACAGGTACGCTCACGCACACATAGACCTCCTCTCCATGGCACCCTGTGACAGGCAGGGAGTGTCCAGGCCTCAGGGATGTCACCCAGAGACCCACAGGAACTGGCCACAGGCACAACTGAGCACCGCCCACTTATGACCAGTTCTCTGTCTTGATCAAGAAAAAACAAGCTGACTGCCCTAGGTCCTGGAACACAGCCTGGCCCACCCACCCCACCACGGGCTGGGCCCCAGGGGGCCAAAAGAGCTGACCAGCAGGCGGCCCACTTCCAGCTGTGCAGTCACAGGGCAGAAGGGACACCCAGGCCCCCGCAATGTGTGGAGAATGGTTGGGAGCGCATGCCTCTGGAGCTGCCCCAGCCCACTCCTCAGTGTCCCTGCTGAACCCTCTGCAGTGTCACCCTCCCATGGCCCCTCGTGGGCTGGGACACACACATGGGGACTGACCCAGCCCTGGGCACCGCCAAGCCCCTTCGTGGCTCAGTGACGAGGAGGCAGACAAGGGCTGGGACAGGAGCAGGTCCCACTGCAGCCTAAAGGACCTCCCCACAGCCTGGTGTCAGGGAATGCTCCCAAGAAGGGGAAACACTGATGGCCTAATACACAGCAGTCGCTCAAACAACGCCGACACATCGCTCCACAAATGGCACAGGCCCGCCCCCACAGGTGGCTGGATCACTGTAAACTGCAGGCCACAGACAGTAGGCAGCTCTCCCACCAACCCAGAGGAGGCCCGTCTCTGCCCACATTAGGCCCTCAGCATCTGGCAGCCTGGCCAGATGGGTCAGGGCCTCTCCAGCTCCCAATTAGCTCAGATTTGTGCCTGGATGCTAATCAAGGCTGCTGGTGGTGCCCTGGGAGGGGAGGGGCTCAGAGAGGCAGACAGGGGCTTCGCTTGGCTCCCTCTACCAGGGCATCATCCGGCCAGCCCCTCCTCCATGGAACCCCACCATACGGGGCAGTGACATGGGGCTGCCACCTCAGTGAGGCAGCCCACCCTTCCTGCACCCACCTCCACAGCCCCACCTGGCGCTCTGGCACACCCCACCTTGGGGCTCCAGCAGGACCCCTGCCATAGTCCCTCCCCACCACCTCCTCAGATCTGTGCTCCAACCACAGCAGCTGCCCCGGGAGGCCTCTGCCCATCATCATCAGATTTGCTGTGTGCTGATTTTGGGTTTTGTTTGTCCTCGACCTGCCCCACAGGACAAGGACAGCACAAGGACAGGGAGACCCCACAAGGGCAGGGAGACCCCGTGAGGGCAGGGAGACCCCGTGAGGGCAGGAGCCTGTCTGCTCCATCACTGCCTGCAGTGCCCAGAGCTGATCATTGCCAGCAGGGCTCTGGAGGCCCGTGATGGGGCATATCCACATGCTGAGGGCCACTTGGGGCCAGCACCACTCAAGGCCCTTCCTCGCACACACCCTGCACGTCTGAGAAGCCCTCCCAGGACAGGCGGAGTGCCCTGCCACTATGTAGAAGACTTGGGCTCTGTTAGTTAGGAAACTGCCAGGTCACCTCCCAGTAGGCCATGACGCCAGGACTCTGCTGTCAGAAGGCAGATGGCCAACCGCAGCACTGCCCGGTCACCTGAAACTTTGTCACTGAGCTCTCATCTGGCCCACGGCTCTCAGGGCAGATGACACCACCCAACCACCATGGCGGCCTGGCCACCTTGAACCTCTTCCCCTCCAGCTCTGGGGGCAGAGACCCCCATACACGGGATGGGGAGGTGAAAGTGGGCCCTGAGAACAACCTAACCAGAGCACAAAGGTGCATCCAAGGGTCTGAGGGTCCCTTGGCACCCCCACCAGCCTGGGCCCCACCAGGCCAGAGGTGCCCTCAAGTCCCCAACACTCCTGTGCCTCCCTCTGCCACAGCCTCCACTCCAGGAACCCCACTGCATCTGTGCATGGAGCCACAGGCAGGGTGGGCCAAGTGCTGGCCAAGACTGGGAGGGGCCTGCTGCCCAGTCCACAGGGCACGGCCTCCAAAGCCCCTGCCCCAGCCTGACAGCAGCTGCGCAGGACACTCCCCATGCCCTACCTCTGGCTGACAGCTTCTTGGTGTTGATGATCTTGGCTGCATACTCATGGCCGGTGCAGAGCTTGACACAGCGTCGGACCACAGAGAAAGCCCCCCTGGGGAGGAAAATGGGGGAGCGAGAGACAGAGACAGAGACAGACAAGGAGAAAGAGAGAGAGCCGATTAATCTCCCCATAAACACTCCCCATTAAGCATTCAGCCACCGGCCCGGCCTCGGGCAGATGGCTGTGAGTCAGAAACTGTGAGGAAGTGGGTGCCCCTCACAAGCCACTCTCAGCTGGCCCCACTCAACACCAGCAGAACAGAGGCCGGCTTCCCGACGGCTGGCAGAGCCCTGGCAGATGGCACGCCCTGGGGGGCTGTGCAGAGAAGAAGGATCAGTCAGGCCCTCGGGAGGGTGGCGGAGGGGCCCCGTTCAGCTCCTGTGTGACCTACAGGCCTGTATCCTTGTGGGTCGGCTGGACCAAGAGTCCATGTCCACAGGCCTCTCAGCAGGCATCCTCGGGGGCTCTGTACCACGTCCATGAGGCCCTGCTGAGTCTTCCCCAGAGGCAAATAAAGCTGGCCTTGTCTGGAAGGCCCAGCTCCAGAGGGCAGTTATATTGGGATTTGTGCAGTCAGACATGGGGACTCATGGAAGGTTTTGTAGGGAGAGAGAAACATCACATCCTTAAACTGAAAAGCTGGAGGAGAGGGTCCTGAGAGCCTCCACTGTCCAGGTGTCAACGCAGAGGCCATGGAGGCCCAGAGTAAGGGCGAAGGGACATTCACAAACTGACAGCCTGGGGGTAGGGAGAGGGGAGGAGGGACGGGGGACAGAGGGAGCTGACCAGCATCAACCACAGTCCAGAGCCCAAGAGACACAAGGAAGGAATCGGGTTAAGGCTGCTGAGGCCATCGAGAAGAGGCCATGAACGTACCCCACAAAGCCTGGCCTGCAGAGGAGCTCCTGCCCTGGCTTCAGGGCGCCCTGAGGGAGTCAGTGCCACCCAATGGGAGCCACAGAGTCTATGAGGCAGGAGGGGAGGGGGCCGGTGCCCACCAGGAGGCCCCGCAGAATCTGACTAGTCACCACGGTTGATTTAATTTGATTTCAGATCATTTTCTAAGAACAGCACACGTGAGGCAAGGGGCCTGGTCAAGAAATGTCACATGAAGGGTCTGAGTCCAGACAAAAGGGCCAGCGGATGCTCTCAGGCTGGGGCTGGGAGAAAGGGGGGCTTGGAGGAAGCCCACCACCAGGTGGGCACCCACCCGTGCAAACCCGAGCACGCAGGGCCCTCCTGTGTTTGCACCTGCAAAGTGCCCAGCCTCCCCCCTACAGGAACAGCCTCCCCTCCCAGAAAGCTTCTTCGGCCTGGACAGCCTGAGAAACCCACATGGGAGTCCAGGCCAAGGGCTCTGCGTGGTGGAAGAGGAGCGTCTTACATACGAACACCGTTTTATCTACAGTCCTTTGTGGAGATAAATCTTTGTAAAAGAGTACTGTTCAATTCCTTGGAAAGATAAATAATTACACTAAATCTAATTGAACATTTTCTTAACGACTCAGGTCTCAAGAGCAGTCACTGTGCTTGGGCGGCCACTGAGCTGCGTCTTCGCTTTTTAAAGTCAACCAGTGAACAGGGACAGGGGCTGCCTCAGGAGATGTGGGGGGAGACCCAGCGGTGGGAGATGCGGCGGGGGGGAGGCGCGGCGGAGGGGGCGCGGTGTGGGGGGGACACGGCGTGGGGGGCGCGGCGGGGGGGCGCGGCGGGGGGGCACGGTGAGGTGTTCACTGTTCACTCCGCATTCTCTTGCTCTGCTTGATTTTTTCACCATGTGCATCAGTTACGTTCTCATAATGTTTTTAAAGAAAAATATAAAGAAAGGATTATTATTTTTAACATATGACATTAACTTGGGAGACTGAGGTGAGGGCAAAGACCATGGGCTTTTTGCCTGGTCTGGCTTCAATCCTGGTTAGACGGGGTGACACAGCTCTCTGAGCCTCAGTTTCCCCATCCATATGACTGAGCAGAAGAGCCTTCCGGGGCCACTGTGTGGCTGTTTGCCGGACTTCTTGCTCAGGAGAGGTAAGAGCTTCCCGAAACCAGTCCTGAGCTACCATCTGTCACGCTCTGACCCCTAGAGGGCTCAGCGGCCACAGGGCTGACGTGGCAGGCCTCCACTGAGTGTTCTGGACCAGGCCCTGAAGGGAGCAGGGAGTCTGGGCCTCCGTGCGCCAGAACGCAACCACACACTGCAGGGTTGACCCTCAGTAGGAAGTTCAACAGACTGCACATCTATGCCAAGCTGATGATGCCCGTATGGCACCGCTGTGTCGAGCCCGTCCCCGGAGCAGGGAGGAGACCCAAGCGCAGCTTCCCACCAGCACAGCAGGCTCCCAGCTGCTGGCCAGACTCAGACAGGTACCGGAGCAGAGGGCGGCAAGCCACAGCTGTTCCTCAGCACACGACATCCATGCACCATATCACCAAGAGCCTGACCGCAGGTGGGTGGGACAAGGGCTTCCTCCAGTTGATCCCTCTCCCCTCCCTGGGTCAGGCAGCCCCTTTCTCCTCTGCAGAAGGCTCCAGAGCCGCCCCTGCACCATCAGCCTAGGTCGGAGCAGTCAGCAATCGGGGAAGGCGGGGGCAGGGAACACAGGTAAGACTGCCAGAGCCAGGGGGCCAAGGCCAGGCAGCGCCGCTGAGGAAGGAGGAAGGCATGGCTGGGGGCCTCGGGATGAGTGTGGAGTGGGAGCACCAGGCCGCACAGCTGTAGTGACATAGGATGTGGCAGGCACAGTGCCAGGCACCCAGCAGACACTCAGCAGGAAGGGACCAGGGGTGCAGGGACCAGGGGTGCAGGGCCCGGGGGTGAAGAAGGCCCTGCTCTTGGACACAGGCCTGCAGGTAGGGTGGAGGGCACCCTCAAGAATAGAAGACAGGGTCCCCTTTCCCAGCGACTTGGATGCCCCCAGAGGGAGAAGGTGGCCAGCTGGGGGAAGGCGCAGGAGGGCTGGCTCCCAAGGACACCACTGCTCCCTGCGCCCCGCTCCTGGGCTCTGCCTCTCCCACGCCTTCTGTCCCTCACTGAAGCCCCAAACCTTCTCTGAGTCCCAATGTCATCGCCGCCCCCCAATTTTCTCCCTCTCCTCTCTCCTCTGGGGGACTTAAGGAATGTATGCTTAAGTCTCCCACCCCAGTTATTTGCCCGCTTTACCCACCACTTCCCCTAAAGAGCACCCTGAAAGGTGCTCCTCCCCATAATGGCTGTCCACCCGCACCCATCCTGCCATCTCCCCGGGGAACTTGGGCTGGCAGCTGCAGATCCACCTCTGTCTCCTCCCCTTCCTGGTGGTTCTGCCACTTGCCAGACGGCAATCTGTCACGGGAAGCCCCCTTGGAAGTGTCAGCCCTCTTGAGAAGTGGCCACAAACATGTTTAGCATGAGCCATGCAGGCCATGGCTGGGGGCCCAACATCTCTGACTTCTCCAAGAGCAAAGAAGCCAGCACCATCACCATACTCCCTTGCGACTCAGTGCTTGCCCGCCAGTGTTTATAAACATTGAGAGACAACACCGACAAAGAGCCTGGATCTGTATCATAAGCCTGTCCCTGCTGCCAAGGGCAAACTCCTATGCGTCCTTCAAGATCCAATGCAAACAGCTCCCCGCTTTCCCAGCTCACACAGAAAGTCAGCTTGGTCTTTAGATATTGCACCTCCCACGTTCCTTAGGTTAGTTTACTTAATTATCTACCTGTTCACTTTTGCCACTCCCCCTTCCAATGGCTCTCTATGGGCAGAGTGCCCTATACTCTGGACCTAGGTATCAGGCACAGTGCCTGGGCTGTGATATAGGAGCCAGAACTGACCTACAAGCAACACAGTGGGCTGTGGAGCATGGAGTTGCTGGGCCTCAGGGCTTGTCCAGCCCAGCAGTACAGGAAGAGCGGCCCCTAGAGTGTCCCAGCAGGAGGGGAGACCCACCAAGGCTTCCAGGGCCTGTGGGTAGATGGGTCTGTGCTACACTGAGGCCACAAGGCCCTGGTCAGAGCCAGGGGGTACCCCAAGTAAATAAGGCCTGGGGCTTAGGCTCCCCGCCTCTCCACCAGCGCACAGAGGCTCGAAGCCCGGTCTTCTTATCTGGAAGCACGGGCGGGCCTAGCAGGCGGCAGCATGGTCCTTGGGCTCAGCAAAGAATGCCTTGGATGACACTGCAGGTGCATAGGCTGATCACACGCCTGCCTCTAGGGTGTGGACCATCCCAGGCAGCTGTAAGGGCACAGCGGGTTGGGGCAAAGGCAGGAAAAAGCCGGAAGAGGTGCTCCTACGGGATCCCAGGTCGCTGTTCCTGTGGGCTGCGAATTGCATCTAGACATCAAGGTTGCCCGCATGATGGCCTGCATGGGACGAATGCTACTGAGCCAGGCTGAAAGCGATTTTGAATAACCTGTTCAGATCATGAGGCCCCCGGGCACCAAGCATATTATGGGGCTTTTAAAATCAAATAAAGCTAATTAAAACAAGAAAATACTCTTTGAGTCCTTGCTTTGTGGAAGGCTCTGAACCCTGTCTCATTTACAGTGGGATCAACAGTACCAGGGAAACCTGTCCTGAGAGAGAAGGGGAAGAATTAGTTCTGGGTGGGAATGGAGGCCCGGAACTACATGGCCTGTTTCTACGACTGCACCTGCTCGGGCACCTCCTTCATTGCAGGGGGGCTCAGGCTTCTCGCGCGATAATGGGGTGAAGGCCACCTGCGAGGAGAGGTGCTGAGTGTACCTCCCCTGACTGCAGCCACCCAGGGCAGTCGGTGTTTCACAGGCATCCTGTGGGCTCTCGGGGCTTCACAGGCAGAGGCAGCAGGAAGCGTCATTGTCTGCAGGATGCCCCATCCGCCTCTGTCTCCTCCTCGCATCCAGTCTATGGCTCCTCTGGCTCCACAACAGACTGCTGGTGCAGGCCCAGGCTTTCCCAGCTCTGAGCTGCCCCCCCAACCCTCGTGCCTGCCTCTTCCCTCCAGTCCCCACTTGCAACCGGCCACCAGTTGCTGACTATCCGTGGCTCCCACCAACCCCCACGGAGCTCCCCACCGCAGGTGGCTCTGTGGCCTGCCCCACTCTCCACTAAGTCATGCTGGTCGCACTGCGGCCCTCGCCAGCTGCCCGCACCTCTCCCCGGAGAGCTGGGAGGAGGTGTGTCCCTGAGCAGCATGGCTGGAGTTTGTGGGAGGGCCCAGAGAGCAGGAAGGAAATTTCGCCTTGCCCCCAGCAGGACCACACAACAGCCCCTCTAGGGCCCTCTCATGCCTCACCTTCACTGGTGAAGACTGGGGGTTACCAAGATTACCGGCTCTTGGGGTGCCAGTTAAGACACTTGGTAACGACACCAGGGAGGGAAGGTCGGACCCTGCGTCCCCACAGCCTATCCCGTGTGGTCACGCAGACCTTGCTCAGGTGCCCTCCCCAGCCACCTCACAAGGGCTGGTGACTTCCATCAGTAAGGGGGCAGTGATTGTCCCCCTACACAGAATGAGGTGACACAGGTACCAGCCACAACACAGTATCCGGCATCCAGAAAGAGCCGGCAGTGTGATTCTGCTCCCAGGACAGCATAGGCAGGGACCCAGGCGCCTGGAGTGATCGTGCATGTGATCCCCATGACAGGCTGCTGAGCTCCCGCAGGGCAGCGCTGGGCCACGCAGGATCAAAGCGGCCTCTGAGTCGGCCCACTCAACGCTTGGATTCCGTTCCCTTAGTGGAAATTTCAGAGGCAGCAGCTTCTCTCCCTGTTCCTCTCTCTGCCTCCCGCAGCCCATGTCCACACCATCCAGTTTCCTCCCCAAGTGCTGGGGCCTGTGCCACCCCAGCCAGGGCTGCCTGCATCAGTCCTGAGCCTCACCGGTCGGTTGCAGTTCACAGGCATGCGCACACACACATGTGCACTCTCCTCACTCAGATGTTGCAGAATAGGCTGGAAACGCCCCCTCAGATTCCCAACAACAGTGACAGCCAAGGGCCATGGGACCCCTTCAATCCACAGCAAGGCCACACGCAATTCCAGGAAGTTCTTAAATTTTAGAATTTTAGAAAGAAGCTGAGGAGCCCTGAGTAAAAGCAAAAGATCCAAGCCTGGCTGACCTGTTTTGTAAATCGAAATTTCCCATCCAGTTTTTGCGTCTGACGCTCCCCACGCGGGCCAGGCGCTGTCTCCCTAGTAGCAAGCACAGCCCCCTCCCCGCTCAGGTCCTCCAGAGCAGGTCCTTCTGGAAGAGTCTGGGCCGGCCACAGAAGCACTCTCAGGCCGACAGCTTTATTTCCTGCTGTAAATTAATAAAGGGTTGTTCTGAAACCAGCCTCAGGCCACCTACGTCCTTTCTTGCCTGGCTGGCCCCAGGTGGGCTCCATGAGGAGGCCTGGGCTAGGGGCTGGGGACACCCCAGCAGGCACAAGTCCGCTGACCTCATGCGGACCTTTGTGTTTTTCTTGTGTGGGTGAAACTAAACCAAATTGGTATTTATTTGTGTGTTGGCTTAAAAACACAGTTCCCAACTTTGATTAAAATGAGCTCTTGGGAGTGCCAGAGGGGGAGGTCTTTTATATTCTAATCTTGACCTAAGCAATTTGGTGGAAACAGTAACTTTTATATGAACAGAGTGCTGAGGTTGTTGTGGGTTTTTTCTTTTGTGTATTTTTCTGCTTATGATAATACAAAAACAAAACTCACGTTCACAGTAGATGGAATGTATGTTTGTATTATTGTTACGTTTACAATGTTTGCTATGGAGTAAACAAGAGGGTCTACAGAATGCGTTGACGTTGCCTCCATAACCCACAACACGGTCAGTAGGGCCCATTGATGTTTGGATGTGTGCAAGTGTGCAGCTCTGCACCATGAGGAGGTGTCTTCTTACACAATTAGGGGGCTCTTGTTGCCACTTTCCACTTTCTCCTCTCACTATGTCCCCCGCGCTGTTAATGAAGCCTCAACAGTGTGATCTGACAGTTGCATACTTCTTTGCTCATGGATACTGTCCTGTGGATGCCTGCTTGGTATTTACTCCTCCCCAGCCTCTCTGGCCCTGGGGTTCCGCCAAGTGGGGAGAGTGTTGGGGTTCCGCCAAGGGGGGAGAGTGTTTGGGCTCCTGAGGAGTTTCGGACAAGCAGGTGCCCCGCCAGGCAGGAGCTGGAGTCCCCAGGCCCAGAGTAACATCCCACAGGGAGGCGGGTGGCCATCCTACCGCCCCACTGGCAAGACGTCCCCCAGGTAGGTGCAAGCCGAGCTCCCAGGGCTGTGTCGTCCACTCCTGCCCAGGGCCCAGGCATCCTGGGTTCTAAAAACTAGGTCTGAGGTGACCCTACTGGAGACAAGCAGCTGGACACACTCACTTCTCCTCGTGAGCACCCAAACTCGGCCACAGCCTGGGCCGGCATCCAAGCATGTGCCTTATCAGCACGGGAGTTCCTGTTTTGTGTTTGACTTTTGTATTTAACATCACTTCACACACGAACCCCACATTTTGACTGAGATCATATACTCACTTATAGGAAAGAACATTCCCTCAAGTTGACGCACCACTGATAGCTGGGTGCTTCCTCCATTAGCAAGCGTTTAGGAGGTCTCCAACTTCCCTTCTCGAAAATGGCCTGCCATGACTGTTTCAGTCATTTCATTGCGTTCACTTCCAAAAGCACAATTCACGTCAGCAGCAATGGAAAACCATTCTTCCAAACTTGGAATCTGGGTGGCTCATACAACCCTAGAGAGAGTTCCCAAAGCTCTTTCCTGCTTTGGCCCAAGGGCTCCCTAACCTGAGCTTCGGAGCCCAACAAGAGCTAAAGTCTTAACTTATCCATGCTTTATGAGCCTGCTCGGGCTGCTGAAACAAAGTACCACCAACCAAGCGGTTTAAACAACAGATATTTATTTTCTTACAGTTCTGGTGGCCAGAAGGCAGAGATTAGGGCTGGTTCCTTCCTAGGGCTGGGAGGGAGAATCTGTTCCATACCTCTCTCCTGGATTCCGGTGCTGCCTGCAATCCTTGGTGCTAGTTGGCTTCTAGATGCATCACCCCAATCTCTGCCTTCACAGTTACATGGCATTCTCTCTGCTTGTGTCTCTGTGTCCAAGAACACCCGTTTTACAAGAACGACAGTCATATCTCCAATATGACCTCATCCTAACTTGACTAATTACATCTGCTACTATCCTGTTTCCAAATACAGTCACATTTTGAGGACTGGGCTTCCACATACATGAATTCTGGGGGATGCAGTTCAGCCCAGGATGTATGCTGAGTCCAGGTCTGCCTGGTGGAATCTGCCACTGTGTGCAGCTGCAGCAGGCAAACACTTCCCAAATCACACTCCTCAAACATAAGCTTCATAGGACGTTAACAGATGATAGGTGCAAAAGGGGTTCTGTGAGAAAAGAAGTTTGGGAACCAGTAGGTTAGACAGTGTTTCCTTCCTTCCTTTCTTTAACTGCAGGACTTCTCAGGGCCTTGAATGGGATCATCTGTACTGTGAACCTCCAAGAAGGGAGTATGAGGTGCATCCTTTTCTTAACCTATTTGACCATAGAAATCTTTATTCAAAAAGGCTCTGGAGGGCCAGGAGTGTAAGGAGAAGGGACTTCTATTCTTAGGACTCAACACTGGCCCCTTTCTGAAACCCTGTGTGATCCACTGAAGCCACAAGAGATGCTTCTGATGAAATGAACACATTAACAAAGAAACACTTGGCAAGAGCCAGGCAGAAACCTCTCCTGTCCATCCACCTGATGTCCACAAGCTCATCCAAGGATACACCCAAACTTGACGGCTCCAGCCCACAGCAGCAGCCACTGCCCTGGGGTCTTTGTGGGTGCATCTCAGAACGAGAAAACCCAGCAGAGCACCCTCTGCTTTCTGCCCCTCTCAGCAGAGTGGTGTGGCTGCCCCCTTTGGTCTCCTGGGGACCACGTGCCCCTCCCATCAGAGCCCCTCTCCCAGGGGCAGCGCCCTTCCCACCCACCTGTGCAGGAAGCCACTCGCTTCAGTGCATCAAAGTCTCAAACCTGCCAGGTCCCCAGTCACCGTTCTGCTAAATTTCCTCCCAGATACTGAGCGCCGGCTCATCCTCTGGTCAAGCCAGGAAAGTATATTCAGAGATACCATTTTCTTCACATTTTTGACAATGCTATGAGCAGAGCACAGGCCATTTCTTAACCAAATAAGCTCATGACAAATTCCCCCATATGCCCTGGTGAGGTTCACAGGTGAATGGTGATGCATGGGAGCGCTTCCACATTTTCACATGGGTTAACGTGGTCGTCGTCACTTCTAGACAGCCAGATCGAGTTTGTACAGGTTTTCCTCCCATATGTTGACAATCCTGTATAGCAGTGGTCCCCAGCCTTTTTGGCACCAGGGACTGGTTTTATGGAAGGCAATTTTTCCACAGACTGGGGCAAGGGCTAGGGGAAAATAGTTTGAACAGAATGAAACTGTTTCACCTAAGATTATCAGGCATTAGTTAGATTATCTTAAGGAGCGCGCAACCTAGATCCCTCGCTTGCACAGTTCACAATAGGGTTCGTGCTCCTATGAGAATCTGACACCTCCGCTGATCTGACAGGAGGCGGAGCTCAGGCTGTAATGCTGGCTTGCCCATGGCTCGTCTCCTGCTGTGTAGCCCAGTTCCTAATAGTACTGGTCCGTGGCCTGAGGGTTGAGGAACCCAGCTGTATAGGATAGGAGAACAGTGTGATTTTTGACATGTTTCTGTGACACCGTGTTCAATTTCAGCCTCAGGGACCTCACATCTCACACTGCCCAGACCCACTGCCAGGAACTGCTACAGCCGGGACCCTCTGGGTCATGCCGGAGAGCTCAAGGCAAGAATGCCAACGGCAGCAAGGCAGTGGGCAGCAATCTGAGGTCGGGTGGGGTCCGACTGGCTCCCAAGGCACCACACATCCCCAGGAAAGCTACTTCTCCCTCTTCCCGCCCAGCATCCCACACACCTGGCTGACCCCCCTCCAAGGAAGGAAAACCCCAGTCTCTGCCTCTCTTCTTGGGTCCTCCCTGCCCTCGCCAAAGTCCCCAACCCCAAGGGACCACATCAGATGCCCCTGTCTGTGTATCACAGGACCAACGGAAGGGGTGCAACAGGAGGCAGGACAAGGACACAGGCATCCTGGGATGCATGCTGCTGATGGGTGGCCTCAGAGGTGGCACACACAGGTAGCAAAAGGGCTACGGAACAGACAGTTGGTCCCCAGGCACTGATTGCTCCCTCTCTGTCCCAGCGACCAGCCCAGAACAGGCATGCAGAAGGCACTGGGCAGTGCTTGCCCAGGGATGGTGGGAGTGCTGGGGCTTGGCTGCATGTGCCCTGTGATTGATTGGCAATGTCTGCACTGAGCACCAGAAGGAGACTGCAGATGCTTATTATGAGATCTCTATTTGTGATTTAGAAAGATCTATGAGTCAACAGGCTACCTCCTGGCCCTGGATCAGTCCCTCCTGATTTGTACAAGTCCCATCTCCTGGCCCTCTGCTCCTCATCTCCCCAAAGTGCACCCAGGCCAGCACCCTTCACCACTTTGGTGCCCTGGCCATGGCTTGGCCATATATAGGCTGGTGTATGTTTGTATGGCAATTCTATGGGGGTGCTGGCCTCTCTAAGATCAAACAGAACCCTCCCAGGACACTAAAGCAGTGCACCCACCCCTCCCAACAAAAGGTCAGCTGGGTCCCAGCAAACAGCTGAGTCAGATACACATGGGGATTGGCAGATGCTGATGGTGTATCCTTCCCAGCAGGCACTGCACTTTCTGTCCCACCTGGGATGTGGAAAGTCAAGGGAAGACAATCAAGGCCCACAATTCTGGACTCAGAAAAGCCAAGTAGAGATTAGAAAGATGGGAGGTTTGAATCAGGAAGACCTGGGGTGAATTCTGGACTTATAACTTAGCGCTGGTCTGCAAAATGGATTTGATGATACATATTACACAGGGTTGATGTGTTAGAATAACAGGTGCCTACCTCAAATCACACTGAAAAATAACTTCTGGGTAGATTTTTTAAAAATACCTAAAATGTGAAAAGAAAAACCTACAAAATGTAAAAAGCAAAGCTTAAAACATTGGTCTAGCATGTGAGAAGCTTGGAAGTCATCACTCCTGTCCTTACAGACAAAAAGCTAAACAAACTGAAAATCAACAACTCTTCTTAGATCCATCAGAGAACTGAGGTTGCAGGAAAACTTCTGCCTCCAAAATTGGCAGATAGAGAGAATTACAACTTGCCATCACTTCTCAGCCTTTGGTTAAAATCAAGTGTGCAGAATCACAACTTACCAGAGCAGAAACCTCCATGGAACCAGTGCTGGGGTAGGGAAACCTAAACTGTAATTGCCGAATTGCCAGATGCTCAGTGTGGACAAGTCTGAGAATTAAGAATTCCAGGGTGCCTAGCCTTAGCAGCGTGCACCCACACTTTTGTAAGTTCTACCTCCAGGAGCCCTACCAGATTCTCACAGCGAAGACTGGAGGAAAACTCCCCAGGGCTTCTGGCAGGGGGAGGAGAAAAATATTCATTTTGAAATATGCCACGGCGTTCTGTTCTTCTTAAAACCCTGCCCTCAGGAGAAATTATCTTACTACAGCCCAACCTGCTGGGGCTTTATCAGAGCCAAACCTACCTTGGGGAAGGAAAATACCCAACTCCAGCCCCCTCCAGCCATCCTGTATGTAGTACATAAGCGGATGGAAGAGAGAGACTGAGAAGCACTTGTGAAGGTCACAGCACAGGGGCAGGCACAGGCTCGCTAAAATACTGAGGCCTAATTATAGGAGTACAGAATGCTTCCTCTCCCTCAACATCCTGCTGTCACATTACTGAAGGCCAGTTCACCACATCGCTTTTACCCGGTACATCATGTCCAGCTTTCAATAAAAAAACTACAAGGCATATAAAAAGGCAGAAAAAAATAGTCTGAAGATACAGAGCATGCACCAGAACCAGACTCAGATATGGCATGGCTTTTGGGAACTATCAAACTGGAAATTTAAAACAACTGTAATTCCCATGCTAAAGGC
The DNA here is from genome assembly GCF_000001405.40 of Homo sapiens. Lineage (NCBI taxonomy): Eukaryota > Metazoa > Chordata > Mammalia > Primates > Hominidae > Homo > Homo sapiens. The sequence goes on from NC_000007.14 coordinate 44,296,204, forward strand.
TCTAATGGGAGAAGTGGACAACATACAAGAACAGGCGGGTGATGTAAGTAAAGAGATGGAAGTTACAATGCTAGAAATCAAAAATGCTGTAACAGAAATAAAGAATGTCTTTGATGCAGACTAGACACAGCTAAAAAACCAACCAGTGAGTTTGAAAACATATCAATAGGAACTTCTAAAACTAAAATGCAAAGACAAAAAAGAATGAAAAAGACAAAACAAAATAATCCAAGAACTATAGAAAAATTACAAAAGATATAAACACATGTAATGGAAATATCAGAAGGAGAAGAAAGGGGAAAAGCAGAAGAAATATTTGAAGTAATGTTGACTGAGTCTTTCCAAAATTGAAGCCAGGCACCAAACCACAAATCCAGGATGCTCAGAGAATTCCAAGCAGAAGAAATACCCCAAAGTGTATATCGGGTCGTATCACATTCAAACTGCAGAAAATCAAAGAGAAAATCTTGAAATAACCCAGAAGCAAAAAACACTTCACCTGTCAAGGGGCAAAAAAGCATTACATCAGACTTCTCAAGCTCACAAGAGGAGAGTGGAGTAAAATATCTAAAGTGTTGGAAGAAATGAACCACCAACCTAGAATTCTGTATCCAGAGAAATTATCCATCAAAAATAAGAAACAAAGATGTTCTCAAACAAAAATTGAGGCAATTGGTCACCAGCATACCTGCCTTATAAGAAATGTTAAAAGAAATTATTCAGAAAGAAGGAAAATGACATAGTTCAGAAACTTGGATCTACATAAAGAAAGGAAGAGACTTAGAGAAGAAATAAGTGAAGGTAATATGAAATCTTTTTTCTAATTATTCATTGATCTAATAGATAACAATTTGTTCAAAATAATGATACTAACAGTGTTTTGGGTAATTATCACTTATGGATAAGTGAAAGAAAGCAACATTATCAGGGATAGGAGAGAGGAATTAGAAATACTCTGCTATAACCTATAAGGTATTTGCATTACTTCACTACATGCGAAATGGTGTAGTGTTATTTGAGAGTGGGCTTGGGTTAGTTGTAAATGTATATAGGTATATGGCAAACTCTAGGACAACCACAGAAGAGAAAGAGAAAGAGAGGGAAAAGAAGAAGAAGTGGAAGAGGAGGAGGAATGCTAAGAGAAGCAAGAAAGGAGAGAAAATGGAATTATATAAAATGCTCAATTAAACCACAGAAAGCAGAAAAAGAGTGGAAGACAGAAAAAGAAACAAAGAAAATAGGGAAAAATAAAAAACAGAAACAAATATGGTAGCTATCAATCCAACTATATCAATAATCACTTTAAATGTCAATGGCTCTATATACACAAATTAAAAGACAGAGATTATCTTATTGGATCAAAAAACAAGACCAAACTATATGTCATCTACAAGAAACCTATTTAAACATGAAGACACAAATAAGTGAAGAGTAAAGGCATGGATACTACTCAAAGTTATCTACAGATTCAAGTGAAATCCCTATCAAAATTCCAATGGCTTTTTTGCAGGGAAAAAAAAACCATCTTAAAATTGATATGGAATCTCCAGGGACAAAAAAATGGTCAAAATAATCTTGAAAAAGAAAAACAAAGTTGGGGGACTCACATTTCCTGATTTCAAAATTTAATATAAAACTGGCCGGATGCAGTGCCTCACGTCTGTAATCCCAGCACTTTGGGAGGCCATGGAGGGTGGGTCACTTGAGGTCAGGAGTTCAAGACCAGCCTGGCCAACATGGCCAAACCCTGTCTCTATTAAAAATACAAAAATTAGCCAGGCTTGGTGGTGCACACCTGTAATCCCAGCTACTCAGGAGGCTGAGGCAGGAGAATCACTTGAACCCGGAAGGTGGAGGTTGCAGTGAGCTGAGATCATGCCACTGCATTCCAGCCGGGGTGACAGAGTGAGACTCCATCTCAAAAACAAAACAAAACAAAAAACCCAATACAAAACAATAATCAAAATGGTCTGACACCGGCATAAGGACAGACACAGAGACTAATGGAATAAAATAGAGTGCCCAGAAATAAATTCTCCCATATATTGATTTTCAACAAACGTGTCAAGGGTTATTCAATGAAGAAAGGACAGTCTTTTCAACAAGTGGTGCTGGGGAAACTGGGATACCCACATGCAAAACAATGAAGTTGGATCCTTATCTTACACAACATACAAACAATAACTCAAAATGAATCAAAGACCTAAATTTAAGGCTAAAATTACAAAACACTTAGAAGAAAACATAGGTGGAAATCTTCATAACATTGGATTTGGCAATGATTTCTTGGATATGACACCAAAAGTGCAGGCAACAAAAGAAAAAATTAATTGGGCTTACCAAAATACAAAATTTTTGTGCATCAAAGGACACTATCAAGAGAATGAAAAGACAACCCACAGAATTGGATAAAATATTTGCAATTCACCTATCTGATGACGGATAAATATAGGAGAACTACTAAACGTCAATAACAAAGAAACAAACAAGCCAATTCAAAAAATGAGCAAAGAACTTGAATAGACATTTCTCCAAAGAAGATATGCAAATGGAAAACAAGAGATGTTGAAAATATGTTCAACATCACTAGCCATGAGAGAAATCAAATCAAAACCATAATGAGATACCACTTCACATCCATTAAGATGACTATTATAAATTTTTTTTAATTGAAAAAAGCCTGAAAATAACAAGTGTTGGTGAGGGTGTAGAGGACTTGGAACCCTTGTGCATTGCTGGTGGGAATGTAAAATGTTGCAGCCACTGTGAAAAACAGTTTGGCAGCTCCTCAGAAAGTTAAACATAGAATTACCATATGATCCAGCAATTCCACTCCAAGGTGGATCCAAAAAAAATGTAAAGCAGGGACTCAAACAGATACTTGTATACAATATTCATAGCAGCATTATTCACAATAGTCAAAAGTAGAAGCAACTCAAATGGCCATTGACAGAAGAATGGATAAATAAAGTGTGGTCTATATATACAATGAATATTATTCAGCCTTGAAAAGGAAGGAAATCATGTCTACAACATAGACATATCTTGAGGACATTACGCTAAGTGAAATAAGCCAGTCACAAAAGACACAAATACCACATGATTCCCCTTATATGGGATACCTAGAATAGACAAATTCATAGAGAGAAAGTAGAACAGAGGTTGCTGGAATAAGGAGAGAAGGGGAAGTCAGTTTTTAGTGGGTACAGAGTTTCAGTTGGGGAAGATGAAAAAATTTCGGACAATGATGGTGGTGATGGTAGCACAACAATGTGAATATACATAATGTTACTGAATTGTATCCTTAGAAATGGTTAAAATAGTAAAATTTTTATGTATATATGACACAATTTAAAAATTAAAAATAAATAAAAAGAATAATTTTGATTAGCCAAATCAAAATACATATAAGTGAACTGTCTACATTAATTAGAGAAAACAATCATTTTAGGATCAATAATTTGCAATTGACCATTCTTTGTCCATTTCTGGACTCTACTATTTATTAATTGTGTGATCCTGAGAAAACTCCTCATCTGTAAATGGAGATGATAATAGTATCTCTTAGAGCTTTTGGAAAAGTCAAAAAACAATGCATAGTCTAGTGCATAGTAAAATGCTCAATAAATGTTAGCCATGATTATTTCTTTCATGGATAAAGAATGGATTCTTTAATGGCAAATTATATGTTACATATAATTTTGTTTTACCATAATTTAAAAAAGTAAATGGATGGAGAAAGATGTACCATGCTAACAATAATTAAAATAAAGCTGGAGTAACTATATGTATATATGTATGTATATGTGTATGTGTCTGTGTGTGTGTGTGTGTGTGTGTGTGTGTGTGTGTGTGTATGTAGTTGTTCAGACAGGGACTCACTCTGTCACCCAGGCTGGAATGCAGTAGCACAATCATGGCTCACTGCAGCCTCTACATTCCAGGCTCAGTCTCCCAAGTAGATGGGACTACAGGCATGTGCCACCATGGCTGGCTAATTTTTTTAATTTTTTGTAGAGATGGGGTCTTGGTATGCTCCCTAGGCTGGTCTCAAACTCCTAGATTCAAGCATTCCTCCCACTTCAGCCTCCTAAGGTGCTGGAATTACAGGTGTAAGCCACCATGCCCAGCTATATATAGTAGAGACACGGTGTTGCTATGGTGCCCAAGCTGGTCTTGAACTCCTAGGCTCAAGTGATTCTCCCACCTGGGCCTCCTGAAGTGCTGTGATTACATGTGGGAGCCACTGCACCCACCCAGGAGTAACTATATTGATATCAGAAAAAAAAAAACAAAACAGATTTTACAACCAGGGAAATTATCAGGAATAAAGAAGAGCATTACATAATAATAAAAGGGTCAGTTTTCTAAGATGACATGCAGTCCTAAACATGTACATACCTAACACAGAGCATCAAAATATGTGAAGCAAAAACTGATGGAACTGTAAGGATAAAAAGATGACTCCACTATCATTGTTGGTGACTTCAACACAACTCTACCAGAAATGGACAGATGCAGCAGGCAGAAAATCAGTAAGGACATGATTGAACTCAACAGCTTCATCAATCAACTGGCTCTAACAGACATCTATAGACTACTTCATCCAACAACGGCAGAATACATTTTCTTCTCAAGCTCACATGGAACAATCACCAAGACAGACCACATTTTGGGCCATAAAAACACCCTGATACATTTAAAATACAGTAATCATATAAAGTACGCTCTCAGACTGCAATGGAATTAAATTAGAAATCAATAACAGAAAGATAGCTGGAAAAGCCCAAAATACATGGAAACACCACACTTCTAAATGACACACAGACAAAAGAAAAAATGTCAAGGGAAATTTTAAAATATTTTGAACTAAATGAAAATACAACTTATCAAAATTTATGGAATGCAGCAAAGGCAGTCTTTATTATTTATTTATTTTTTAGGGACAAGGTCTCACTCTGTCATGCAGGCTGGAGTGCAGTGACACAATCATAGCCCACCGCAGCCTTGAACTCCTAGGCTCAAATGATCCTCCCGCCTCAGCCTCTTGAGTAGAAAAGACTACAGGCATGCACCACCATGCCCTGTGATGTTTTTTGTTTGTTTGTTTGTTTTTAGAAACAGGATCTTGCTATGTTTCCCAGGTCAGTCTTGAACTCCTGTCCTCAAGTGGTTCTCCCACCCTGTCCTCCCAAAGCACTGGGATTACAGGTGTCAGCCATTGCACCTGGCCAAAAGTAATCTTTAGAGGAAAATTTATAGCATCAAGTGCCTACATTTTGAAAAGAAGAGGCCGGGCACAGTGGCTCACGCCTGTAATACCAGCACTTTGGGAGGCCGAGGTGAGCGGATCACCTGAGGTCAGGAGTTTGAGACCAGCCTGGCCAACATGGTGAAACCCTGTCTCTACCAAAAATACAAAATCTAGCCGGGCATGGTGGCGCATGCCTGTAATCTCAGCTACTTGGGAGACTGAGGCAGGAGAATCACTTGAACCAGGAAGTCGGAGGTTGCAGTAAGCCGAGATCGCGCCACTGCACTCCAGCCTGGTGACAGAGCAAGACTCCATCTCAGAAAAAAAAAAGAAAAGAAGAAAATAGAAATCTAAAATCAGTAATTTAAGCTTCCACCTTAAGAAACTAGAAAAAGAAAAGCAAATTAAATCCAAAGTAAGCAGAAAAAAAGAATAAAAACTAGAGTGTAAATCAATGAATTGTGCAAACAAGAAACTGATACAGAAAATCAACAAAGCCAACAGCTAGTTCTTTGAGAAGATCAATAAAATTGGAAAACTGCTAATCAGGTTAACTAAGGAAAAAAGAGAAAAGAGGCAAATTACTAATACCAGAAATAAAAGTGGGGCCACCAATACAGATCCCACGGATATTAAAAGACTAATAAAGAAATACTATGAAAAACTCTATGGCCATAAATTTGATAGCCTAGATAATATGAACCAACTCCTTGAAAGACACAATCCTCTAAAACTCACACAATGAAATATAGATAATGTAATATAAACAGGACTGTATCTCTAAAAGAAATTGAATGAATAATAATTTTCCAAAACAGAAAGCACCAGGCCCAGATTGGTTCATTGGTGAATTCTACCAAACATGTAAAGAAGAAATCATATCAATTCTCTAAAATCTCTTTTAGAAAATAGAAGCAGCAAGAATACTTCCTAACTCATTCTATGAGGCTAGCATTACCCTAATACTAAAACCAGACAAGGACATTATTTAAAGAAAAGAAATATACAGACCAAAATCTCACATGAACACAGATGCAAAAATTCTCAACAAAATATTACCAAATTGAATCCAACAATGTATAAAAAGAATTATATATCATGATCATGCGGGATTTATCCCAGGTATGCAAGTCTTGTTCAATATTCAAAAATTAATTATTATAATCCAATGCGTCAACAAGGTAAAGAGGAAAAATCACACAACTATATCAATACATGCAAAAAAAGAATCTGACAAAAATCCAACACTGTTTCATGATTAAAAACTCTCAGCAAACTATGAATACAGTGGAGCTTCCTAAATTTGATTTTTAAAAAATCTAGAAAAGACCTACAGTTTACACCATACTTCATGGTGAGAAACTGGATACTTTCCACTAAGATCAGGAACAAAGCAAGTATGTTCCCTTTCACCACTGCTATTCGACATCTTACTGGAAGTCCTAGCTAACATAATAAGGCAAGAAAAGGAAATAAAAGATACACTTATTGGAAAGGAAGAAATAAAACTGTCTTTGTTCATAAATGATATGCCTATATAGAAAACCCCAAAGAATCAACAAAAAAATTCCTGGAACTAATAAATGATTATAGCAAGGTTGCAGGATACCAGGTTAATATATAAAAGTCAATTGTTTTCTTACATATCAGCAATGAATGATTGGAATTGGAATTTTAAAACACAATACCATTTACATTTCATCCCCCAAAGTGAAATACTTAGGTATAAATCTAACAAAATATGTACAAGATCTATATGAGGACATTTACAAAACTCTGATGAAAAAATATCAAAGAAGAACTAAATAAATGCAGAGGCATCCCATGTTCATTAATAGGAAGATGCAATATTGTCCAATGTCAGTTTTTCCCAAATTAATTTACACATTCAATGCACTCACAATCAAATACCGGCAAGTTATTTTGTGTATATCAACAAACTGATTCTAAAGTTTATATGGAGAGTCAAAAGATACATAATACAATAACCAACACAATATTGAAGGAGAAGAGCAAAGTCTGAGGTTTGTGAATACCAGATAGAGAAAGGATAGCCTTTTCAACAATGGTGCCAGAACAACTGGATATTCAGATGAAAAAAATGAATCTAGACACAGATCTTACACCTTTCATAATGATTAACTTAAAATGGGTCATAGACCTAAATGTAAAATGCAAAACTTTAAAACTTCTAAAAAATAACATAGAAAATCTGGATGACTTTGGGTTTGGTGATGATTTCTTAGATACAGTGCCAAAAGCACAATTCATGAAAGAAAAAATTGATGAATTGGACTTAATTAAAAGTAAAAAGTTCTGTTCTGTGGAAGACACTTATGAGAATTAAAAGGGAAACAACCACAGACTTGGAGAAAATATCTACAAAACACCTATCTGATAAGACTGGTTTTCAAAATATACAATGAACCCTTAAAATTCAACAATATAGAAACAACCAGTTTAAAAATGGGCAAAAGATCTGAACAGATACCTCACCGAAGAAGATATATGGATGGAAAATAAGCATATGAAAATATGCTCGACATCGTAAGTCATTAGGGAATTGCAAATAAGACAAAAAAGAGCTATCACTATACACCTATTAGAATGGCCAAAATCTAGAATTCTGACACCACCAAATGATGGTAAGAATGTGGAGCAACAGGAATTCTCATTCATTGTTGGTAGGAATGCAAAATGGTACACCTGCTTTGGAAGAGAGTATGGTAGTTTCTTGCAAAACTAAAAATATTCTTTACCTTACACTCCAGCAATCACACTTCTTGGTATCTCCCAAATACATTGAAAACTTATGTCCACAAAATACCCGCAAACGGATGTTTATTGCACCTTTATTCATGACTGTGAAAACTTGGAAGGAACCAAGATGTCCTTCAGCAAGCAAATGAACAAACTGTGGTACATCCAGACAATGGAATATTATTCAGCTAAAAAGAAATGAACTATCAAGCTACACAAAGACAGGTTCCTCCTCCCACTTAAGGAGGAAACTTAAGTGGCCACTGCTGAATAAAAGAAGCCAGTCTGAGAAGGCCACATACTGTGTGAGTCCAATGGTATGACATGCTGGAAAAGGCAGAAGAGAGTCAAAAGACCAGTGACTGGCAGGGGTTGGGTGGAGGGAGAGACAAATAGGTGGAGCACAGAGAAATTCTGGGGCAGGTGAAACTACTCTGTGTGACACTGTAATGACAGATACATGTCATTCTACATTTGTCCAAGCTCATATAATCTACAACAGCAAGAGCAAACCCTAATGTAAGCTATGGGCTTTAGTTAATAATATATTAATATTGGTCCATCATTGTAACAAATATGCCAAACTAATGCCAGATGTTAACAACAGGGGTGGGGAATGGTGAAGGGGAATATGGGAACTTTATACTTTCAATCCAATTTTTCCATACAGACAAAACTGCTCTAAAAATGAAGCCCATTAATTTCTTTTTCATTGTAAAGAGAAAAAAATTGTATCTTTAAAACACCAGGATAGAGAAGGACTTTTTAAAACCATAGGCAGAAAAGCATGTATCACAAGGAAAATGCCTATATATTTGCCATATAGTGAAATTTAAAACTTCACTGTGACCTGAGGCCCTGAACAACATTAGGAAAAGGTGTTTCAGGGACTCTAAAGTCTTCCCCTGGAGCTGTCATCACCCCGGGAGACATCCTGACTGTAATACCCACCTACGCATGGCCCTCTCAGTGTATAAGGGTTCCCTTCAGGGCTCTCAGGCCACAGTGAAAGATGGGGCTATGCTCCCCATGTCACAGGAAGGGACAGGCACTGAATGCTCTGCTGAGACCATGGCAGCATGGATGTGGAGGTGGGATCAAACCAGACCCCTCTCCCCTAGCCAGGCACAGTGGCTCATGCCTATAATCCCAGCACTTTGGGAGGCCAAGGTGGGAGGATTGCTTGAGCCCAGGAGTTCAAGGTTACAGTGAGTTATGATGCACCTCTGCACCCCAGACTGGGTGGCAGAGCAAGCCCCAGTCTCAAAAACAAAACAAAATGAAACAAAAAATCCCCAAGCCCCCCAATCAACCTCTTGCCGCCCTGCACAGGTCCCCTGAGGTGCCCTGCACTGGCTCAAAAACAGTCTCCTGGGGAGATGGACGGGGCACCCCTGTGAGGTGGGGGAGGTGGGAGCAAGAGGAAAATGAATCACAGGACTTGAGCCAAGTAGAGCCCTGAGAGTGGGAAGAAGCAGGGCCGGGAGTTGGCAGCAGGACCAAGACAGGGGCGAGAGGCCTTGGGTGCCGTCTTGGCTCACTCCATCACTCGGTCACGCTGGCTGGGCCAAGGCAGAGGCAGTGGGTGTCAGAGACAGCTCTTCCAGCTAGAGAACAGACTTTCACATTTTCTGGATTCTTGCGAGCCAGCTGATGTCATGTTGTTAGCTTGACATTGGCCACGGTGGGCATCTTCATACCACAGAAATGGGCAAACACCACCCACCAGGGACCCCACCCCTCTGTTAAACATTGACCAGGCACCACTTGAGAGGGGACTGCAAGGGGGGATGATGTGGCCTCCCTCTACATACCCCAAATACCCAGAGGGAGGGGGGTTGAGGGTCAGGAGGGAGGAGAACCTGACAGGCCAGAAACCACCTAGGGGCTGAAATTACATGCTCCCCATGGGAGTGAGAGAGGAGAGGGGGTGAGCACTCTTCCTGAGGAGAGGGCTCACAGGGGAGCCAGTCTGACTGGGGGTTCTGAAAGCCACGGTGGGCTGGGCTGGGATCCCCGTAAATCCAGCCTGTCCTGTGCAGCCTCGGTGGGAAGTTCCCCCTTCCAGGGAGGGTCTGGGACTTCTGCTCATTCTGTATCAGCATCCATCTTTCTCTTTCACTTCTCCGTTCTCTCAGGTGAACCATATCCTCCAGAAATCTTCAGCAACAAATGTCTTCCTTTAGCAACCCCACAGGAGCTGTGCCCCAGAACAATGGCCATGACCCCAGTGGGGAGGTCTGCATTAAGCAAAGAGCAAAATAAATACAGAGATGAAGACAGGAGGGAGGACCACCCAGGAACACCTGTAGCCCACTGTGCCCATGCTCTTCCAACAGACTAGGGGAGGCCTGCAGGTCAGGCCTAGCCTCTAGGGTGGAGAGGTCCAGCCTGTCTCTTAGCCCTGGACCCAGCCTTGAAGCATGTGGTGGATTATGCAGATAATGCACAGGGGTTGCTGGAGAACTGTCACTCAATCTGGCCATGCTGAAACCAGTGAGCAGGAGGAGGGTGTGGGCAGGAGGAGGAGGGTGTGGGCAGGGGGAGGAGGATGCGAGCAGGGGAGGAGGGTGTGGGCAGGGGAGGAGGGTAAGGGCAGGGGTAGGAGAGTGTGAGTAGAATGAGGAGGGTGTGAGCAGGGGAAGGAAGGTGTGAGCAGGAGGAGGAGGGTGTGAGCAGGAAGACGGTGTGAGCAGGGGGAAGAGGGTGTGAGCAGGAAGAGAAGGGGGTGAGTAGGGGGAGGAGGATGTGAGAAAGGGGAGGAGGGTGTGAGCAGGAGGAGGAGGGTGTGAGCAGGAAGAAGAGGGTGTGAGCAGGGAGAGGAGGCGGTGAGCAGGGGGAGGAGGGTCTGAGCAGGGGGAGGAGGGTCTGAGCAGGGGATGGAGGGTGTGAGCAGGAGGAGGGTGTGAGCAGGGGGAGGAGGGTGTGAGCAGAGGGAGGAGGGTGTGAGCAGAGGGAGGAGGGTGTGAGCAGAGAGAGGAGGGTGTGAACAGGAGGAGGGTATGAGCAAGGGGAGGAGGGTGTGAGCAGAGGGAAGAGGGTGTGAGCAAGGGGAGGAGGGTGTGAGCAGAGGGAAGAGGGTGTGAGCAGGCGGAGGAGGGTGTGAGAAGGGGGAGGAAGTTGTCAGCAGGGGGAGGAAGTTGTCAGCAGGGGGAGGAGGGTGTGAGCAGGGAGAAGAGGGGGTAAGCAGAAGGAGGAGGGTGTGATCAGGGGGAGGAGGGTGTGAGCAGGGGAGGGTGTGTGAAGAGGAGGGTTTCAGGAGGCTCAGCCTGGGGCCTCCTGTGTCATTGGCGCCATCTGGCCCCTGGCACTGGGAATGGTCTGCCAGGGCTCACTGCATCTTTGGAATTCCTCCCCTGCCCACATGGAGAGGCTGTCACGCACATCAGGGGCCAACCTACTCCCTGGGACAAGGCTACGGTGCCTGTGTCCTAGGGCCTTGGTCCTGGCCTCATGAGATGCGCTTAGCCAGAGTCTGGTGGAGGTGGCCCATTAGCCTAGGGCCACCTGGAAGGAGCCTGTGGGAACTCTGAGGGGAACGCTGAGAGCTGACCCTTGTTGAATTTGTTTTCCTGTTTTTACCCACTGAAAGCTTTCATTTATTTTTCTGTGAGCTGTTGCTGCTGTCATCCGTACTTCAACTGGGGTTTTGGCCATTTTTTTTTAACTGGGGGGCCTCATTCTGTCACCCAGGCTGGAGTGCAGTGGTGTGACTGCAGCTCACTGCAGCCTTGATCTCCTAGCCTAAGTGATCCTCCCACCTGGGCCTCCCAAAGCGCTGGGATTCCAGGCCTTTTTGACCTATAGGAGCTCTTTCCATATGAGGGAAACCACCCATTCACCTCATGTAGCCCAAATGCTGGGAGGGCCTGCTGTGGCCTCACCCACACGGGATGTGCCCAGGAGGCATGGGGCAGGCACGTTCTTGTTCTGTTCCCTAACAGGAATGTGAACACTTTAAGCACAAGGCACGTCTCTTCTCCTCTTTGCCCCTAAAATCCAGATGTGCAGATGGCTAATTGCCGGAGCTGCCATCCTGACTCTCACCTGAGAAATTCCAGGGACAAGCTGAGCTGTGGGATGAAAGAAGTGCCCATGGTAGGTGGAGCCAGGATGCCAGATAGGAAGGCCCAGGTGGCTGGGGGAAGAGAGACAGGGCCTGCCCCATGCCTGTGTGTGGTGGCGCCCAGCATGGTGTCCTGCTCCTGGGTCCCCATCCCCCTGCCCCCGGCTCGCATCCCATGTCCCCCTCCTCTCCTCACAGCTTGCCTTCCCTGATTGGGAGCTGCTGGCCCTCCTCCTGTGCATCCCCCCACTTCCTTGGTCATCCCCTTCAGAACCACACTGCTGCCCTCTCTGAGCTGGATCCACAGGGACACCCGGAGGGCAGGACAAGGTTCCACCAACGTGTCTACTTTGGGAAGATGAAGGCAGGAGTGACATTACAGAGAGAGGGAGGTGCGGGCCCCCCATATCCCACCTTGTCCGGAGGGCAAGGCCCCGTCCTACTCAGGGAATGCAGACCACTAGCCCCAAGACTGGCCATGAGGCACAGAGAAGGCACTTTGCCCAGCAGCAGGCCTTGCACATCAGGCGGTGTGCGAGCCCCTCGTCTCTCCTCACAAGAGACCAGGGGCTGAGCAGACCATCCCTCCCCGGGGCCTCTGTCCATGGCCAGCCTGCCCTTTACTGCCTGCCAGCCGGAAGGCCCAGAAGGGTCCAGCAAAGGCACTGAGGGAACTGAGCTGCGGTGACCAGCCTGGCTTGGCTTAGCCCTGTCAGGGGGGTTGTGTCCTCAGGTCTGGCTAGGCTGAAACGGACCCCAGAGCCCTGCCCAGCACTGCCCGCCTGGCCTAGTAGGCTCCTACCACCAACGCGGATTCCACAAACCACTGCGACTGTGCTGTGCACTGTCCCAGAGGAGTGGGCGGGCACCAGGCCAGGCCCCAGAGAGGAGAGAGTGGTCTCACCACAGCCAGGCTGGTGCTCCTCCCTGCAGGGGGCTGGGACAAGGGGCAGTTCACAGCTGCCCAGCTGAAGCCGGGCTCTGGGGCAGGGGTCAGCCCACCCACCTGGGGCCCAGGCCATCTGCGCTCCTGGCCTGACGGGAGAAGGGACACAGACGGAGGGTTTAAGGCCACTGAGCTCTCAGGACGGCCCGAGTACCCGAGCTCTGAGCCAGCAGGAGCAGGAGGGCTGGGCTGCGCCTCCAGCCCCGGGGCCCACCCTTGCTGCGCCCCCATCTCCCTCCTGCACGTCCAGGGGCTGCCCTGGACCACATCAGGTCCCCAGCTCCGTCGCGCCCCTAAGCACAGGGCATGGGGAGGGCCCTCGGGAAGGACAGGCAGAAGCGGTCCCCATCCGAGGAGTCCTCTGACCCCAGGGTGCGGGTGTGGGCTGGAGTGCGGTGGGGTCGGGACTCTGCGCCCGCGGCGTCCCAGCTGTGGAAAGGACACAGCCTCCTCGCCCGGGCAGGAGCGCCCGCGGGGGACCAGTCAGTCCCTCACCCTAGCAGTGGGACCTGAGTGGATCCAAAAGCCAGAGACACCAGCCCATCGGAAGAAACTGGGGACGAGAGAGATTCCGACGCCAGCACCGTAGGGGCCGCACTCGGCGTCCGTCCGCGCAGCCTTGCAGCGACCTTCAAAGGCGGCGCTTAAGAGCCGGTCACGCCCCTCCTGGAGCGGCGGCCCGCGGGTAGTCACCGCGCCTGAGCAGCCAGAACCAGGCCGAGGCCGCGCGGCTCGCGAAGGACACGCGGGAAGAGCCTTTCCGCCGGCTGAGCCGTGGGCGCCACCGCCAGGGACCCCAGGCTCACCAAGCCACGCGCGGAACCGCACGGTGGCCGAGACCGGGCGGGGGCGGGGGCGCTTTGGGAGTTAGGATACGCTTTGTGCCCGCTTGCTGCTTTTTTCCTGCAAGCTGCGCATCAATTAAAGTACTCGGGTTTTTGTTTGGTTTCAGATCAATCAGATTTCATCCTTCGAAAGTTTTATTCTCAAGGAATGCAAAAGGATTTTGGAAGCTTAGAAATGTCCACGTAATCAGACTGTGGGTCACCTGCATGTGGGAGAGATGAGCTTTGGGGCAAGTCTCAGAAGAAAGAAATGGGGCTTCCACAGAACCACTTCCTGGGGCCGGAAGGGACTGGAGAGAGTCATTTGACCCAACCCTCCTGGTTCGTAAGTGGGGAGGCTGAAACCCAGAGAGTTACGTGGCAGCCCAAGGCCACACAACCCAGTGGCTATGTCATGCGCGGTGGGAGGGGGCCATGTATCATGTCCTTTAAAAATGTCCTTTGTACACCCGCATTCATAGCAGCATTATTCACAACAGCCAAGAGGCAGGAGCAACCTGCGTCTGTCAATAGATGAGCAAAATGCACACAATGGAATATTATTCAGCCTTAAAAAGGAAGGAAATGCTGACACAGGCTACAACATGGGTGAAACTTGAAGACATTATGCTCATTGAAACAAGGACAAACACTGTCTGATTCCACTTATATGGGGTCCCTAAAGTTGTCAAATTCATAGAGGCAGACAGCAGAATGGTGGGTGCCAGGGTGAGGGAAGGGAATGGGGAGTCGGTATTTAATGGGGACAGTTTCACTTAGGGAAGACAAAAACGTTCTGGAGATGGATGATGGTAACAGTTGCACAACAATGTAAATACACGTACTGCCACTGAACTGTACACTTAAAAACGGTTAAGACAGCAAATTTTTCTGTTATGTATGTTTTACCTTAATAAAATACCTGGTATGGTATGTAGCCGTTATCTCTGAGGAATCATTAAGAAATAATGACAGAAACTGGTACTTGCAATGCTGTCTTTAAAATCTGGTTTTTATTTTTATTATTTTTTTACTTTTTTGAGACAGTCTCATTCTATTGCCCAGGCTGGAGTGCAATGGCGTGATCTCGGCTCACTGCAACCTCTGCAACCCCCTGGTTCAAGCGATTCTCCTGCCTCAACCTCCTGAGTAGCTGGGATTACAGGCACATGCCACCACGCCTGGCACATTTTTGTATTTTTAGTAGACATGGGGTTTCACCATGTTGGCCAGGCTGGTCTCGAACTCCTGACTTCAAGTGATCCGCCCATCTCGGCCTCCCAAAGTGCTGGGATTACAGGCGTGAGCCACCGCACTCAGCCAAAATCTGGTTTTAAGAAGAACTCCTTTATCACCATGTGGCAAATCAAATTCTTAACCTCTAGTAACAAACAAGAAAAACTCAGAGAAAAGAATCCCTAAGGATTCCAGACAGTAAACCATAAACTAAAAGCAATGTGTGGCTGTGAGGGGTGGCAGGTAAGATTGTTGTGCCCCAGCATGTGCCCCTGAGGCTGGCCCCGGGTGCTTGCAACCCCTCTCAGGGCTCTCCCAGCCCCAGCCCCGGGTACCCAGAGGGGCTGTCCTGCCCCTGCGAGCACCACAGCCTGGCTCTGCGGTTCTGAGCTGTGTCATCCTTCACACAGGACCCCCACCGCCCCAGCTCTGGGCCTCAGGGACAACAGTGGGAAACCAGAGGCCTTCAGGCCTGGGTCTCTGCTCCCACCTGCAGACAGGACAAGGGGAAGGGGTGTGTGACTGACTCTGCCCTACCCCCACTCTGGGCAGGGAAGGGTGACTGCGTGGCTGGCTCCCTGCACCGTGGACTGACCCTCACGACGCTCCAAGAGGTGACCCTTCTCCTGCCCAGGGTCATACAACGGGGCCCAAATGAGGCACAGGCCCATCCTCACCACGGAGTCACGCCTGCTGGAGACTTTCCTCGCCACATCTCTGTCCCCACAGCCCAGAGGGGGAAACTGAGCCCCAGTGTGTGCTTCCTGCTGGTGATGCCCCCATGGGTGACCAAGGCTGGGAAGAGCCCCACATTTACCCCAGGGCAGTGAGGCCACAGAAACAGCACTGGAGTCACAGGGAGGCTGTGCTCTGGTCCATCCACACTCCAGAGCCTCCATCCTTGGTGCCAGAAAGTGGAGGTGAGTGGAATTTAAAATGACAACTCTATTCCAGCATCCTCAGCCCACACTGGGGGAAATAGTTCAGCCAGGTGTCAGTGGCGAGAGGGTGGTGGTGGGAGGGTGGGGCAGAGACCCAGAAGTGCCTGTGACACTCTCAGGGGCTGCAAAGCCCCAGAACGGCCTTCAGAGCTAGGGACAAGCCACCGAGTACCTGGGAGGGCAGGAGAAGGAGGGCCACCCAAAAGACAGGATCCTTTAAGTGAAAGGAGAAAGGAGAGGGAGGAAGAGGGAGGGAAGGAGGGGAGGATGATGAGGCTGGAGAAAGAAACAGCCCCAGGTCCTTCCCGGGAGGGGCTGCCCCATAAAGTGAGGGGGGTGCCCAGTGGCCATCGTCACCACACCAGGAAGAGCCTAGAAAAGACCAGGAAGCAAAAGAGGGAGGAAAAGTGGAAACATGAAGTGAGAAAAAGAGAGGGAGAGAAACAGAGAGACAGAGGAGACAGAGAAAGAGTAACACCTCCCGCAAGACAGGCTGTCCTGGGTTGGATGTCATGTGGACAATTGGTCAAGATAAGAATTTGTGAATGTCAATCAGAGAATAAAAATGTAAGAATAAAATGAACCTGGCCTCAGGCATGCAGAGGAGTTGTGAAAAGCATCAAAATCACTGCTTTTCTCAGGGTTTTTGACTGGGAGGGGTGTTCTCCGTCAGTCCCTGGGGCTGTTATGATGAAAGGATGGGGATGGGGTGGTGGTAGGCAGTGGGCCCAGGACAGCTGGGTCCCCAGCTCTGTCGAAGGAGGAGTACAGGCTCAGCCACATTAATTTCCAGGGAGACAGCAGGACCCTCGGGGCTGGTGCGCTTCCTCAGCAGCGGCCTTGTGACCACCACTTTCTCACTAGCCACTGGGCCCATCACCCCTGATGGGCTCCTGGCATCCCAGCACCCAGCCCAGCCTCCACCCACCTCCCGCTGCCTAGCTGGGGTCCTGAGTGACAGGCCAGCACTCCCTCGCTCCGTCCCATTCCCCTGATCCTTGGGCTGCCTTTCAGGGCACACACATTGTGCCTCAGAAGTCCCACACTGCAATGGAAGTCGTCCTGCTGCTATGAGGCCCTGACAAGGACTTTAGGGGCCCAGGCTTTCTCTGAGGAAGGAAAAAGGGCACAGGCGGAGGGCACCCCTGAGGCCCACCTCACACTGCAGTAATGGGAAGCTACAGCCCCAGCCTTGCTACAAAGGCCTGGCCTGGAGTTTCTGATGTGACAGTCCCAAGGGCCACTCAGGAAACAAGCAAAATAGAGTCCCAGAACGTGAGGTGAGGCCCAGACGTGGGGTGAGGCTATGGGGGCAAAGTTTGGAAGCCAGGGCACCTACTGGGTTCCTAGTCACAGCGGAACCCTCAGTCACACAGCCCTGAAAGTAAGGTGGTACAGACGGCATCTTCCCCTGTGCTGGTCTCTGGAAAGGGTCACCCAATGTGTCATGTGTCCCTGAACTCCAGGTCAGAACCCGCCCCAGGCCCAGCTTATGTGAGGGCTCACAGGTTCCTGGATCTTCCTGGGCCAGTGGGAACCTGGCCCTCCCCAGTGCCTCTGGCCTGAGCTCACATCAGGCACAGGCCCAGAGGGCTGGCTAAGTTTAGAGATGCTGTCATCCGGCACCAGTCAGATGCTCCAGTGACAAGGCTTCTTCTCACAGTTTTTTGTTTGCGAAGACACTTCGCAGCAGAGGCTGGTTCAAAGAAGGTGGCCTGGCCAAAGCCGCATTTCTGCTGGGGTCCTGAAGATTAGGGGAGGCCGCCCACCCTGAGCCAGGCATTGGCAGTCACTTTAATTTCTAAGCTCACTTCTCAGCAATGTGAACGTCGAGATCCAGATGTGAGAGCTTTTATTTTCTGAGTAGGTTTTATTTCTTTGACATCTTTATTGAGATTTAATTCATATACCAAACAATTCACCCATTTAGAGTATATAATTCAGATAAATATATCTCAACAAATATATTGAGAGTTGTATATCCATTACCACAATCTAAGTTTATAACATTTTCATCACTTCAGAACCAAACTTCTACGCATTAGCAGTCACTGCCCATCCTCTTTCCATCCATTCTCGCTCCAGTTTTTGTCCTACAGGTTTGCCTTTTCTGGACATTTCATAAAAAGGGGATTAAACAACACATGGCCTTTTGCGACTGGCTTCTTGCACTGAGCATGACGTTTTGAACGTTCGTCCACATTTCAGCATGTGTCGGTGCTTATTAGCATTTCATTCCTTTTTATGCCTGAATAATATTCCACTGTATGACTATAACACATTTTTCTCACGCATTCAATCAGCTGGTGGACATCTGGGCTGTTTCTACTTTTTGGCTATTATGGATAATGCTGCTATGAACCAGTTTTTGTGTGGACATATGTTTTCATAGCTCTTGGGCATATACCTAAGAATAGAACATTTTGAAGACCCACCAAAGTATTTTTCATAGTAGCTGTGCCATTTTACATCCTCACCAGCAATGAATGAGCATTCCAACTTCACACCCTCACCAACACTTGCTATTATCTGTCTTTTCGACAGTAGCCATCCTAGTAAGAGTGAAATGGCATCGCATGATGGTTTTGAATTGCATTTCCATAATGATGCCAAAATCTTTTCATGTGCTGTGGGCTATTTGTTACCTATTTTAGAGAAATGTCTAAGTCCTTTGCCCATTTTTTAATTAGGTTGTTTCTTCTTACTGTTAGGTAGTAAAAGTTCTTAAAGTATTCTGAATACAAATTCCTTACCAGACAGATGGTTTGCAAATATTTTCTCCCATTCTATGGACTATTCTATTCCACTTTCTCAATGGTGTCCTTTGAATACAAAAGTTTTCACTGTTAATGAAGCCCAACAGCAAAACTATTTTTCTTTCGTTGTTTATGCTTGTGGTGTCATATCTAAAAAACCATTGCCTAATACAAAGTTGCAAAGATTTACTCTTATGTTTTCTTCTAAGAATTCTGTGATTTTAGCTCCTACATTTAGATCTATTATTTATTTTGAAATAATTTTTGTATATGGTGTCAAGTACAGCTCCAACTTCATTCTTCTGCATGTGGATACTCAATTGTCCATTTGTTGAATGGACCGTTATTCTTCTCCACTGGAATTGTCTTGGCACCCTTGTAAAAAATCAACTGAACATAGATGTATGGATTTATTCTACACTCTCAATCCTATTTCACTGATCTATGTATTTATCCTTATGTCAACACCACACTGTCTTGATTGCTGTAACTGTGTAGTTAGTTTTGAAATCAGAACCCGTGAGTCCTCTGACTTTGTTCTCCTTTTTCAAGATTGTTTTAGCTATTTTGGGTCTCTTGCATTCCTATGTGAATTTTAGGGCCAGGTTGTCAATTTTTGCAAAAAACGCAGCTGGAATTTTCATAGCAAAAATGTAGGTCAATTTGGAGTATACTACTATTTAACAATATTAAATATTCCAATCCATGAACATGGGATGTCTTTCCATTAATTTAGGTCTTCTTTAATTTCTCTCAACAGTGGTTTGTGGTTTTCAATGTACAAGTCTTGTACTTCTTTTATTAAATTTAGTATTAAGTGTTTTATTTTTTAGATGCTATTGTAAATTGTTTTTCCTAATTTTGTTATTTTGAACTTCTAGTCCATTGAAATACAATGGATTTTTGTATATTGGTCTTACATCTTGCAACTTTGCTAAATTCATTTTTTAGTTCTAATAGTTTTTTAAATGGATTCCTTAGGATTTTCTATATACGAAAGCATGTAATCTGAAAAGAGAGGTAGCTATAACTATTTATTTCCAATCTGGGAGCCTTCTATCTCTTTTTCTTGCCTAATTGCCCTGGCTAGAATCTCCTATACCGTGCTGCCTAGAAATGGAAAGAGCAGATACATTCAGTTTTCCACCATTAAATATGAGGTTAGCTGCAGATTTTTCACAAATGTATTTTATCAAGTTAAGGAAGTTCCTTTCTACTTGTCATTTGTTGAGTTTTTATCATGAAATGGTATTGGTTTTTTTTTAAATGCTTTTTCTGCATCTATTGAAATGGTTCATATAGTTTCAATGTTTGTTCTATCAACGTGGTGTATTATATAGATTGATTTTTGTATGCTGAATGAACCTTTCATTCTTGGGATACATCCTACTTGTTCATAATGTATAAATAATCCTTTTTATATGTTGCTAGATTTATTTTGCTAGTGTTTTGTTGAGGATGCTTCATCTGCATTCATAAGTGATAACAGTCTGTAGTTTTGTGATATCTTTGGTTTTGGTATTAGGGTATTGCTGGCTTCACAGAATGAATTGGAAAGAATTTCCTCCTCTTCTACTTTTTGGGGGAGCTTGTAAAAGACTGGTATTAATTCTTCTTTAAATGTTTGGTAGGATTTACCAGTGAAATTATCTGAGCCTAAGCTTTCCTTTGTGGGAAAATTTTAAATTACTAAGTCAGTCTCTACTTGTTATAGGTCTATTCAGATTTTCTATTTCTTCTTGAGCCAGATTCAGTAGTTTGTGTCTTTCTAAGTATTTGTCCATTTCATCCAGGTTATCTAACTTGAGGGCACATAATTATTCATAGTTATTTCCTTATAATTTTTTTTCTGTAAGGTTGGCAGTAAGGTCCCCTGTGTCATTCCTGATTTTAGCAATTGGAGTCTTCTTTTTTCTTGGCTTTACCATCCTTTTTATAATAATAACCTTCCTCCTAACTAGCACTCCTGAGTCTTCTTAATTATTCTCAGAGGTATTAATCACCTTCTACCCTATCATATAATTTTTTTAGTATTTATGTTTATTGCCTGCCTCTATCCAGCAGTATATAAGCTCCCTAAGGGCAGGCATCCTTGACTGCTTTGTTCACTACTGTTTCCCAAGCACCTATGGCACATGGTAAGTACAGGCAACCAGACTTGCTGAATAAATGAATAAGTCTTCAGGAGAGCAAAAGAAATCTGGAACAGACTAAGACAGCTATGACTGTAACTATTATCCTTAAAAGAAACCAGGAAAAATGAAAAAAAAAAAAAAAAGCATGGTGATTTTGAAGCTCTGGCCCTGTGTTGTCCAATACTGTGGTCACTGTCACCATGTAGTCATAAGAACCTGGTCCAAACTGAGATGTGCCGTAAGGGTAAAATACACACCAGATTTCAAGACGTAGTACAAAAAGGAATGCAAAATAGCTTAATAATTTCTGTTTTGATTACATGTTGAAATGATTTTTTAATTTTTGTACAGATGGGGTTTTGCCATGTTGCCCACGGTCTCTAACTCCTGGGCTCAAGTGATCCACCCACCTTGGCCTCCCAAAGTGCTGGGATTACAGGCACGAGCCACCGCACCAGGCCTCTGAATGATATTTTGGATATAAAGTTAAATAAATATATTTTTAAAGTTCCTTTCACCTGTTTCTTTTTTTTCTTTACGTACTAGAAAATTTTTAATCACACATATGGCTCAACTTTGTATCACATTTTATCTCTTCTGGACAATGCAGCTCTCGACAACTTGGATGGGGTGGGCGGTGGGGTAGTAATGTCATTGTGAATGTAGAGAAAATGAAGGTAAACTTCAAATTCATGCCTAGGTGGGCTCTGAAAGAACCAAGGGTTATATGAAGGAGTGTGGGCTTAGGCGAGTGTCTGGCCTCAGGTGCAGACTCCTCTGCAGAGTCTAGGTATGCAGTGCCCATTGGAATCACCTGGGAGCTTTTAAAAACTGCTGATACCCCATTTCCCTAGTGTCTGGCTAAATGCGATGGGGCCTGAACACTCCTCAGGGGCTTCCCATGTGTGGTTGGGGTTGAGAACCACCACATGGTCATCTTCTTTGGGAGGGCCTGCTCCTAACCAGACTCCTACCCTTTGCCCAGAAAGCCCCTAACTAATGGCCTGGATCAAACTCACAGACGCTGAGAATCAGGCAGCACCTCAACAAACAAGAAGTCATGTGAACAACCTCATTAAGAAATTAGCTGAAAGCTGCAAGCCTCTTGGAGTCAAGCTCCATGACAGACATATAAGTGCTGACAGCCCTGCTACTGCATTTCACCGGGTGACAAGACTGTCTACCCAGACTGGACATCAGAATACCCGCAAGACCTACCTGCAGAGCCACCCAATACCTCTTATAAGGCCCTCATCTTTTACAGGGTGGGTGTGCCACTGCTCTGGGAAGCAGTCCCAGGTGCAAGGCCTGAGTGACCCAGACCATTGCTGAGTCACTGTGGAGCACCTACTGTGTGCCAGGCACTGTTCTCAGCACTTGAATTCAGGGTGTGTTGGGTGACAGAATCAAGGCTCCTCAGCTCCTTGCTGGAAACGGCACTCACTGGGATGTGCTTGACACCCAGAGGGCATTACAGCAAAAGGCATAACACCTGCAGTACTTCATTGTAAGGGCGACAGCAGCTCCTGCCCTCCAGGCTTCTCTTGCTGCTCACAAAGTGAGGAAACAAGGACTGTGGGTCCCAAATTCCACCCTGTACAAGTGTGCCATTATGCTTCCTCCCATAAAATCTTCTTAAATCTTTGCCTGGTTGTTGCCAATCTGTTCTAGAATTCAACAAAAGCTTCTGTCTGGCTTAACAAAGAATCATAACTTAAGTTATTTTTGGATAATTATGTCAATACAAAAAGAACTATGTCCACCAGGAACTGAGCCCTCAACAAGTGACCCTCTAACCCAGGAGACAAAAGCCACCCAAAAGTTTGGCAGCTAGCAACACCACCTTTCTCTAACATAAAAGGATGTTTTCATTTTAAATAAATTCAAGTTTTTCTATGAATAAAATATACATATCTGTGTAATATGCCAATATGATAATTTTTTAAAAACCAAGTTGATACATAATGCATTTTTATGTTTCTACACTAACAAAGTGACTTGCAGCTGTAAAAGATGCTTTAAAAATAATCAAATCAGATTCAATTTTTGTGGGGGAAGAGAGAGAGAATTAAATTTTTTGAAAATATATTTAAAATCTCCAGAAAGGCCACATCTCTTGCCTGGATGAGGGAGGTGGCATCACGGAACACAGGGAAATGGGAGTGGTCTTCCCAGGGACAGACATTGCACACTTATCTCCACCTGGTCTCTTCTAGTAAATTACTGTTAAATTCTAGGGTGGCTCAATATAGACTCTTTAAAGGCCAATGGAGCAAAAATGAGGGAAACATCCCTGTTAGAATTTTTAAGTAGAAGATACAAAACCTAAACATTGCATATCTCTCCCCTCTGCTCTTCGGGATTCCTAGAAAAGGGGGATGGAAAGATGGGAATAGGTCCTTCAGTTCTTTCAAGTGAGACCTGAGACATCCTTAGTCCTGTGGCCTTTGACCGCGGCAGGAGTCCACTTGCACCCACCTCCACAGGCCCAGCCCCTGCAGCTGGTCGTGCTGAGAACACAGCTTTCCTTCACAACAGTTGGGCCCTCCTAATGACCTTTCAGGCCCTGATTTCAAATATAGCATCCTATTATATATCCCATCACACTTGCTAGAGGATGGGTCCCAATTTTTGGTTTAAAAAATGTGGCCAACGCGTATGCACACATTTCTCTGCTAAGAATTGGAAGGCACTTAGCTGAAGAAAAGACTTACTGACACGGGGGGTCGTCATGAAAGTGTTGGGCAAACAGATTGCAGAATCACATATATGGTGATTCCATCTGTGTTTTGAAATCATCTATATCTGCTATATATGTAGATGTGTATATATGTACACACACACATATCCTCATACTGACATTAAAATTAAGAGGCCAGGTACCTCTGGAGAGTGAGGGAACTTGAGTGTAAAGGAGTCACATTTTACGGCACGTACTTCTGTATTACTTGGTGTGTGTGTGTATGTGTCTGTGTGTGTTTTACAAGATCATATTGCCCTGGTAATTTAATTAATAAAATAAAAATTTCTAGTCTTGCTGGTGTCATATGGAGTCAGAGTGTTGGTTGTCTTTGATGACGAAACGAAGTAACATCTTCACAAAGGGGAACCTAGAGGTAGGGGGCCCTTGGTTTGGAAAAGCACAAATACATCATGGTGAGCAGCCGGCCAAGGACAGGTGCCCAAAAGCCTCAGGTCAGAGTAGACCACAAGCTGGCCATGAGTCAGCCAGTGGAGTCACAGCATTTTTAAAGCACAGAATAGAGTAGGGTAATGAGCTTCTGAGAGGAGCAGAATGTGGATTCAAATCCTGACCCTGTGTGACCTTTCCTGGGGAATGGGGCTTCTCTGTGCCTCAGCTACCTCTCCTGTAAACTTGGGATGATTACAGTACCTACTTCACAGATCTAGCGCGTTAATATAATAAGCACCATTTAAGCGCTAGCAACTGTTACCAGAAAAGAAAAGTCCTGGTAGCAAGCATGCAGATATATTCTTAGCTCTCAGCAAAGTAGGTTATGGTATAAAAATACCATTAAATAGTAACTAAACTAGCATCACCTTAATGCACATCTTGCCAGCAATCTCAGCATGTGCGACTTCTTTTTAAACTACCCTACATTAAGGAATCAAGACCAGGAGGACTCTTGCTGGCCTCCTGGGAGCCAGGCCGGAAGGCAGAGGCCCACCCAACTCACCCCTTCCCCACCTCGGGCCAGGCACTGGGGACACAACCATGGCAGGGAGCCGGACCTCCGCCTCTCTGTGGGTAAGCTGTCCAGCACATCAGATGGGGCAAAGTGCCAGGGAGAAGACAAGCTAGGGGGAGGGGCAGGGAGCAGTGGGGAGGCAAAAGGAGAGCCAGGGCAGGGGGCATCTGGGAGAGCCTGCTGAGCAGCCCAAGGGAGTGAGCTGTGAGGGGTCAGGGGAAGAGAGGCAGCTTGGCCAAGGCCCCCGAGGCAGGGAGTGCCTGGTGTGCTCTGGGGAGAGAGAAAGCAAATACGATGATCCCTCCTCCTCCATTCCTCTCTTCCCTGGCAACCGGCTCAGAGCTTGGAGACTCAAAAATTGATTCGCTCTGAATTTCCTAAGTTTATCTATTAACTACCTAACAGGCCATTCGCTTGTTCACAGTGTGCCTCTCGGCAGAAGGCATCCGCCAGCTGACAGTGATGCCCCCGCGAGCGGTCAGGCCACACACACCCCAGGATATAGTCGCTTGCTGGCGACTGGGGTACCACTGGATGGAGTCAAGGACATATCAAGGTCAGTTTTGGGCCTATCTCAGGTTTAGTGGGAGAGATGGGAGGGGTGGGAGATGCCCTAGACTGGAGCTCAGGGGCCATTCTTGCTGCCTGGGCTTGGGCAAGTTGCCAATCTTTCCTGAACTTCGGTTCTTTGTCTGTAAAATGGGGCTGGGGAGAAGGGCCTTTCTGGACAATTGGAATCAAATAAAACCAAACATTTAAAGTAATGTACACATTAGGTGTTGTTACAACATGGCCCAGCCCTAGCTGCCATCTCCGCCAAAAAAGGAGGGGCCCATGAACCCCTGAAATGAAATCCAAAACCTCGTGGGAGATGCTTTCTTCTAGGGAGATCTCCATGTTTGAAAAGAGACAACTCCCCAAAAATGGAAGATTCACGAGGCTGAATACAAAATGTGAGACCTCTTCCTACCCAACAAACGGTCGACACTGACAACCCATCAACACTGACAACCTGCCAACCTGAGGAATGGCAGCACCCAGGGAAAGGGGCGGCCCCAACGCTGCTGTGTGAGTGGACACTGCAGGGAGAGTGGCGGCACCTGCAAAGACAGAAGACTCGAGGACCCTCCTCGGCAGCCCCACTGCCAGGGACACACCCTAAAGAAACTCTCACACCTGCGCCCCAGACGCATTCAGGGCCCGGGCCGTGACGGTGCTGGCCACAGTGTGCTGAGTGACAATGGAACACAGGAGACAACCTAGATTTCCATTGGGATGGGGGCACGCAGGACAGTGTTCACACTACAGGTCGCCACGCAGCAGCCTGCGATCAAACACATCGACGAGCACAGGTGTCAACAAGACTGTTGAGTGAAAAGTACAAGTTCCAGGTTTTTTATGTAAAGTTAAGAAAAACACCCACACAAAACAATCCTATATATTAGTTATGGATACTTATATCCATGTGTAAATGTACCCGAAAGAGCCTGGGAGGAAAAATACAAAAGCAGTAGTTGGAAGGAAATGGGTTACTTAATATTTCTTTGTAATACTTCTTATAATTTTTTTAAAAAAGGACTTAAAGCCAAAATGACAAAAGAGTAACCATTTTCAATTCTGTGTAGAAGAGATACTGTGTTCATTTTATTATTTCTGGGATTTTTCTGGATTTTTAAAGTTTATCCAATATAAAAAAAATAAAAACTGCACTGTTGGCTGGGCCATGCCGGGCTGAGGGCTTCCTTGCCTTGCTCTGTACCTGCTCCCACATGGGCCACCAGGCTAGTGTCTGTGAGCCCTGCCAGGCTGAGCAGGGAAGGGCACACACTCCCTATAGAGCTGGGCAGGGCAGGGCCCCAGAAAGCGGCCCCTCTTGGCTGGCTGACCCTGCTGCCCAGGCCTCTGGGGAAGATTCGGGAGCAGAGACAGCAGAAAAGGATGGGGCAAGGGAGGGGAAAGGCCAGTGGCCTCGTCACACATGAGCAGCTGTGGGCCTGAGGCCAAGCCCTTCCTTTGGGCAGGGAGCTCAGCGCCACCTGACTGGGTGCCAGTGGCTGCAGCTTTAAATAAACTTGGACATGTCCACCTGGGGCCAGGAAGCAACACCAACTGTGCCCTGGGCAGGCACTGTCAACAACCAGCCAGCATAACAACCAAGGGACCCCAGCGCTGCAAATGGGCTGAGTGCCCACAACTGAGCCCTGGCCTCAGACATCCCCCTTAGGTGCCCTGCTCTGCCCTCCCAGCTCCCTGGCCCACCTCTATGGCACGGCTGCACCCCCGAGGAATCGGTCCCTTCCCTACCCAAGAGCCGCCACAGCAGGGCAGTGGTAGGCCCTTGGCGTCGCCAGGGACCCGGCGCCTAGCAGGGCTCCACAAAGGTGCACTAGGCTGAGCTGCCTGCTCCTGGCTTGGGCATCTCCTCTTGTCCCAGGTCATGGGGCTCCCCTCGATGCCAGGCCCCACTCCTCACCTCGCAATGCATGGCTCCCAGTGCTTTCGCTCAGGAGGCCACACTCGCTCCTTTCCAGCAGCAGCTCATTCTCTGGCTTGACAGAGAAGCCCAGCAGTCTTAGCCCCACCTGGTCTCCACCTCTGGAGCCACCTCTCTCAACCTTCCCCAGGCAGCCCCAAAGACCTCCATTCCCCAGTGTGGGTGGCACTGGCCAGGACATCCAGCTGCGCTGGAATCGGAGGCTCAGCGGGGAGCTGGCCACCCGGACACTGCCGCTGGACGCAGGGAGGCTCGCAGCAAAGGGAAGAAGGAACAGCCAGAGTGAGCTGCAGTCTGAGGACACTGGGTGCACATGGGGAGGTCTTGAAAGTGGCTTCTTTGGAGAAGACCAGGGACACCTGCTGTGAGGGCCTCTGTGCTTCTGAGCGCAAGCAGAAAAGACAACAAGAAGGCTCCTGAGGAAAGACTGACTTCCCACTGTTGCTCTCTTCCTCAGAGAACCAGGCACATTAACTGCCACCCACCTGCCCCTCCAGTGGCCAGGACACCTCTGGAGGCCAAGAGGACAGACGGGGGTAGATCGGTGCATCTGAGGGGTGAAGACCGGGGAGCCAGCCACCCACTCAGGGATCCGCATGAAGGGGGCTGGGCTCGCCCTCTCCCTCGAGGTCTCAGCCCTGTGGTGCTCTCCAGATCCACCCAAGGAAGGGTCCCCCAGCCAGCCTGGCCCCCCACCCCACCCATCCAGCATGGGCTTCTTGCAGGGCTGGGCTCCACATCCCTAACCCCTACCAGAATTCTCTCCACACGTGCAGGGAGAAGTGGGGAATGAACACACCCCCACACTCCTCCAGCTCCGCACTCCACAATTATCAATGATCAGCGTCCCTCACCCACCACAAGGTTTCACCAGACACTTATTTAGTAAAGGAAAAAAAGGATCTGTTGCTGGATGTGTAAGAGGAAATCTCGCCAGCACCGCCAGCGCCCCCACCGCCTGCACTGAAGGGACGGAGGAGGATGGGGGAGGACGCAGGAGGATGGGGCTCTGGCCCAGTCAGGCTGGAGATTCAGGAGTTCTGAAGCTAGCCCTAGGGATGCCAGGTGCAGCCACCTTGATTCTCAGAACGGGAGACCCCAGGCCAGACAGGAGGCCCCTGAGGCGCTCCCCATCTCACCCCAGGGGCAAAGCCGGGTCCGGGGACCACGAACCAGACCTTCGCCCTACACTGCTCATACTGCCAAGGAGAGAACGGGAGCCACAGCACCTGTTCCCCGTGAGGTCCCACTTCAAACAAACCTTCAAAGCCCCTTCCCCTTTAGGGCGCCCCCGCCAACAGTCCAAAATCCAGCCCCCATCCACCTCGATGACCCTGAAATTTGCAATCCAGTCAGGCTCTTAGTCTCTCCCCGCTATCCCCATGACCTGATCCAGGCTCCCTGACCTCGTCCTCCCCACACCTCCAAATTCCTGTTTCCAGAAGAATCTGGGGGAAAATCCTCCAGAACCCAGATTCCCCAGGGGACCTACAGCAGAGGCTCTCCCACGCCGGCACCCCCAGCGCGGATGGGGCCACGCGCAGGAGCAGGCGCAAGCAGGTCCCGCCACCCCCGCCGCCTGCCGCTCGGGTGGGGGTGGGGACAGCGCACCCGCGTCGGGGACGACCCTCTGGGGCCGCAGCCGACCCCTCCCGGCGCTCCAGGCCCGGGGGCCACCCCCGCGCGCCCCTCCTCTCTGACCTCCCCGCCGCCAAATGCGTCACGTCTGCCGGGCGCTCCGGGGACACCTGCTGCCGCCCCCGCCGCGCCAAGTCGCGAGCCCGGAGCCCCGGCCCGGCAGCCGCGCTGGGCAGAGCTGGGCAGGGCCGCGCGCGCTGAGGTCAGGCAGCCAGGCCCGGGGCCGGGGGCTCGCGGGTCGGGGCCGCGCGGGGCCGTGCGCTTGGGCCCGGAGCCCAGAGAAGCCGGCGGCGCGCGGGCCCGCAGTGCGCCTGGAGCCGGCGGCGCGGAGGGTCCCGGAGGTCCCGGCCCTCTGGGGTCCCCGGCCCAGCCCGCGCGCGCCGCTGCTCTTACTTGCCAATATCCTCGTAGAGCTGGTACTCGTCGGTGAAGCGGGTGCAGGTCACCGTGGTGGCCATGGCGGCGGCGGACGGGCTCGGCGTGCGCTCGGCTGCGCTCGGGCGGCGGCGACTCCGGCTCCCGCTCGCGGGCACGGCGGCGACACGGGCGCGGGCGCGGGAGACACCTCGGCTCGCGGCGCCAGGCGGGGGCCGGGCTGGGCTGCGCCGGGCGGCGAGCGCACGCGAGATCTGCTCGCTCCGTCCTCGCCAGGAGCGCGCCGCACACCTACGCGCGGGGAGGCGCGGGCGCCGCTGTCACCGCCGCCGCCGCCGCGCCCGCCCCGCCCGCCGCCCCCTGCACGCGCCTTCCCCGCGCCCTGCACACGCTGCTCCTGCACCCGCACCCGCAGGGCACCGGCGCCCTGCATCTGCACACGCGCCCTGCACACACACCCTTGCCCCGCACCCGCAACGCACCTGCACCTGCACCTGCACTCACACGCGCGCCCGCCCCCGCCCGCCCCCGCACCCCACACACACACCCGCGCCCTGTACTGACGCCTTCATCCTCTACCCGCACCACGCCCGCACCTCGCGCACGCAGGCCACTTGCTGCTGCCGACCCCTCGCTCTCACATAACACAGAAGAGTGCACATAATGAACGCAGCCTCCTCTCTCTCTCTCGAAGGCCCACCTAGCCTGACAGCAGGAGGGGACTGGGGCCCACATGGAGGTAGAGGGCTCATGTGCTGCCCTCCACAGGACTCATTCCTCACACCCTCAGGAAGAGATGCTGCCAGATCCCTTCTGCCCAGTCTCCATCAGCCACACATGCCCCAAAGGCTGCCTGGCCAGGAGGAACCGCCCAGAAGGCAGTGTACACACTGGGTCACTAGCATGAGAAAGTGAAAGGGTGGGGCCTGCCCCCTCCCCTTGGCCCCAGCCCCTCCCTTCCCCCTCACTTCTCCAAAGACTGGTTGCTGGGTTGTCTGGAATGGAGGTCCCAGGAGGCAACATTCGGAGTCCAGACCAACGGACCCTGAGCCAGGGGAACAGGGGCTGCTCCACCAGCAATTTGGGGGGCCTGAGAGCTCACAGCCACCCTGATCAGGTAAAGGTGCACATTCTCTCCTTTTCCAGCACGGTCCACCTGCCTGCCCCCTGCTTTTGCCTGGAGGAGGAGGGCCCACACACCCCAACCCCCTCCTGAAAGCAGCCAAGGAGGAGGAGAGTGCAGGGAGGCAGGCAGGAGGCAGGGCGACCCGGTTTCCCACAAAACAGCCTTCCCTGAGGCCTGGCACCAGGGCTGCTGTCCAGAACCGGGACTTTAGACCACTGGGCTCCAGCATCCCCACACTCTTCTCTGACGGGGTCCATCCTGGGCAGGCTCTGAGGAGGGGGTTTCCAGCAGCCAGCTCTGGATTTGGGTCACGCTGCTGCCCTGATATGACTTCCTTACTGCTCCCCAAGGACCAATTCTGGGCCTATCCTGCTCATCCCTCTCACCTCGTGGCCAGCCCAGGGCAAGCCCCAGAAGCCACAATAAATGTCATGTGGATAAGGGAGGGGATAAAGGCATTCTGAGTGCTGGCAGCCAGGGCCCTTCTGGGCCAGGATGCATTTGGCATGGGACTGCTGGGCAATTAGTAGACCACACGGCAACAAGTCCCTGCCATCGACCCACCTGCACCCAGAAGACACTAGAGGACGAGAAATTCTCAGGCCAAAGGCAAATGCTGGGCCACCTGGGGAAGTCCCCAGCTGAGGAAGCAGAGGGATCCTGGCCTTGACTTCAGCAGGACCATAGCAGGAAGGGAGACCCCGTCTATGTCAGACTTGGACTCAGAGAATCCTGGGCCATCCTAACAGACAGACTGGCATGGGCTCGAGAAAGGACTGGAGGCCAAGTCTGAGGTTTGTTCTTGGCGTTGTGTTTAACCCCACAGGAGTTTCTTCCAGCACCTGCTGGATGCATCCATATTTTCCCTTTCTGAGCTCTGGAAAGACGAGGTAGGGCCACACAACAGAATACAAATAACAAGCCAAGCACGGTGGCTCACGCCTGTAACAAGCTCACAGTGGCTCACAGCCCCAGCTATGTGGGCCAGGCTGGTCTCAAACTCCTGACCTCAGGTGATCCACCCACCTCGGCCTCCCAAAGTGCTAGGATTACAGGCATGAGCCACTGCACCCGGCCGAGGTCACCTTTCAAAAGTTGAGAAGCTGCCCAGGACCAGGGTTACACAAGAATGTGGGGTCACTAAGAGATGCAATTTGAGATTCATTGTATCCTATACTTCTTCCCGCCTTTTGTACCTGTTAGCACCTGGGACCCCCAGGCAGTCCCTCCTCCGAGCTGAAATATTAGAGGTATGAAGCAGAGCTACCCTGGCGAGCGCAGGAAGGTTGGCATGATTGGGCACCAGACAGTGGGGAAGGGCTGGGCTATCAGAGGCAGCCAGACTGTCCCTACCCAGACAGCTTGACCCCACACTAACACTCAAAAAACAGCCCAGTCCCCACCCTCAGACCCAGACGGCTTCTCCCTATCATAGGAAAATGGGTAGAAGGGAGAAAGACTTCCAGCCATGACTCTCTGGTCCCAGATTCCAGAAGCCCTCTCATCTGGCTTTGGCTCTGGTCAGAGAGGCCCAGACTTCCCCCTCTTCCCACCCCTGCCTTCAGGAAGGGCCCACTTCCACCCCAACCCCCGTGTCATCTCTGCCTCCCACCTTGTCCTTTCAAGCTTGCTTTCGTAAGCGAGGAGGGCTCTCCCTCCCAGGTGGCAGCTGGGGAGGGTGTGGGGAATATCAGTTCTGGGAGGTTATTGTTAGGACGGTCACCATGGCAACAAGCATCACATCTGCAGAGCCAAAAGTGCTGCACATGGGGTTCATTATCCCAAAGAAAGCCACGCCTCCCCTGTCCCCCTCACCTCCAGGGACTGCTGTCATGTGGAAGGGTGTCACTGCACCTCCTCTCTCAGGCCCAGCCATCCACCAGGGAGAGCAGGCTGTGGTTCCCAGAGCAGGAAGACCCTAGTCCATCCATCTCCCATCATCTGGCCCTTGACATGGCAGCCCATACAGGACACAGTGGCAAGCACATGGAGTGGCTATGGTGGTGATGGTTACGATAATGATGGTAATGATGGTGGTGGTGGTGGTGATAATGATAATGATGGTAATGGTGGTGCTGGTGGTGGTGGTAATAATGATAATGATGGTGTTGGTGACAATGATGGTGATGGTCATGGTGGTGGTGATGGTGGTGCTGCTGATGGTGGT
Source organism: Homo sapiens (assembly GCF_000001405.40). Lineage (NCBI taxonomy): Eukaryota > Metazoa > Chordata > Mammalia > Primates > Hominidae > Homo > Homo sapiens. Next base: position 44,328,632 of record NC_000007.14, read on the forward strand.
GGTGGTGGGGATGGTGATGGTGGTGGTGATAATGATGGTGTTGGTGACAATGATGATGGTGGTGATGGTGATGGTGATGATGAAGGCCATAGCTACAATTTACAATTCACTCATCACCTGCCCTAAACCATTCTAAAAGTCCAACATCCACCATTTTGAATAAACTTCATAGCATTATCATTGCCTCCCTTTTACAAATGAGGAAATTGAGACACAGACTCTAACTGGCCTCAGGTCAGACAGCTAGTTTAGTATTGGCATCTGGATCTGCCTGACTTTGTGGCTGGTTCCTTTAACCACTGTGTCCTGCTTAGGGGTGTCCACCAGCCTTCTTTGTGCAGTTACTGTGTGCCCAGCTCTGTCCAGGCACTCAGTCACATCAGGGAATGAGATAGAAAAGGATTCTGCCTTTGCAGAGCTTGATAACAAGCAAACAAGAATGCATCTAGTACTCATGTTGTATGTAGATTTAAAACAAAGTGGTGTGCTAGAGAGTGACAGGGTGGCAACTTCAGAGTGGAAGTCCATGGAAGAGCTTTCTGAGGAGGTGATGTCTAAGCTGAAGTCTGAATGAAACAGAGAGGCTACCCTTGAGAGCCAAAGGGCAGGGTGTTGGCAGAAGAGGCTGCCATGCAAAGGCCCTGTGGCAGGCACTAGCTGGTGTGTTTAGGGAATGAAGACGGTGGGGAAGAGGGTGAAGCAGTCAGACCCAGCAAGGGCATTTTGTCAGTGGCTTATTGGCAGATGTCACCTGAGTCCTCCAAGGGATTTGGAACCACCTTGATGACTAACAAGCAAAGTGATAAAGCCAACTAACCATTATGGCCCTGGGCCGGGAGCAGCATCCACAGGCTTGGCTCAGAGGCTTGGCCCGAGAACATAGGGTGAGAACCCCCTAGACTTCCTCCCTTCTCACCAAGCATCCAAGCATAAGTTGGACACCAGCACCTGTCCCGGAGATACTGTGCCCTTGGGCAAAGGGAGGGAAGTGAGAGCAACCCCTGCTAAGTCTGCTGCCAGGCTGAGGCTCTGGGCCACCCCCCCCTCTGCTGGCTGGGGCTCCCTGGAGCACCCCTGGCACTCTCTGGCTACCAGGCGAGGTGGACCCTTCCTGACTGACCCCACCTTAGCTGTCCTCATTGGTGTCACCTCCATCCTCCTGGAGTTGCCTCAGGCCCTAGGCCCCAGAAGTCCAGGCACTGTCCCAGCCCAGGCAGGCCCCCAACGCAGGTATATCTAGCAGCTAGGAGTAGTTAGGCTGATAGGAGCAGGTCCCAGATGGCCCATAAGTGGCTCCCAGATCCTCCTTCCCTGTAGTGGACACCAGGGATTTGTCATCGTGGAAATGGCCTCCTAGCATGTGTCAGAAGACTCTGCACTCAGGCCCCTTCCATCCCACCCTGTGTAGCTTCCAACTGCAGGCACAAAGGCTGTGCTAAAGCAGAAAGCCTGGCTACCAGCCTGGAGTTCCCAGCATGGACACAGGCCTGTGTGCACCAGCCAGGGCTAACACAAGGCAGCCATTCCCCTAAGCATCAGGGGTGGCACCTGGGGTGGTCGCAAAGCCCTCAGGAACCAAGCTGCCTCCAGCTTTCTGCTCCTGCATCTGGCGCTGGCCCTCTTCCTGGAGCTCTGACATGGAGATTTAGCTGTCATATCCATGTTCCCAGCAGCAGGATAGAGAAAGGGAGGGGGAATGGTGGGCACTGGTCAACTTTCTGCCACATGACCCCGCTGACAGCTGAATCACGTGCTTTCATTTGGCTGCAAGGGAGGCTGGGTTGTGGGGTGTCTATGACTGAAGAAGTGGAGAAGGATGCTGGGGAAAATGTGGCTTTTGCCGCCTCGTCCATGCAGTGCCTCGCTCATTCTCCAGCCCTCGCTGCTAAGGAACCAAAGTCCAGGGAGCACAAGGCAGCTGTTTCTGGGTTCTGCCTTGTGATAGGAGCTAATATCTAATTGCTGTTAGGATTATTATTGTTGACAGATGCAAAACACTATAAAAGAGAATGTGCATAAATACAGGACAGCCACTTTGGAGAACTGTTTGACAGTTTATTATAAAGCTAAACAAATACCTTCCCTATGACCTGGCAATTCGTCTTAGGCTTTTACCCCAAAAAAGTAAAAACATATGTCAGGAAAAGAAAAAGAGAGGCCGGGTGCAGTGGCTCATGCCTGTAATCTCAACACTTTGGGAGGCTGAGGCGGGCAGATCGCCTGAGGTCAGGTGTTCGAGACCAACCTGGCCAACATATTGAAACCCCGTCTCAACTAAAAATTAAAAAATTAGCCTGGCATGGTGGTGCACACCTGTAATCCCAGCTACCCAGGAGGCTGAGGCATGAGAATTGCTTGAACCTGGGAGGCAGAGGTTGCAGTGAACCAAGATTGCACCACTGCACTCCAGCCTGGGTGACAGAGCGAGACTCTGTCTCAAAAAAAAAAGGAAAAGAAAAACAAAGAAACAAACTTGTACAAGAGCATTTATAGTAGCTTTATTCACAGTAGGTGAAACTGGAAGCAATGTATTAATGTCCATAAACAGGAATGCAGGTAAACAAATTGGTGTAAATAAATTAAAAAGAATAACTACTAGTACACTCAACAACATGAATGAATCGCTCAGACATGAGGCTGAACCAAAGAAGCCAGACACAAAGAATACACACCACATAATTCCATTCTACACATTCTAGAACTAATCAATGGTTCTAGAAATCAGAAAAGTGGCTGTCTCGGCAGAGGGTTGGGGTGGTGCTGGGATTGACTTGGAGGAGCTGAAGGGAATTTTCTGGGATATTAAAATGTTCTGTATATTTTCTGTGGCTACACAAGGGTATATATTTGTCAAAAACCTGGAAAAAACTGTACCCTTAAAATCAGTGTGTTTTATGTAAAGGTAATTTACATGTAAGTTCCGTGTAATTATGTATGTAAAGTATACCTCAACTTTAAAATGACATGAAATGTATGTTCATATGCCATATGGAGAATATACTTTTTTCAGTCACATGGAAGAGCCTAGTACTAGGAGACAAGTACTAGGAGACAAAGTACTAGGAGACAAAGGAAATTGAAAAAAAAAATTCTACAAAAGCAGGAATCACTGCAATAAAAGTAAAAAGAAATAACTAAAGGAAAGCCAAATAAATCCGCTCAGCAGGAAATTTACATGACAGAATGTGGAGACTACAGAAATGAAACTTAGAAACAAACATGCGCAGGCTGGAATGCAGTGGCGTGATCTCTGTGTTACAAGCCTGGCCAAAGCCATCAGAGGAGATGTCACAGGCCATCGTGCCCTTATCAGACAGCAGGCAAGACTGAAAATAAACTAAGGCTTACCACTCAAGAAGCTAGACATGAATAGCAAAACAACCCCAAGAAAGGTGAAAGGATGAGCGTGATAATGCCAAACAGAAATTAATGAAAGAAAAACAATCATTACCACAACTAATCAGTAATACAAACGCTAGATCTTTGGGAAAAAAAATTAAAGAGTAAAATAGACAAACCTGACAAGTCTGGCTAGCAACAAAAAATAAGCCAAAAAATAGGTATAAAAGAGGCAACATAAAATAAAGAAATAAAGATTGGCTGGGCGCAGTGGCTCACGCCTGTAATCCCAGCACTTTGGGAGGCTGAGGCCGGTGGATCACCCAAGGTCAGGAGTTCGAGACCAGCCTGGCCAACATGGCGAAACCCCGTCTCTACTAAAAGTACAAAAATTAGCTGGGCGTGGTGGCGAGCGCCTGTAATCCCAGTTACTCAGGAGTCTGAGGCAGAAGAATCACTGGAACCTGGGAGGCAGAGGTTGCAGTAAGCCGAGATCGCGCCACTGCACTGCAGCCTGGGCGACAAGAGTGAGACTCCATCTCAGAAAGAAAGAGAGAGAGAGAGAGAAAGAGAGAGAGAGAGAAAGAATTATAAAAGAATTTTCTGCACAACATCTTGCTAATAAGTAGAAAATGGGACAGGCACGGTGGCTCACGCTTGTAATCCCAGCACTTTGGGAGGCCAAGGCAGGTGGATCACCAGAGGTCAGGAGTTCGAGACCAGCCTGGCCAACCTGGTGAAACCCCCATCTCTACTAAAAATACAAAAATTAGCTGGGCATAGTGGCAAGCGCCTGTAGTCCCAGCTACTTGGGAGGCTGAGGCAGGAGAACTGCCTGAACCCGGTGGGCGGAGGTTGCAATGATCCAAGATCATGCCATTGCACTCCAGCCTGGGCAACAGAGTGAGACTCTGAAAAAAAAAAAAAGAAAAGAAAGGAAGGAAGGAAGGGAAAGAAAATGTAGTTGAAATGGGGTTTTTCTGGGGAAATGTGAATTACTCATATTGACCCCCAAAACAGTAAAAAATCACAGAATATATGTAAAAACTGTGGTGAACCTTGAACAATAAGAATGTATTCACAGCCAGGCACAGTGGCTCACACCTGTAATCCCAGCACTTTGGGAGGCTGAGTGGGGAGCATTGAGCCCAGGAAGTTGAAGCTGCATCAGTGAGCTGTGATGGCACCACTGTATCCCAGTCTGGGCAACAGAGCCAGACTCTGTCTCAGGAGAAAAGAAAAGAAAAAGAACATATCCACTTACTATATTTGTACTACTTTAAAAAAAAAAAAAAGACTGGGTGTGGTGGCTTATGCCTGTAACCCCAGCAGTTTGGGAGGCCAAGGTGGGTGGATTGCCTGAGGTCAGGTGTCCGAGGCCAGCCTGGCCAACATGGTGAAACCCCATCTCTACTAAAAATACAAAAATTAGTCGGGCATGGTGGTAGGAGCCTGTAATCCCAGCTACTCGGGAGGCTGAGGCAGGAGAATCATTTGAATCTGGGAGATGGAGGTTGCAGTAAGCTGAGATCATGCCACTGCACTGTAGCCTGGGTGACAGAATGAGACTCTGTCTCAACAACAACAACAAAAAAGGCAAGGGGGAAACCCTGACAAGAAAATGAGGCTGGGCCTCTCCACTGCCAGGGCCTGCTCTGCAGCCAGCCAGGGCCCCAGCCTCTCTCAGCCCCAGATACCAAGGAGATCTTTTTACATTTAAGGGCACAGCAAGTTCAGAAACACTGGTGGGGTGTTTCTCTCTTTCGTTTTTGCTTAGTTTTTTACCATGTCTGTGAACTTAGATGATGTCAAGCATCCGTGCAGGTTCAAGAAGGGCCAGTGCTGAGGCTGCCCCGCAGCTCTGAGCAATGGAGAACGAGGGCCACCCTGATTTCTCCCCTCCCTGGGGCCCATCTGCAGGACCCAATGCAATGCCAATGGAGCAGGCCAGGAAGTGCTGTGGGTTTTGTAAGACAGCCTGCGCTGGGTACTGGATGCCCTGTGGGCTCAGTTATTCAGGGTTTCAGAGGAAAGAAGGAATTTGTAATAAAGATATGCACAGCAGTGCTATTTATAACCAAGAAAACTGGAAACAACCCAAATTGCCCCCCGCAGGGGACTGGCCTGGCAGAAACAACGGAGCGAGTGGATGGAGATGTGGGGCCACGTGACAAGTGGGAAGGGAGGAAGCTCCGTGGATACAGAGCCTCCTGCGTGGGGGACGCCAAATATAATGCAGTTTGTACACAGCCACCGTAATTATGGAAAGCTACACGCATGGACATACTTACAGGTGTCAGGCAACAGCAAGCAGAAAATAGCCAGGGCGATTACAGTCAGAGCCAGCATTTCTTGAGTGCTTCCTGTATGCCAGACACGTTATTACCAGCAGCACTTTGCAAATGAGGACACTGGGGCCCTGAATGGTTAAGTAACTTGCCTGAAGACAAACAGCAGTAGGGAAGGAGGTAGGAGGCCGCTGGCATCCAAGGTCTGCTATCACCGGCTCTATGCCAGCATGCCTCCCCCTACCCCAGGTCCTGGCCAGGCCTGGGGGCGGCAATAAACCACTTGTTCTAATTGCACAGGGGTCAAGATGATGCAAACAGCGCTTGCAGCTCATGGGGCCTTCCTCCCAGAGAGACGACTCCTACACTCTGAGTTCCACTGCCTCCCCCACCAGAAATACTGGTGTGGGTAGAATGGAGTGGGAGGCAGCACATCTTAAAGCTGCATTTTCTCCCCCTGGAGAGTGTCGTACGCACTCCCTCTTGTCCTTCAGGGATTCCCCTCGGTTGACTCTGAAGCAGGCGCCGCCCTTGGGGCCCTTTCTTGGAGATGACCCCCGCTGCCTGGAGTTCAGGGTCTCCCACTCTGACACTCATCCCTCGGTTGCTGGACGCTCCCTTGGTCCTGGAGTCCTGGTAACCCTGGCAAAGCCAGTGGATGGAGGAGGGGACGGTGGTAGAGCCTGAGGCCCCCAGCGTGGAGTGGCCCCAGCCTGGCCGGGCTCCTGCCAGGGCCTCAGTCCGGGGGCACGTTTGCCCTGCTGGGCTCCTGCCTGCACTTGGCCCTCCTCTGTAGCCTCCACAGAAGCTTGGCACAATGAACACAGCCCTCCTGCCCCCTTTCCCAGTCCCTGCCCCCATGTCCCACCTCCACATCCCCAGCCTGGCAGGCCACTGAGACTTAGGGACTCTGATACAGAATGGTCACAAAAGGGGACTCCCAGGGAGGAAAGAATAAATGGCCCATGAAGTGTATGGGCACGTGGTGCCCTTCAGGTGAACACAGCCAGGTTGGGCTGTGGCCTTGTTCTTTTTTTTCTGTGACCCCTCTCTGAATGCCCCTCAGTCTCTGGCCTGGCCGGGGCATCTGCCACACACCTGGAGGGAGGACTTCGGCTGGCGTCTCAGCAGGCTGGCCAGTGGGCCCAGACCCTCACAGGGGCCAGCTGCATGACAGCCAGCAGACTCAGGTAGAGCCTGAAGTAGCCCTGATAATGGGCTACTCAACCTACTCAACCTCCAGGCTACTCAACCTCCAGGCTGGGGTGCCCCTCATGCTAGCACAGCCCCTGGGGCCTGGAGGGCAATGGACAGCTCCTGCCTCCCACCTACTTAGGTTTCTACCCAGTGGCTCTCCCTCAGAGCCTCCTACCAGGACTGTGGGCCTCTGCAGGAATTGGGTAGGTCCGGGTCCCCTCCACAAGCTCCCAGGGATCTTCTAAACCCCTCCTCAACTTCCCCCTCCCCAACACTTCCCCCTGACCCCAGAGAGAAATTGCTAGGGGGCCAGGCCTAACTACTGTTTTACCACACCCTGGAAACTCCATATGTAGCAACCTCAGCTTTGTAGCCACTATCCATGCTAACAGTGCTAACAGGAGCTATCATGTATTGGCGGGGGGCTAGAGGACATCCATTTGGAATAATATTTCAGAATCAGGACTTGGTGGCCTACTGCAAGTGAGAAGTGAGTGTGGAGGGGCTGGGGCTGCATGGATCTCTCCTATTTTTCTATAATGGCAGGATAAAGGGAAAACGAAAAGGAGGAACAGGTATGGGGTACAGATATTAAATTCCAATTAGGGAGTGTAGTGTTTAAGGGCCTCCTAAATATCCACTACCTGCAGTATCAGTGAAAATATGGCCTAGAGGCCAAGATAAAGAGAAGAATTGAAGGCACAGGCGGGAGAATGATCAATAGAAGGAAGGATTGAGTTGCAGTCTAGTGAGTGTCACAGGAGGAGAGAAAAGGGCTCATAAGGGGTCTCTGAGGGAGGCGGCATCAAGGAGATGGTTTGAGGAAGGGGTGATTAAGGAGACAAAGAAAGAGCAAGTAAAGGGGCGGGGGCAAATCCAGGAGAGAAGAGTGTCATGGAAGCTGGGTCGAGAAGTCTCCAGGCAGAGAAACGCCAGAGGCTGGGTTGCAGTAGGTCAAGGAGGGCATGGACAAATTGGATGTGGAAACAAGCATCACCTTCTCCAGCCAAAATCACTTGTGACTTCCACTTCTAGCTGTTTTACCAGACTAGCCCTCCCACCAAAAATAACCATGAATCTGGACAAAGTACGTGAGGCAGCTGTTTTCAGGGAGTGCAAGACTCAGATCCCTGTGGGAAGGGACGCTTAGGAGGTGAGCCCCGTGATTGCTCCGTGCTCCCCGACAGAGTTTTCTGACTGTGGCACACGGCACCGGAGTCTGGGCAGGGCACGGGGGTCATGTGGAGCTGAAGAGGTGGAGCAGCGGGAGCAGTGGGCATGCGTGGAGCCAAGCATTGGAGAAGAGGGAGCTGTGCACGCAGGGGTCCCAGAACCCCACACAGGAGCTCTGCAAGTCCTTGACTGACAACTAAGCTGCACATACAAAGGGAAGAACTGAGTCATGCCAAATTAGAGAGGCTTAGGAAACATTTTGGATGTTCCGTGCATCTGCAGTAACAAAACATGAACCCTAAGTAAGGAAGTTCAAAGTCATCTGCCAATAATTAAATTGCCTACTAAAACAATAATCAACATTCTTCAGAGGAAGTTAACACAATTTTGAGTTTCACAATATATTAGCCACAAAATCTAGTATTCAATTTTTAAAAAAAATTGCCAGGTATATAAGGAAATAGGAAAATGTGATGCCCAGGCAAGAATAAAGCAGACTATAGAACAGTAACTTAATCTAAAATGACCCAGATGTTGGGCTTAGCAGACTGTAATGTGGCGATTATAAATATGTCCAAATAATTAAAGTAAGATATAGTCTTAATCAGTGAGTATATAGGAAAACTCAGCCCCAAAATGGTATCTGGATACAAATTTTAAAACTAAAAAGTATAATAATTGAAATGAAAAATTCACTGGAAGGCTTAATAGCAGATTGGAGATAGTAGAAGAGTCGATAAACATGAAGACAGATCAATAAACATTATCTGAAGATCACAAGGAAAAAAGGCTGAAGGAAAGTGAATAGAGCCTGCGAACCTTGTGGAATAGTATCACATAATCTAACACATACGTAATCAGAGTCTCAAAGGAAAAGGTGTAGTAAAATTGGGGCAGAACAAATATGTGAAGAAATAATGGCCAAAACATCCCAAATTTGATGAAAAACATCAATTTACATATCCAGTAGTCTCAATAAACTCAAATCAGGATAAACAGAAAAAATAACAACACTCAGACACACAGTTCTGAAAACCTAAGAAAATTCTGAAAGCAGCTGGGTTTGCTGGGAGGTATAACATTACTTACAGGGAAACAAGTATAAGAATCATTACCAACTTCTCACCAGGAACAATGGAGGCAGAAACAATTGAATGGCATCATGAAAGTGCTGAAAGGAAAAAAGCTTCAACCAAAAAGATACTCATCTAGCAAAAATACCCTTTTAAAACAAGGTTGAAATGAAGACATTTAGACAAGACTGAGAATTCATTGACAGAAGACCTGTAATACAGTCAAAGCTATGGACATCCTCCAGGGCAAGGAAAATAATACCAGATGGAAACTGAGATCTACAGGAAGGACTAAGGAGCGCTACATGGAGAGATCCAGCAGACACCATCTTAACCATGCGATAGAAGAGTGGGACAAGTCAGCATTGTGAGCCCCCGATATAAATGCTGTAGGAAGAACACAGCATTGCCTCTGCATAGTTGATGAAATTATTAAGGCAGTAATGTCATAAGCAAACTTTGAATGGATCTGTGGATTCAATGGTAATATCAGATAAAGATCAATTTCCTGATTTTGACAGTTGTACTGTGTTCATATAGGAAAGGACCCTTGTTTTGCACAAGGGCTTAACGGGATGACGAAGAATCACATCTACAACTTGTTATTAAATGATTCAGGAAAAAAATACATTAGTATATATATAGAGAGAAAGACTGATAAGTCAAATGTAGTAAAGTATTAACAACTGGGGAATTTGGTTGAATAGTATATAGGAGCTCTTTTTACTATTTTGCAACTTTTCTGTAAATTTAAGATTACTTCAAAATAAAACAAACAAAAAAGCAGCAGCTCTGTAAGGGCATGAAGAAGGAAGAGGGCAACAGAATGGAGCAAGGGTACAGAAGGAAGATGACTTCCATAATGGTTTCTTAATGAGGTGGAATGTAAATAGAAAAGCACACAGATTACAAGTAAACATTCAGTAAATTTCCACCTTCACTCAGCACTTCAATTAAGAAAAGGAACAATATCTGCATACCTTATGTCCTCTCCCCTCCCATAGTGGTAGCTACTATCTCAACCTCTGCCAACATAGACTAGTATACCCTGGTTTTGAGGTTTAAATACGTAGAATTATAAAGTAGTTCCTCTTTTGTGTCTGGGAAAACCCCCAAATGTTATGTTTGTGATATTCAAATATGTTTCTGTATGTAGCAATAGCAACTTTTTCGTCTAGTCTAAATCATGTGTCTAGTCTAAATCATGTGAATTTATTTACATATATTTATACATTTATTATGTAAATCCCCATTCTACCGATAATGAACACCAGGGTGGTTTTCAGTTCTGAGCTGTTACGAATAATGCTATGACGAACATCTTTGTTCATGTCCTGGTGAACTTAAGCATCCATTTCTGTTCAGCAAATATCTAGGCATGGAATTTCTGGGTCACTGGGTATGTGGGTGCTCGCTTTTAATGGACACTGCCACAGGATTTCAAAGTGTGTTGACTTACATTCCCACAGCACAACACGAGAGTTCTGGTTGCTCCATAGTCTTGCAGATGACAACTGGTATTGTAAGATTTTTGGTCATTATAGTGAGTGTGGTCAGGGGTGGGGGGGCATATTACATTGTGGTTTTTAATTTTCATTTCCCTGAAGACTCATGAGGTGCTCTTAAGGATGAGTGCCTTTTCATGGGTTTTTGGACCATTTGGATATCCCTTTTTGTACAATGTAGTTCATGTTTTTAACATATTTTTCTATTGGATTGTCTTTTCCTTATTGATTTGTAGAAGTTCTTTCCTTCCTTCCTTTCTTTTCTCTTTCTTTCTTTTTCTTTCTTTCTTCTTTCTTTCATCTTTTTCTTGAGACAGGGTCTCACTCTGTCACTCAGGCTAGGGTGCAGTGGTGCCGTCACAATTCACTACAGCCTCGACCTCCTGGGCTCAAGCAATGCTCCCATCTCAGCCTCCCAAGTAGCTGGGACTACAGGTGTGCACCACCACTCCTGGTTAATTTTTTTTTTTTTTTTTTTTTTGTAGAGACGAGGTCTTACCCTATGGCCCAGGCTGGTCTCAAGCTCCTGGGTTCAAGCGATCCTCCCACCTCAGCCACTCAAAGTGCTAGATTACAGGCATAAGCCACCACACCCAACCTGTGGAAGCTCTTTATATATTCTGGATAGGAGTCCTTTGTCAGATACATTCACTGCAAATATCTTTTCCCACTCTGGCTTGTCTTTTCACCCTGTTTCACATTATTAATGATGTCTTTTGAGAAATATAAGTTCTTAATTTCAATGTGAGCAAATTTATCAGTTTTTTTGCTCAATGGCATTTGTGCTTTTTATATCCCACTTAAGAAATTACTATCTACTTCCAAGGTCATAAAGATGATCACCTATGGTTTATTTTCCTACAGCTTTATTGTCTGTTCCTTAGATTTAGTTCTACAATCCTTATGAATTAAGTGGGGGTGTTTGTGTTGTAAAGTAGACATCAAGATTTTCTTTCCATATATATATTCAATTCACCCGGGAATAATTTTATAAAAAATTATTTTCCCATTATATGATAAAGTGTTTCTGGACTCTGATTCATTCCGTTATTCTATTTGTCTGTACTTGACCAAGATCACACTGGATGATTCCTGTAGTTTTACAGTGAGTCTAGATGCATGGTAGTATAAGTCCTCCAGCTTTGATGTTGCTCCTCCTCCCCTTCTCATCCTTGTCCTCTTCCTCCTCCTCTACCTCCTCTTCCTTCTCCTTCTTCAAATTTATCTTACCTATTCTTGGTTCTTTGCAATTTCAAGTAGATTTTAGAATCAGTATGTCATTTACACACACACACACACACACGCACACAAGCGCGTGCACATACACACACCATCAAAACGCTTCTAGGATTTGGGGGTGGGGTGTGTGTGCACTAAAACTATAGCTCAGATTCCAGAGAATCAAAATTATTTAATATTGCATCTTGCAATCCACAAATATGGGATATATCCTTCCACTTATTTAGATGTACTTATCTCAGTAAATAATTTCCTGTGTAAACGTTTTGCATGTCTTTTGTTAGATTTACTACTAGGTATTTGTTGGTTTTGAACACTATTATAAATGATTTTTTTTTTTTTTTGAGATAGAGTCTCGTTCTGTCGCCCAGGCTGAAGTGCAGTGGCGCGATCTCGGCTCACTGCAACCTCTGCCTCCCGGATTCAAGCGATTCTCCTGCCTCAGCCTCCCAAGTAGCTGGGATTACAGGTGCCCACCACCATGCCTGGCTAATTTTTGTATTTTTAGTAGAGACGGGATTTCACCATGTTGGCCAGGCTGGTTTCAAACTCCTGACCTCAGGTGTTCCACCCACCTCGGCCTCCCAAAGTGCTGGGATTATAGGCATGAGCCACCATGCCCAGCTAATAAATGGTAATTTTTATATCTTTTTTTATTGTTTGTTGCTGATACATATAAGCACAATTTTAAAAATATCGACATTTGTACTAGTCAGCTCAGGCTACCATAACAAAATACCACAGACAGGGTGGCTTAAACAGCAGAGATTAGTGTTCCCACAGTTCTGGAGGCTGGAAGTTCAGGATCAGTGTGCCTGCATGGTTGGGTTCTGGTGAGGGCCCTCTTCCTGGCTTGCAGAGGGCTGTCATCTGGCTACCCATTGTCTGTGTATGGGGACAGAGAGATCTTTCTTCCTCTTCTTAGAAGGCCACCAATCCTATCAGATTAGGATGGCACCCATATGACCTCGTTTAACCTCAATTACTTCCTAAAGGCCCCACTCCAAACTGAATCACACTGGGGGTTAAGGCTTCAACACAGGAATTTTGGGAGGACACAATTCCATCCACAGCAACATTATAGCCAACAACCTTGCCAATTTTGCATATTAATTCTAAGAAGTTGCCTGAAATTCTTTTGCATAGTTGATGCACACAATGATGTCATCTGTAAATAATGACTTTTCTTTCTTCCTCTCCTCCCTTTAGGTCTGCTCGCCTTGCCTTTTGTGGTTGCTGGGCCCTCCAGGACAATGTCGAGTAGTATTGTGGGTATCCTCAGCTCATGCCAAATCTCAGGGGGAAGGTTTTAAATATTTCATCATTAAGAAGGTTTTTTATAGATACTTTTTTAACAGAATAAGAAAGCTCCCTTCTATTCCTAGGACATGATCTGAATAATTCTAATCTTTTGAAAATGTGTTGAAACTTATGGCTCAACCATATGATCAATTCTTGTAATGTTCCATATGCATCAGAAAAGCGTGCGTGCGCTGTCATGATTGGGTATGGCATTCTACAGCTGTCAAATATGTCAAGTTTGTTCATCACGTTAGGCAGGTATTCTACTTGCTGAGTTTTTTGTCTGCTGTTCTCTTATTTATTATAAGAGGAGGGTTAAAGTCTTCCACTGTGATTGCCAATTTTTCCTTCTCCTTTTAGCATTGTCAGTTTTTACTTTATATAATATGAAGTTATGTGCAGTTCATATAGATTTTTACATTGTATATTTTTGGTGAGTCCACCTTATCACTTTATGTTCCCCCTCCTCTACAGTTGTCCTATTTTCTTAATGTCTATTTCATTTAGTGATAGTACAGCTGCATTAACTTTCTTTTGATTAGTGCTTTCATGGTGTGCAGAAAAAGGTTAACTCATCAGGCTTGGTTGGTCCAGGGCCTGCACATGCCAAGAATGGACTTCCCCTTGGTAGGTTCCAGAGAGGCAACCCTTGGAATATCCTGCTTGAAAGCTTGTTTTTGTTTGCCTGAGACCTTGGGCCATGCTGTATCCATTAAGTCAGTGTTATGGACTGAATTTTGTTCCCCCAAAACTCATAGGTTGAAACCCTAACTCCCAGCACCTTAGAATGTGACTGTATGTGGGGATAGGGCCATTAAAGAGATAATTAATCATGCCTGTAACCCCGGCACTTTGGGAGGCCGAGGCAGGTGGATCACCTGAGATCAAGAGTTCGAGACAAGCCTGACCAACAGGTGAAACCCCATCTCTACTAAAAATACAAAAATTAGCTGGGTGTGGTGGCGGGCACCTGTAATCCCAGCTACTCTGGAAGCTGAGGCAGGAGAATTGCTTGAACCTGAGAGGTGGAGGTTGCAATGAGCCAAGATTGCCCCATTAAACTCCAGCCTGGGAGACAGAGCAAGACTCCATCTCAAAAAAAAAAAAAAAATGGTAATTAAGTTAAATGAGGCCCTAGGGTGAGCCTTAATCCAATCTGACAGATGTCCTTTCTAAGAGAGGAGAGTAGGACACACAGACACAAAGAGCAAAGACCACATGCAGACAAAGCAAGAAGACGGCCACCTGCAACCCAAGAGAGAGGCCTCAGGAGGAACCAACCCTGCTGACACTTGGGTCTTGGACTTCCAGCCTCCAGAACTGTGAGAAAATAAATTCCTGTTGTTTAAGCCCCTCAGTCTCTGGCATTTTGTTGTGGCAGTCCTATAAACCAGTAAAACCAGATAGCTTATGCTAACAATGTGGCTTTTGTGATGTGTGTCTGAGGTCCTGGGCTATGCTGTATCACTTTGGCCTCTTAGGGGCTGAGTAGCTAAGGTCAGTCATGCAGACAATTCCTGCCTATGTGACTGACACTCCGTAAAAACTCTGGACATCGAGGCTCAAATGAGCCTCCTCGATTGGCAGTACTTAGTATGTGATTGCACATAGTTGCTGGGAGAATTAAGCATACTCCAAGCAGCTTCACTAGGAGGGGACATTTGGATGCTTGTGCTCACTTTCCCCTGGACTTTGCTCATGTGCCTTTTCCATTAGGTGATTTTAATCTGTAACCTCCTGCTTTAAGAAACTGTGTGGGCCAGGTGCAGTGGCTCATGCCTGTAATCTCAGCACTGTGAGAGGCCCAGATGGGCAGATCACAAAGACAGGAGTTCGAGACCAGCCTGGCCAATATAGTGAAACTCTGTCTCTGCTAAAAATACAAAAATTAGCCAGGCGTAGTGGCACATGCCTGTAGTCCCAGCTACTTGGGAGGCTGAGGCAGAAGAAGTGCTTGAACCCGGGAGGCGGAGGTTGCAGTGATCCGAGATCGCGCCACTGCACTCCAGCCTGGGCGACAGAGTGAGACTCCGCCTCAAAAAAAAAAAAAAAAAGAAAAACTGTGCGATCATGAGTATAACAGCTCTTGTGAGGCCAGTGAGTCCTTCCAGTGAATCATCAAGTCAGAAAGTGGCCCCACAACATACACATGGTTATATTTTTTCATTCCTTTACCTTCAACTTTTCTGCATCCTTATACTTAAGATGTGTCTCTTGTAGCAACATATAGTTTAATTTTTTTTGGTTTTATTTTGTTTTCATTCAGTCTATCTTAGTCTTTTACTTGGGGTGTTTAGTCCATTTACATGTAAATGTATTTCCTGATATATTTTAGTTTATACCTACTATGTGAATTTTTTTCTTTGTCCCACCTGTTTTATATTCCTTTTCCTCTTTTTTGCCTTTCTTTGGATTAAACATTTTTTATTATTCCATTCTCCATACCTATCATTCTATTAGTTATGCATTTATTTACTATTATGTTATTACTTACTATTGACATCATTTTATTATTATTTCAGTGGTTACCCTTGATGACAAGATTCCAGAAGAACTCCCTGTACACATTAAAACATTTTTTTCCCTAAAAAATCTTCATTTTACCTTTATTTTTGAAGAATATTTTGGCTATAGAATTCTGTAGAATTCCAGGTTGGCAGTGATTTTTTCCAGCAGTTTAAAAATGTTATTTCTTTCCTTCTGACTCCAGTAATTTGTTTTGAAAAATCTGTCATCAGTCTGATTGTTACTCCTGTGGTTACCCTATTTTCCTCTGGCTTCTTTTAACATTTAAGATTGCCTTTGTATTTATCCTGCTTGGGGTTACTGAGTATCTTGAGTTTGTGGGTTGAAGGCATTAATTTGTTTCTAAAATGATCATACTCTAATATTGCTTCTGCTCCATCACCTTTCTTTTCTCCTTCTGGGTCTTCAGTTGTACATATATTAGAACTTTTCAACATGTTCCACATATCTCTTATACTCTTTTCTCTATTTTTTCATCTTTTAAAAATTCTTTGTGTATCAGTCTTGATATTTTCTGTTGTCCTGTCTTCTACTAATCCTCTTCTACTTCTACTAATCCTACCAGTCTACTTCCATTAGTCCTGTCTCCTGTTGTATTCCATCCATTCTTACATCTGTTGTATTCTAAATATCAGCTACTGTGTTTTCAACTCTGAGATTTATATATTTTTTCTTTAGTGAAATTGTCTATCTTGTTACCTGTTTTCTCTAAAATATTAATAGCTGTTTTAAAGTCTGTGTCTGATACCTCTAATATCTGTATCACCTGGGAATTTTGCCCTTTTTTTTTCTTGGTATGCTTATTACTTTTTAATTGAATGTTGGACATAGTGTGCAACAATTTATAGAAGCTCTGGATTCCATTAACTTCCTCCAGAGACCATTCACCTTATCCTTGGGGCAGCTACAGTGTGAGCAGACTACCTTCATCCAAAGCAGCATGAGGCAGGATTGCAGTCCTTTTACATCTCATTCTCTCTTTGCTTCATGCCCACCCCTAGGGTGTTGCCCTCCTGAGACCCCAGCTAGGGTCCTGAACTCCCATTTTTGTCTCTTCATAACCATGAGATCATAGAAAAACTTCATCTTTTCACTGGCTTTCTTATTAGCTCCTCACCATGTGTATTTAATACATGGGCAAATGCTTCAAGGGAAACCTCTGAGTTTGGGGCTCCTGGCCTCTTGGGTGCTGGCTATCCTGTCAGCTCTATAATTAATTTTTTATTCTCTTCTCCATGAAATTGCTGAAAGATCTGCTGGCTTCTCTGCCTCTTAAAGTAATAGTCCTATGCTCAGATTCCTAGCCTCTCTAAGAACTGGTCATCACCTGGAGGGGTAAATGATGTGCAGAATATCAGCTCATCTCTCTCCAATTCTCTTCTATTTGGAAACTTGGTTCCTTAAGCCCTGGTTATCTGCAGTTGTCCAGTGCCTTCAAACCAGTTTTTTTAATCTGGATTTTCTAGTTGTTCTCAGTGGGGTCAGTGATCTGCTCCAAATACTCCATTATAGCTGGAAATGGAAACTCGAGGAAGGGTAATTTTATAGATGGCACCAAATTGAATGTGTTTCTAGACAGAGTAAAGTGAACACATGAAAATAATTATGACAGCTCCCCCATATTGAGCTCTTACTATGTGCCAGACTTTGTGCTATGTGACTACATATATTATGTCATTTGATTTTTACAGCAAGCTTTTACAGCAAGGCTAGGTACTATATCTATTCCCATTTTACAGATGTGGAAACTGAGGCTTAAAGAGGCTAATTAACTTGTCCAATCAATCTTTTTATCCCCTGGAGGCAAAATGCATAGAAAAAATTTTGACTTTTAAAAAAATTGTGTATACATATGTGTGTGTGTATACATACAGAGAAGTGTGTGTGTGTATATATATATAAAAAACACGATTTGTGATTTTAACAAATTTTAAGTGTACAATTCAGCGGCATTAAGTACATTCACACAATGTTGTGCAATCATCACCACCAACTATTTCCAAAACTTCTTCATTACCCCAGAGATTCTATAGCCATTAAGTAATAACTCCCCTATAATCTCCTATAATCTATAGCCATTAAGTAATAACTCCCCTTTCTTTCTGTTTCTATGAACTGGCCTATTCTAGATATTTCAGGTAAGTGGAATCAGACATTATTTGTCCTTTTGTGTCTGGCTTATTTCTCTTAGCACAATGTTTTCAAGGTTCATCCATATTGTAGCATGTATCAGAACTTTGTGCCTTGTTAAGACTGAATGATATTCCATTGTCTGTGTAAATATCACATTTTGTTTATTCCTCAATCAGCTGGTTAACATTGGGGTTCTTTCCTACTTTTGGCTATTGCAAATAATGCTGCAGTGAACAATGGCATACGAGTATATGTTTGAATCCTGTTTTCAATTCTTTGGGGGATATACCTAGGAGTGGTAATTCTATGTTTAACCTCTGAGGAACCACCAAACTGTTTTCCATAGCAGCTGCGCCATTTTACATTCCCAGCAGTGACGTATGAGGTCTCCAGTTTCTCCATGGCCTCCTCAATACTTACATTCTTTTCTTTCCTAAGTACAGCCATTCTACTATGTGTGAGGTGTATCTCATTGTGGTTTTTGCACTTCCTATTAACTAATGATACAAAGTATATTTTTATGTGCTTATTGGAAATTTGTATATCTACTTTAGAGAAATGTCTATTCGAGTCCTTTGCCCATATTTTGATTGGATTGTTTGTCTTTTTGTTGTTGAGTTGTAGGAGTCCCCTTCTGTATTCTGGATAACCTTTCTTAGATATATGATTTATAAATATTTTCTTCTACTCTGTAGGTGGTATTTTCACTTTCTTGATAATGTCTTTTGATGCACTGAAGTTTTTAACTTTAATAAAGTCCATTTATTTTTTCTTTTGTTGTTTGTGCTTTGGTGTCATATCTAAGAAGCCATCATCAAATCCAAAATCATGAAGATTTACCCCTATGTTTTCCTCTAAGAGTTTTGTTATTTTAGCTCTTATGTTTAAGTTTTTGATCCATTTTTGAGTTAATTTTTGTATATGGTATGAGGTAGGAGTCCAACTTTGTTCCATGAAATAGGCAAATTTATAAAGACAGGAAGTATATTAGTGGTTGACTAGGCTTGGGGGTGTGTAGCAGGAATGAGGAGTGACTGCTAATGGGTATGAGCTTTCCTTCGGGGGTGATAAAAATGTCCTAAACTTAGATAGAGTGATGGCTGCATAACTGTGTGAATATACCAAAACCGCTGAAATTGTACACTTTAAAAAGGTGAATTTTATGCTATGTGAATTACACCTCAATAAAGCTATTGAAACAAACAAAAAGAATAGCTGGAGGCTCTATAATGGGGGACAGGCCTTGCAGCCTCACCTCCTGCTTCTAGGAAAAGGACCTTCCCATGGCTGTGGGCCAGACCCCTGCACTGCCAGGATCATGTTCTAAATTAAACAAGTAGCCCAGGCTCAGGATTCCTTCTCCTCCCCAGTGCCAAGATTTAGATAATAAAGAGTCTTCTTTCATGAACTTTTCCCCAATTTCAGCCCAGGTTCAGATGTTGCTGCCAGCTTTTTATCCTGGCAAAGCAATCACAAGAGGGAAATAAGTCATAGATGGCAGCTTCCTACACCCACTTCTCTTGAGAGTAGATGGAAGCCCTGATGAAAAGGCAGGAGCACTGGCAGCTCAACAAATCCTGGGTGAGGAACCAACATTTGGCCTGGGGCCTCCCTGGTGTCTCCTCCAGGGTGGGAGTGGTGGCACTCAGCTTGTCCCCTGGCACAGGGGGAGCTGCTGTCTTGAGGTGACTTCCTGCTCTGGACTCCCCTGTGGTTGGACCAGACTAGCACTGGGCATGGGGCCCATTTGCTGATGGGCTCACCTTAAGTTTCTACTGGGATATGAACATTTGGACACATGGACAGCTCCTCAGGAGCCCAAATCTCATTGGCTGGTTGCAAGAGGCCTCTTCATGGACGGGGTGGTGGGGGTATTAGAAGGGTGGAAGGATTGGAAGTTCTCTCTCTGTAGAGAACAGCATGGCTTTGGGATGTCAAAAACTGCAGGGAACCTACCATGTTCCTGCACTTGGAGGGTGGAAGAGCTTGGGGCAGGGGTGTCAGCATTCTCTGGCAGGCAGTTAGGGGGCAGTGGTGAGGGGATCTTGTTGGCTTTCCTGGGCATGGGACATTGATAACAAGGTCCAGAAAGGAGGAGACAGCAGACCCTGGTGGAGATTGTGGCTGGCAGATCTGCGTATGGGTCCCCAGGGGGCACCCTGACTCCTTGGTGTGAATGAGGCCCTGGGTTGGAGCTGAAAGCTGGGGGAAGTCTGACTGATGCCACTGTTGTGTGGACCTGGTATGGCCGCTGCTGGAAAGCTCAGGCCTCTCCCAAGGTCCCAAGGCCCCAAAACCTCTCTGACTTTCTGCTTCCCCACCAGGGTGGGCCAAGGGAGCAAAGTGCAGGACTCCTGAGGTCTGCAAAATCACAAAGGAAAAGGATGATGACCCCCCAGGAGGTTGCTCAAGCACGTACAGCCCCTCCTAGCCACAAGCCCTGCATCCCCTCATCTCAGGCACTTGCAGCTCTTTGCCTGGATTTGGCTACCATCACTGGCTGCAGACCTGCTTCGGGGTTTTAATTATAGTCATTAACATGCCCCTATCTGTGGCCATGTCAGCAAGGCCCCTAAGGACCTGACCCCAAGAACAGTGCCTCCCCATCCCTCTCGGGTTCCTCACACAACTCCTTGGGGTATGCAGTCCCCAGAGACATAAGGGTGTTCACCATGTCACCCTGCCCCAGCCCACCTCAGCCAGTTCCTGGTCCCTCCCCAGAAGGAAGCTCCCAACCTCATTTGCTGTGTCTGCACTGAGTCTCTGTGAAGTGTGGACCTCTGCCATGGCTTTCCCAGAGAGTCAAAGGCCGCTTGGCCAGTCTGGGACACAGGCCTTCTCCATGGGGCCACACCTGCCCCTCTACAGTTCAGGCGGGACATGTGCCTGCCTGTTTTTTTATGGCTGGCTGGCGGAAGGGTGGGGTGGGGTGGGGAATAATAACCAGGCTACCCCCACCTCACCCAATAAGGCAATGAGTAGAATGCCTGCCTCCCTGGGCTTCCTCCAGGGACCCAGAGCCTGCAGGCAGAGAGTCTTTGATTCCCAAGAAAAGCTGTTCAGCCAAACTTAGCACAAAATGGCAATTCAGGAGCTGAACTCTACCTAGCAACAAGATTAGCAGCTGATTTTGCAAGCTGGTATTTTTATCCCTGGGATGGGAACAGCTGAGAAGAGTGGCCGCCTCCTGCTACCACAAGGAGCGCTACTCCCTCCTGTGCCACCTGGGGACCCTGCCCCCTCAGCTGCTCCTGGCCCCATGCCTGGCTCTGCCTTCCTTTCTTGCTTGCAGGGGTCTCAGATCCATGGGGGGAGGGTGTGGGGCCTGAGAGCTTCCAGAGGGGAACGTCAGCCCCCAGGTCCGATAGGAACCATGAGATTCTGGAGCTCAGAGGCCCGACTCAGCCTTTCCTCCTCTCCTTGCCGCATCCTGTTTTCTTTTCCTCATCCCTCTGTCCCCAACACCTGAGAGCCTTTGCACTTTCCATGCTGTGCTGCAACAGCCCCTGGCACTTTGTGCCCACCAGACAGAGGGATCTGTGAGGCCAGGGCTCCCTATTCCCCATAAGCACACAGTGGGCTCTTGATAGACATGTGGTCCTCTGGACCACTCCTTCACGTTATCTCCAGTTTCTCTTTCCACCTCCCAGCTCTTCTTTGCTTGCCTTCTCCCCACCCCTCACAATGACCAGAGAACCTTCTGGTAGCCTAAAGTCCTGCTACCTTTTGTGTGGACTACCAATGAACAAAACTGCCATCTTAGGGGCCGTGATGTTGCCTGGTTTTATAGAGAAAATATTATGATGGTAAAATCTCCCAGAAGTGGACTTCCAGTTCCAGAACAAGACGGTACAGACTCACTTTTCCCACATCCTCCCTCCATGGACATAATTCAACAGACACTACAAAGGGACCAAGAAAGCTGGAAAGAAGGTGGCAGACTAGCTAGAAGCCTTGGGACTTGAAAACAACATGATGGTAGGCTCTTGGGCTTTTTATCTCCCACATTCCCCATAATGGGCACAGAGAGCCCTGTAACATGAACTTCCAAGAGGCATTGACAAAACAAATAAACAGAGCTGTCCTCTCTGGCCAAAGGACTGGGGAAAGGGAAGGGAGGCAGTGCTAGGGTTCTGTGCTCCACAAGCAGGACACTGAAGTGAGGGTCAATTCATCCACAGGGCAGTATCAGTGGAGCCTGTGTCTCCTGCCCTCCACCAAGTGCCACAAGAAGCCCCAGGCCCCAGTGGAAGCATCTTCCACCCTCACAGGCACAACCACCAGAATAGTATTGCAAGGGCTATGAAAACTAAACTGTCATTGGAACTACAACCCACAGAAGTAGGCCAGACCTAGATGCTAAATCTAAAAAGGGTGACTGCCTGCTAAAATAGAAGACCTAAATAGCAGTAAGAGTCTTCTAATATAACCAAAATGTCCAGGATATAATCTAAAATTACTCCTCACACCAAGAACCAAGAAAACCACAATTTGAATGAGAAAAACAACCAAGTGATGCCGATGCCAAGATGAATCAGATGTTGGAATTATCTGACAAGAATTTTAAAGCAGTCATCATAAAAATGTTTCAACAAGCAATTACAAATTCTCTTGAAACAAATGTAGAAATAGAAAATCTCAAAAAGGAAGTTTTACAATTTACAAGTTCATTTTTAATAAACAAATGACAATTATAGAACTCAAAATAAACTAGCCAAATTCAAAACTTTGCTAAATGGATTCAATAGTAGAATGGAGATGATAGAGAATAGAATAGTAAACTTGAAGACAGATCAATAGGATTTATTAATTCTGAACAACAGAGAGAAAACATACTGGAAAAAAATAAACAGAATTGACCAGGCATGGTGGCTTACGCCTGTAATCCCAACACTTTGGGAGGCCAAGGTAGGGTGGATCATTTGAGGCCAGGAGTTTGAGACCAGCCTGGCCAACATGGCGAAATCCCATCTCTACTAAAAACATAAAATATAGCTAGGCATAGTGGCACATGCCTGTAATCCTAGCAACTCAGGTGGCTGAAGCAGGAGAATCACTTGAACCTGGGAGGCAGAGGTGGCAGTGGGCCAAGATCATGCCACTGCACCCCAGCTTGGATGACAGAGCAAGACTCTGTTTCAAAAAAACAAACAAACAAACAAACAACCAAAAAAACAAAAACAGAGTCTCAGGGATCTATGAGACAAAACAGAAGATCCAACATTCATATCAGCATAGTCCCAGAAGGAGGGAAGAAGAAATGTGGGGCTGAAAAAATAATCAAGGAAATAATGTCTGAAAACATCCCAATATTAATAAAAGATATAAATCTATAGATTTAAGAAGGTGAGAATATCCCAAATAGGAAAAACCCAAATTGATCTACACCAAGATACATAATGATTAAACTTCTGAAAACTAAAGACAAAGGAAAAAAATCTTAAAAGCAGATAGAAAAATGATACATAACTAACAGAGAAACACTATGTCAAATGACAGTAGATTTCTCCCCTGAAACCACCGCAGTCAGAAGTGAGTGGCACAATGTGCTGAAAGAAAAAACCTGTCAACAGCAAACTCCATATCCAGTGAAATTATCCTGTAGGAATTCAGGGGAAATAAAGACATTCCCTGATGAAAAACTAACTGAATTTGTTGCTAGCTGAACTGTCCTTAAAGAATGGCTAAAGGGACCAGGTGGAGTGGCTCATGCCTGTAATCCCAGCACTTTGGAAGGCCGGGGCAGGCGGATCACTTGAGGTCAGGAGTTCAAGACCAGACTGACCAACATGGCAAAACCCTGTCTCTACTAAAAATACAAAAGTTAGACAGTGCATGCCTGTACTCCCAGCTACTCAGAAGGCTAAGGCAGGAGAATCGCTTGAACCCGAGAGGCAGAAGTTGCAGTGAGCCGAGATCACACCACTGCCTCGTTGACAGACTGAGACTCTGTCTCCAAAAAAAAAAAAAAAAGGTTCTGGTCATTGTGAGGGGTGGTGAGAAGGCTAAAGGAAGCTCTCCAAACAGAAAGGAAAGTATAATAGAAGGCGGCTAGAATTTTCATCAAAGAAAGGTAAACAATGAAAAGGATAAAAATAAAGGTAAATATAATAGACTATTCTTTACTTTATCAATTTCTTTAATATTTTATGGCTAAAGCAAAAATTCTAGTACCATCTGATGTGGTTCCTCAATGTATGGAAAATACTTAAGATAATTATATTTCTAATTTTGAGATGATAGGCCAGGTATAGTGGCTTCTGCCTGTAATCCTAGTGCCTTGGGAGGCTGAGGTAGGAGGATCACTTGAGGCCACGAGTTCAAGACCAGCACGGACAACATAGTGAGACCTCCTCTCTACAAAAATAAAAATTAAAAAATTAGCTGGGTGTGGTTGCACACATCTGTAGTCCTAGCTACTCAGGCAGCTGAGGCAGGAGGATCATTTGAGCCCAGGAGTTTGAAGTTACAATGAGCTGTGATTGACTCCAGCCAGGGCAACAGAGTGAGACTCTGTCTCTAAAAAATAAAAAGTAAAAAATAAATGTGAAAGGATAAAGGAACCTTAATGAAAGTAAGGTTTCTGCAGTACTCAAAGTGAGAAAATCTTGACACCAGCAGACTGTGACAAGTTGTATATGTATACGATAATAATACCCAGAGCAACTGCTAAGAAAAATATACAAAGCAATGTACCAAAAAATTACAAATAAATTTAAATTAAAAATTTGAAAAGATTCAAGAAATCTACAGAAAGGTGAGAAAAAAGAAACAGAGGATTGAGAAGCAAAGGGAATAAACAGAAAACAAATACTGAAATGACAGTATAAATGCCTAACATATCAGTAATTATTTTAAATGTGTATTGTCAAATGCACTGATTAAAAGAGATTGGCAGAATGGATTTTAAAAAATGACCTAACTATATGCCATCTACCAAAAACTTACTTTAAAATAGATACACTGAAAGTATTAATAAAAGAATGAAAAAAGTATATTGAAAAACTGTTAATCAAAAATACAATTTAAAAAGTTTTATTAATATAGATGGAATAATTATATTAACATGAAAGAAAGTAGAAATTTCTTCATGGCAAATAAAATTACTAGGGACAAAGATGGGTTTTTTTAAAAAAACTTTTAGGTTGGGGTACCTGTGAAGGTTTATTATGTAGGTAAACTCAAGTCATGGGGGTTTGTTGTAGAGATTATTTCATCCCTCACGTACCCAATAGTTATCTTTTTCTGCTCCTCTCCCTCCTCCCACCCTCCCTGGGGTCAAGTAGACCCCAGTGTCTTTTGTTCCCTTCTTTGTGTTCACGAGTTCTCATCATTCAGCTCCTACTTATAAGTGAGAATACATAGTATTTGGTTTTCTGTTCCTGCATTATTTTGCTAAGGATAATAGCCTCCAATTCCAGCCATGTTCCTGCAAAAGACATGAGCTGATTCTTTTTTATGGCTGCATAGTATTCCATGGCATATATGTGCCACATTTCCTTTATCCAATCTGTCATTGATGGGCATTTAGGTTGATTCCACGTCTTTGCTATTATGAATAGTGCTGCAGTGAACATTTGCATGCATGTATATTTATGGTAGAATGATTCCTTTTCTTCTGGGCATATACCCAGTAATGGAATTGCTGGGTCAAATGGTAGTTCTGCTTTTATCTCTTTGAAGAATCACCACACTGCTTTCCACAATGGTTGAACTAATTTACACTCCCACTAACAGTGTTCAACTGTTCCCTTTTCTCCACAACCTCACCAGCATCAGGTTTTGTTGTTGTTGTTGTTGTTTGTTTGTTTGTTTTTATGATAGCCATTCTGTCTGGTGTGAGATGGTATCTCGTTGTGGTTTTGGTTTGCATTTGGCTAATCATCAGTAATATTGAGCTTTTTCCATATGATTATTGGCTGCATCTATTCCTTCTTTTGAAAAGTGTCTGTTTGTGTCCTTTGCCCACTTTGTATGGGGTTTTCTTCTCTTGTAAATTTGTTTATGTTCCTTACAGATGCTGGTTATTAGACCATTGTCAGATGCATAGTTTGCAAATATTTTCTCCCATTCTGTCTGTTTATTCTGTTGATAATTACCTTTGCTTTGCAGAAGCTCTTAAGTTTAATTAGATCCCATTTGTCAATTTTTGTTTTCATTGCAATTGTTTTTGTTGTCTTTCTCATGAAAGCTTTTCCTGTTCCTATATCCAGGATGATATTGCCTAGGTTGTCTTCAAGGGTTTTCATAGTTTTGAGTTTTACATTTATGTCTTTAATCCATCTTGAGTTGAATTTTGTCTATGGTGTAAGGAAGGGGTCCAGTTTCAATCTTTTGCATATGGCTAGCCAGTTATCCCAGCACCATTTATTGAATTAGGAGTCTTTTCCCCATTGCTTGTTTTTGTCAGCTTTGTCGAAGATCAGATGGTTTTAGATGTGCAGCCTTATTACTGGGCTCTCTATTCTGATCCATTGGTCTATGCACCTGTTTTTGTACCAGTACCGTGCTTTTTTGGTTACAGTAATCTGTAGTATAGTTTGAAGTTGGGTAAAGTAATGTCTCCAGATTTTTTCTTTTCGCTTAAGATTGCCTTGGCTATTCAGGCTCTTTTTGGGCTCCATATGAATTCTAAAATACTTTTTTTCTAGTTCTGTGAAGAATGTCATTGGTAGTTTGACAGAGATAGCATTGAGTCTGTAAAGTGCTTTGGGCAGTATGGCCATTTTAATTATATTGATTCTTCCTATCCATGAGCATGGGATGTTTTTCCATTTGTTTGTATCTCCTCTGATTTCTTTGAGTAGTGTTTTGTAATTCTCATTGCAGAGATCTTTCACCTCCCCAATCAGCTGTATTCCTAGGTATTTTATTCTTTTTGTGGCAATTGTGAATGGGGTTGCCTTCCTGATTTGGCTCTTGTCTTGGCTGTTATTGGTGTATAGGAATGCTAGTGATTTTTGTATGTTGATTTTGTATACTGAAACTTTGCTAAGGTTGTTTATCAGCTGAAGGAGCTTTAGGGCTGAGACTGTGGGGTTTTCTAGATAAAGAAATACTTGCAAACCAAATCCAGCAGCACATTCTAGATACAGAATCATGTCATCTGTAAACAGGAATAGTTTGACTTCCTCTCTTCCTATATAGATGCCTTTCTTTCTCTTGCCTGATTACTCTGTCTAGGACTTCCAACACTATGTTGAATAGAAGTGGTGAGAGAGGGCATCCTCTTATGCCGGTTTTCAAGGGGAATGCTTCCAGCTTTTGCCCATTCAGTATGATGTTGGCTGTGGGTTTCTCATAAATGGTTCTTATTATTTTGAAGTATGTTCCTTCAATACCTAGTTTATTGAGAGTTTTTAACATGAATGGATGTTGAATTTTATCAAAAGCCTTTTCTGCATCTATTGAGATAATCATGTGGTTTTTGTCTTTAGTGCTGTTTATGTGATGAATGACACTTATTGATTTGTGTATGTTGAATCAACCTTGCATCCTGGGAAAGAAGCCTACTTGATTGTGGTAGATTAGCTTTTTGACATGCTGCTGCATTTTGTTTCCAAGTGTTTTTTTGTTTTGTTTTGTTTTTGAGGCGGAATCTCGCTCTGTTGCCCAGGCTGGAGTACAGTGGCGCGATATTGGCTCACTGCCACCTCCACCTCCCGGGTTCAAGTGATTCTCCTGCCTCAGCCTCCTGAGTAGCTGGGATTACAGGTGCCCACCACCACGCCTGGCTAATTTTTGTATTTTTAGTAGAGAGGTGGTTTTGCCATGTTGGCCAGGCTGGTCTCAAACTCCTGACCTCAGGTGATCTGACCACCTTGGCCTTCCAAAGTGCCGGGATTACAGGCATGAGGCACTGCGCCCGGCTGGTTTCCAAGTGTTTTGTTGAAGACTTTTGCATCAATATTCATCAAGGATATTGGCCTGAAGTTTTCTTTTTTTGTTGTGTCTCTGCCAGATTTTGGTATCAGGATGATGCTGGTCTTATAGAATGAGTTGGGGAGAAGTCCCTCCCTCTCAATTTTTTGGAATAGTTTCAGTAGGAGTGGTACCAACTCTTCCTTCTTTGTACATCTGGTAGAATTCAGCTGTGAATTCATCTGGTCTTGGGATGGTTTTGGTTGGTAGGCTATTTATTACTGATTCAATTTCAGAGTTTGTTATTGGTCTGTTCAGGGAATCAACTTCTTCCTGGTTCAGTCTTGGGAGGGTGTATGTGTCTAGGAATTTATTTATCTCTTCTAGGTTTTCTGGTTTGTGTGCATAGAGGTGTTCATAGTAGTTTCTGAAGGTTTTTATTTCTGTAGGGTCAGTGGTAACATCCCCTTCATCATTTCTAATTGTGTTTATTTGGATCTGCTCTCTTTTCCTTTCTTCATTAGTCTAGCAGTGGCCTATCTTATTAATTTTTTGAAAAACCAACTCCTGGATTCTTTGCTCTTTGAATGGCTTTCGTGTCTCAATTTTCTTCAGTTCAGCTCTGATTTTGGTTATTTCTTGTCTTCTGCTAGCTTTGGGGTTGATTTGTTTTTGCTTCTCTAATTCTTTCAGTTGTGATATTAGGTTGTTAATTTGAGATCTTTCTAACTTTTGGATGTGGGCATTTAGTGCTACAAATTTCCCTCTTAACACTGCGTTAGCTGTGTCCCAGAGATTCTGGGATGTTGTATCTTTGTTCTCATTAGTTTCAAAGAACTTCTTTATTTCTGCCTTAATTTCATTATATACCCAAAACTCATTCAGGAGCATATTGTTTAATTTCCATGTAATCATGTAATTGCATGGTTTTGAGAGATTTTCTTAGTCTTGACTTCTATTTTTATTGTGCTGTGGTCTGAGGGTGTGTTTGGTATGATTTCAGTTATTTTGCATTTGCTGAGGATTGTTTTATGTCCAATTATGTGGTTAATTTTAGAGTACGTGTCATGTAGAAATGAGAATGTCTATCCTGTTGTGTGTGTGTTTTGTTTTGTTTTTTGAGATGGAGTCTCACTCTGTCACCCAGGGTGGAGTGCAGTGGTGTGATCTCAGCTCACTGCAACTTCCACCTCCTGGGTTCAAGCAATTCTCTGCCTCATCCTCCCAAGTAGCTGAGATTACAGGCACCCACACCACGCCCGGCTAATTTTAGTATTTTTAGTAGAGACGGGGTTTTGCCATCTTGGCCAGGCTGGTCTTGAACTCCTGACCTCATGATCCACCCGCCTTGGCCTCCCAAAGTGCTGGGATTACAGGTGTGAGCCACCACACCTGGCCCTGTTGTGGTGTGGTGTGTTTGTGTGTGTGTAGAGTTCTGTAGAGGTCTGTCAGATCCATTTGGTCCAATGTTAAGTTCAGGTCCTGAATATCTTTGTTAATTTTCTGCCTCGATGATGTGTCTACTACTGTCAGTGGAGTGTTAAAGTCTCCCACTATTATTGTGTGGGAGTCTATGTCTCTGGAGGTCTCTAAGAATTTGCTTCATGACTCTATGTGCTCCTATGTTGGGTGCATATACATTTAGGATGTTCTAATACTGTCAGTGGAGTGTTGAAGTCTCCCACTATTATTGTATGGGAGTCTATGTCTCTAGAGGTCTCTAAGAATTTGCTTCATGAATCCATGTGCTCCTATGTTGGGTGCATATATATTTAGGATAGTTAGGTCTTCTTAATGAATTGAACCCTTTATCATTATGTAATGCCCTTCTTTGTCTTTTTTGATCTTTGTTAGTTTAGTCTGTTTTGTCTGAAATTAGGATTGCAACCCCTGCTTTTTTCTGTTTTCCATGTGCTTGGTAGAATTTACTCCATCCCTTTATTTTGAGCCTATGGGAGTCATTACGTGTGGTATAGGCCTCTTGAAGACAGCATACCATTGAGTCTTGCTTTTTTATCCAGCTTGCCACTCTGTGCCTTTTAAGAGAATTGAGGCATTTAGTCTATTTACATTTAAGATTAGTATTGATATGTGTGGATTTGATCCTGTCATTGTGTTATTAGCTTGCTGTTATGCTGGCTTGTTTGTGTGGTTGCTTTATACCGTCACCAGTCTGTGTATTTAAGTGTGTTTTTGTATTGGCTGGTAGTGGTCTTTCCATTCTATATATGGTGCTCCTTTCAAGTTCTCTTATAAAGCAGGTCTGCTGGTAATGAATCCCTTAAACATTTGCTTATCTGAAAGAATCTCATTTCCCGTTTGCTTAGGAAGCTTAGTTTGGCAGGATATAAAATTCTTGGTTGAAGATATTTTTCTTTAAGAATGTTGAATATAGGCCCCCAATCTCTTCTGGCTTGTAGGGATTCAGCTAAGAGGTCCACTGTTAGCCTGATGGGGTTCCATTTGTAGGTGACCTGCCCCTTCCCTCTAGCTGCCCTTAGCATTCTTTCTTTCATTTTGACCTTGGAAAATCTGATGATTATGTATCTTGGGATGATGTTCTTGTGTAGAATCTTGCAAGTTCCCTGTATTTCCTGCATTTGACTCTTGACATTTCAATCAAGGTTGGGGACATTGTCATGGGTGATATCTTGAAATATGTTTTCCAAGTTGTTTGCTTTCTCCCCCTCCCTTTCAGGGATGCCAGTGATTCATAGATTTGGCCTCTTTACATAATCCCATACTTTTTGGAGGTTTTGTTCATTCCTCTTCATTCCTTTTCCTTTATTTTTGTCTATCTTATTTCAGACAGCTATTCTTTGAATTCTGAGATTCTCTCCTCAGCTTGGTCTATTCTGCTATTAATACTTGGGTTGCATTGTGAAATTCTTGTATTGTGTTTTTTCAGCTCTGTCAGATCTGTTACATTCTTTTTATACTAGCTGTTTCATCCTTCAGCTCCTGTATCATTTTATTGTGATTATTAGTTTCCTTGGATTGGGTTTTGCTGTTCTCCTGAATCTCAATGATCTTCATTCCTAGCCATATTCTGAATTCTATTTCTGCCATTTCAGCCAGCTCAGCCTGGCTAAGAACTCATGTTGGAGACCTGGTGCGGTTGTTTGGAGGACATATGACACTTTGGCCATTTGAGTTACCACAGTTCTTGCATTGGTTCTTTCTCATCTCTGCATGTGGGTGTTCCTTTAGCTGCAGTGTAGATTGAGTAGTCAATAAACTTCTTTTCTGGATGTTTTCACAGGGCCAAGGCTTTGTGCAGGGTCTTTATTTGAAGCTGACTTCTTGTTCTTGGTTTCACAAGAGGTATGTTAGCGAGGTATTTTTGGTGTTGAAGCTTTGGAGTGATCCAGTAGGTGGTGCTTTGGTGTATTGGTCAGTTGGTAGACACTTGCTGGGTTGTGTGGCTCCCCTGTTTCCTCACAGTTTCAATGCTCTGAAAGCATGGGTTCCTCTCCCCTCTGAGTGCTGGATCATGGCTTGGCACTCCTGGGCTGCCTGCTGCAGTTCTGGGGCAATCTCAGGATTTATGTTCCTCCCCCACCTTGGAGGCAGCAGAGGAAGGGATCTTAGTAGTGGTTGTGGCCAACAGTCTTTTGCTTGTTTCCTGGGGGCTCCGCCCCAGAGAGATGTAAGTCAGCAGTCATTCAGTGCAATCATCCCAGGATGGAGGGTCTGTGCTATGGTCCCAAGCTGGGGGTTCCTGGTCTGGTGATGAGTGGGGATGGGGAGGTGGAACCCATGGGAGACAGACTGGCCTCCTCTTCTTGGGTCAACTGTACCTTGTTAGAGGTGTGGATAAAGCACTTATGGTCTTTACTCTTTCATTAGTTTGAGGGTGGCAAGGGCAGTTCTACTACAGAGGCAGTGGCAGAGAGGCTTTCAGTTGCCCATAGGGTCTCTGTCCAGGAAGTTGCAAAGCTTCCACTGGTTTGATAGCCCCAGCAGCAGGTGGCTAGAGGCCCAGGTCTTGAGGATCCACCCAGTGAGGAGCTGTGGGAACAAGCATCCACCTAACAGTCTGGCCACTTTTCCATAGGGCTGCTGCAATATGCTGGGGGTCTGCTCCAGTCCCTAGGTACCTCAGATTTTCCAGCACCTGGAGGTATCAACAGTGAAGGCTGTGAAACAGCAAAGATGGCAGCCTGCCCCTCCCTCTGGGAGCTCTGTTTCAGAGAGGTACGGACTTGTTGCCAGCCCAAACGCACCTGTAGGAGGTGGCTGGAGACCCTGGTTGGGAAATCCACCCAGTGAGGAGGAATGGGATCAAAAACCAGCCTTAAAAAGCAGTCTGGCCATGTTTTCATACAGCAGCTGTGCTGTGCTGGGAATCCACTCCAGCCCCCAGTCACCTTGCACTCTCCAAAGCCCAAAGGGCAGAACGGCTAAGTCACCCAAACAGCAAAGACGAAGACCTGCCCCTCCCTCTGGGAACTCCATCTCAGGGAGGTTGGAAATCTCTGATAGCCAAGGGACACTGGTGGGGATAGCTGGAGACCCCACTTGGGAGTTCCCATCCAGTGAGGATGGGATCAGGGACCTGCTTTAAAAAAGCAGTCTGGCATGTTTTCATAGAGCTACGGTGCTATGCTGGGGATCTGATTTAGCCCACAGTTGCCTTGGACCTTCCAAAGTCTGAAGGCTGGAATGGCTAAGTTGGCCAAACAGCAAATATGGCGGCCTGCCCCTCCCCCTGGGAGCTCCATCTTAGGGAGGTGTAACACTGCTACAGGTGGCTGGCTGGAGTTCTAAGCCAGTGGGTCTTATCCTGTGAGGTGCCATGGAAAGGGAGCCTGCAGACTGTCACTGCTCAGCCTCCGGGATTCAGCCCCTTTCCTAGGGATATGTATGGGGGTCTAGCCTCCCATTTTGCTGGAGTTGCAGCTGCTTTTGCCGGGGAGCCCAGAAAATCCAGGTATCTAAGGTTCCGGGGTCTCTGCATGTGCCTGAGTGGCTGCTCTGTTGAAACTCCATGTAGCTCTGTGTGTCAGACTGAAGGCCCTGGTGGAGTGAGTTTATGAGGGGATCTCCTTGACTCCATGGAAGGATCCATGGCAGAAGTGTGGGTTCCCAGGGTTGCATATTCACTAAATGCTTCCCTAGGTTGGGGAGGTTCCCCCAACTCCATATCACTCCCCGGTGGGCCATTATCCTGCATTGCTTTTCTCCATTATCCATGGGTTGAGTTGTTTCCTTGATTAGTCCCAATGCATGTACCTGGATGTTTCAGTTGAAGGTGTTGTATTTACTTGTCCCTTCCATTCCTCTCCATAAGAGCAGCACATACTAGCTGCTTCTAGTCAGCCATCTTGGCCACCAGGTAAATAGATGTTATTTAATGATAACAAGATCAATCCACCAAGAAGGTATAGCAATACTAAATGTATATGTATATGCACCAAATAATAGAGCTTCAAAATACATAAATTAAAACTAGTAGAGCTGAAAGGAGAAATAAGCAAATCCACAATTGTCTTAGTCCATTTGTGCTGGTATAATAAAAACTCATTCTGGGTAATTTATAAATAAAAGAAATCTATTTATTACAGTTCTAAAGGCTGGGAAGTCCAAGATCCAAGCACTGGCATCAGGTGTCTGGTGAGGGGTGTCTTTTTGCATTCTCATATGGCAGAAGGGGCAAATGCCATGTTCTCACATGGCAAAGGGCAGTAGGACAAAAAGGGCCTATCTAGTTTCCTCTGGCCCTTTTATAAAGTTGCTAATTCCATTCATGAGGGATTTGCCCCATAATGCAATCACCTCCCAAAGGCCCTTCTTCTTAATATTATCACATTGGGGTTTAAGCTCCAACATAAATTTTGGAGGGGACACAAACATGCAAACCATAACAACAATTATAGTTGGGGACTTCAAGAACTCCACTCTCAGCAGTTGATAAAACTAATAAATAAAGAATGAACAAGGATACAGAAGAACTAAACAACATCATTAACCAACAGGATCTAATTAATATTTATAGAACACTTTCTCCACCTAACAAGAGCAGAATACATATTCTTTTTAAGTGTCCCTTGACACTCACTAAGATAGACCATATCCTGGATTATAAAACAAACCTTAAATTTAAAGAACTGAAATCACATATAGTATGCACTCTGACAATAATAGAATTAAAATAGAAATCAATAAGAGAAAAACAACAGGAAAACCTCCAAACACTTGCTTGGAAGTTAAAAATACACTTCTGATAATCCATGGGTCAAAGAGAAAATCCCAAAGAAAATTAAAAGATACTTAGTGCTGAATGGAAAAAATCCATATTTGTTTGACACAGTTAGAACAGTATTGACAGGGAAATTCATAGCACTGCACTTCATTAGAAAAGAAGAAAGGTCTCAAATCAATAATCTCAGTTGCTGCCTCAAAAAACTAGAAAAAGAAGAACAAAATAAACCCCAAGCAAACAGAAAGAAGGAACTACAAATGATAAGAACAGAAATCAATGAAATTGAAAACAGGAAAACTATAAGGAAAATTAATAAAACAAAAAAAAACAAATTCTTCAAAAAATCAACAAAATTTATAAACCTAGAGCAAGACTGATGAAGATAAAAAGAGAGAAGACACAAATTACCAGTATCAGGAGTGAAACAGGGGCTATCAGAACAGATGAGGCCAGGATTACCCTGATATCAAACCAAAAAGAAAAAAAAAGATAGCACAGGCTGGGCATGGTAACTCATGCCTGTAATCCCAGCACTTTGGGAGGTTGAGGCAGGCAGATTGAGACCAGGAGTTCAAGACCAGCCTGGGCAACATGGCAAAACCCTGTCTCTACAAAAAATACAAAAATTAGCTAGGTGTGGTGGTGTGTGCCTGTAGTCCCAGCTACTTTGGGGCGCTGAGGTGGGAGGATCACTTGAGCCTAGGAGGTCAAGGCTGCAGTGAGCCATGTTTGCACCACTGCACTCCAGTCTGGGTAACAAAGTGAGACCTTGTCCCAAAAGAAAAAGAACATAAAAAAAGGAAATTATACAATCTCTCATGGACTTTGACACAAAAAAAACTTCAACAAAATACTAACAAATTGAATACAACAATGTGTAGACTAAATGGGATTTCTTCCAGGTAAGCAAGGCTAGTTCACTATTTAAAAATAAATCGGGCTGGGTGTGGTGACTCACACCTGTAACCCCAGCACTTTGGGAGGCCAAGGTGGGCAGATCACGAGGTCAGGAGATCTAGACCATCCTGGCTAACATGGTGAAACCCCATCTCTACTAAAAATACAAAAAATTAACCGGGCGTGGCAGAGTGCCGGTAGTCCCAGATACTCAGGAAGCTTAGGCAGGAGAATCGCTTGAACCTGGGAGGCAGAGGTTGCAGTGAGCCGAGATCGCACCACTGCACCCCAGCTTGGGTGACAGAGCGAGACTCCGTCTCAAAAAAATCAGTCAATCAATCATTGTAATCCACCATGTCAACAGACAAAAGAAGAAAATCATATGATCATATAAACTGATCCAGAACAAACACTTGACAAAATTCAGCATCTATTCATGATTAAAACAAAACAAAACAATACAAAACAAAAAACTCGGGCCTGGCGCAGTGGCTCACGCCTGTAATCCCAACACTTTGGGAGACCAA
Organism: Homo sapiens; assembly: GCF_000001405.40. Taxonomy (NCBI): domain Eukaryota; kingdom Metazoa; phylum Chordata; class Mammalia; order Primates; family Hominidae; genus Homo; species Homo sapiens. Next base: position 44,363,897 of record NC_000007.14, read on the forward strand.
GGTGGGTGGATCACGAAGTCAAGAGATCAAGACCATCCTTGCCAACATGGTGAAACCCTGTCTCTACTAAAAATACAAAAATTAGCTGGAACACGCCTGTAGTCCCAGCTATTTGGGAGGCTGAGGCAAGAGAATTGCTTGAACCCGAGAGGTGGAGGCTGCAGTGAGCCGAGATCGCGCCACTGCACTCCAGCCTGGCGACAGAACGAGACTCCATCTCAAAACAAAACAAAACAAAAACAAATAAACAAAAAAACAACTCTCAGCACACTAGGAAGAGAGATTAATTTCCTCAGTGTCACAAAGAGCATCTATCAAAAACCTACTATAAGCATTATACCTAATGGGGACAGACTGAGTGCTTTCCCTCTAAGTTCTGGAACAAGTGAAGGGAATCTGCTCTGACCACTCTTTTTCAACATAGTAATGGAAGTTCTAGCCACTGCAATCAGAAAATAAAAATATATAAACAGTGTCAAGAGTAGAAAGGAAAACATAAAACTGTGCTATTTGCAGGTGACATGATTAACTACATAGAAAATAAAATCCTGAGGAACCTAAAAAAAAAAAATTACTAGAGCTAATGAGTTTAGTAAGGTCACAGGATACAAAATCAACACACAAGTCTATTTCACTTATATAAAGTGACAATGAACAAGAGGAAATATATATTTAAAACATATAAACATATACAATTGACCCAAAGAACATGAAATACTTAGGTATAAATCTAACAAAACCTGTACTGAATCTATGTAATAAAATTATATTATAGAATGCTGATGAACCAAATCAAAAAAGATCTAATACACCATGGTTGTAGATTGGAAGACTCAATATAGTACAGATGAAAATTCTTCCTAATTGATCTACAGGTTTAATGCAATTCTTTTTTTTTTTTTTTTTTTTTTTGAGATAGGGTCTTGCTCTGTCACCCCCAGGCTGGAGTGCAGTGGCACGACCATGGCTCACTGCGACCTCGACCTTCTGGGCTCAAGTAATCCTCCCACCTCAGCCTCCTGAGTAGCTGGGACTACAGGCTCTTGCCACTATGCCCGGCTAATTTTTTGTATTTTTTTGTAGAGACAAGGTTTTACCATGTTGCCCAGGATGGTCTCAGACTCCTGGCCACAAACAATCCTCCTGCCTCAGCCTTCCAAAGTGCTGTGATTACAGCCGTGAGCCACCATGCCTAGCTGGTTTAATGCAATTCTTACCCAAATCTCAGCAAGATTTTTTTGTAGACATAGACAAGCTTATTTTAAAATTTATATGGAAAGGGAAAGACACTAGAATAGCCAAAACGTATGAAAAAGAAGAAAATTCATGATGTCAGGGCTTACCATATAGCGACGGTAATAAAGACAGTGTGGTATTGGTAGAGGAGCAGACACATAGATTAATGAAATAGAACAGAGATCCCAGAAATAGACCTACACAAACATTTGATTAATAATTAAATAAATAATAAAATAATATTTGATGAAGGAGCAAAAGTGGTTTAGAGGAGAAATGACAGCCTTTTCAACAAATGCTCCTGGAACAACTGGACATTCATAAGCCAAATAAATAAATAAATAAATAAACCTCACACCTTATACAAAAAATTAACTCAAAATGGATCATAGACTTAATGTAAAACATAAGCTATAAAACTTCTAGAAAAATAGGAGGAAAACTGTGAGATCTAGGACTAATCAAAGGTATTTTTAGACTTGACACCAAAGCTTGATGAATAAAAAGAAAATTTGATATACTGGACCTCACCAACATTAAAAGCTATTGCTCTGAAAAGACTATGTTAAAAGGATGAACAAACTAATTATAGACCAGGAGAAAATATTTGTAAATCACATATCCAGCAAAGGACTTTTATCTAAAATATATAAAGAATGCTCAAAACTTGATATTTAATGGCCAAAAGACTTGACACAACATTTCATCAAGGAAAATATACATATGGCAAAAAGCACATGACAAGATGCTCAGCATCGTTAGCCATTGGTAAAATGCAAATTAAATCACACAATAAGATATCACCGCACACCTGTTAGAACAGTCAAAATAAAAAATACTGACAGTACCTATAATAGTTTCATAGTGTTACTGTAGTAAATCACCACAAATTTCGTGGCTTAAAACACCACAGATGTATTATCTTACAGTTCTGGAGGTCAGAAGTCCAAAATGAGTTTAATGAGGCTTGTGGCTATCATCCTTCAAAGCCAGCAATGGCTGCTTGGTTGAGTCTTTTTCACTTCACATCACTCTTTTGCCTCCTTCTTCCACATTTAAAGGATTATTGTGATTATATTGGGTCTACCTAGATAATCCAGAATAATATTTTCTTAAGGTCAACTAATTAGCACTCTTAATTCCATCTGCAACCAAAATTCTCCCTTGCATAACTTATTTCATAGGTCTGGAGGATTAGGATGTGGACTTTTGTGGGAGCCATTTTTCTGCCTATCACAATACCAAATGTGAGCAAGGATGCAGAGAAACTGGAGCTCACATATTGCTGGTTGGAATGTAAAATGGCAGAGGCACTCTGAAAAAGTTTGACAATTTTCTATAAAGTTAAACATATACTTAAACATATGACCCAGTAATTGCACTCCTGGGTATTTATCCTAAAGAAATGAAATTTTATGTTCAATTTTAAAACTCTATATATGAATATTCACAGCAGTTTTATTTGTAATAGACAAAAATTGGAAACTACTCAAATGTCCTTCAATGGGTAGGCCATTAAACAAATTGTGGTTCATCCATGTACTATGGCATATTATTCAAAAATTAAAAGAAACTATGATATACACAGCATCTTGAATGGACCTCAAGGAAATTATGGTGAATGAAAAAGCCAATCTCAAAAAGATAAACATTGCATAATTCCATTTATATAACATTCATGAAACAATGTAATTATAGCCAAGGAGATCAGATTAGTGGTTTCCAGGGGTTGGGCATGAGGGGCCGTGCCTATAAAGAGGCAGCACGAGGGAACCTTTTGGCTACCAAATAGTTCTGTATCTTGATTGTGGTAGCAGTTTTATAAAATTACATGTGATGAAATTGCATACAGCTATAAGCACACATGCGCACACACAAGTGCATGTAGAATTGGTGGAATCAGAATAAGCTCTGTAAATGGTACTGATGTCAATCTTCTGGTTTTGATGCTGTGCTGTGGCTTCATAAAATGTTTCCATTGGGGTAGTCTGAGTGAAGGGTGCATGAAGTATTTCTTCACAACTTCCGGTGACTCTATAATTGTTTCAAAATAAGTGGTGACGATTGCTTCTCGGCCTTTTGGCTAAGATCAAGTGCAAAATACATGGTGACATCAGCAGGATGGCCAACTGGAAGTTCCTAGCACTTGTCCCCTTCACAAAGAAAGCCAGAATAGCAACATTTTAATGAAACAAAACAATCAAACAAACAAAAAACAGGGAGAGCACTGGAGTGCATCAGAGAAGTAACAGAAACCCTGGTGAGCACAGAAACTTGGAATAGTCAAATAAAGAAAGGAAGAAATGCTGGGCCTTACCCCATCCCCAAACCAGGATCATCTGGGAACCAGGAGGAACTTCTTCCTACAGCAAGAAGGTAAGCAAGAGGATCCCAGCAACCCCCACCAACACCTCGAACACATACAGACCTCATCAGTAGGGTGCCCTGCAGTCTTTACAAGGACTAAGCCCAGCTGAGGGAGCTGCCTCCAGTCCACATACCTATGCTCCCTCCAGAGGAGACGCTGACACTGTGCCTCGCCCCCTGTGGCCTGTGTAGCTACTGTGCTACACCATCTTGGAATTGCAACTACAGCTAGAGTGTCTTACTCGGCGGGTGAGTAGCCACAACTCCTCTTCATCCCTGAAGCTAAGTCATCACTGAACTACCCCAGTCTAGTAGCCCAACATCCACAAGCTGAGCTGCAAACAGCTGTTATACTCTTTCCCATGGGATCAAGGGTGGAGCTACTCTACCTACCCCTCCCTACCCCAGGCCAGAGCTGAAGCACTACCCTCTCTCCTGGAAAAACAGTATCTTGGCCATTCAGAGCAATCACACCTTCCTGGTGCCTAAGTTGAAGCAGCACCCTGCATCCCAGGAAATGGTGCCTGGTCCTCCCAGAATAGTCATATCCCCCAGGCCTGAGCTGAACTAGCATACCATCCCCTGGGCAATCAGTGCCCTGGCTAAGCTGAGCAGTTGTACATCCCAGGGCTGAGCTTATGTAGTACCCCGGGTCCCAGAGAAACAGAGCAGTGGCTGAACTGAGACACTCGCACCCCCCACAGGCCATAATACTCAAGTACTTCCCTGGAGCTGGACTAGCCCCCTAGAGTTTGAGCTGCTGAGACACCCCTCTCCCTGGGGAGTGGAGTCACTGCTGTTTTGTTTCCTGTCCCCCACCACCCCAAGGCCCAAATGACAGCTGTGCTCTGGCATTCTGGGGTCACAGAATCTAGGATACTGCTAAGCCCCACCATCCCAGGGTCTAGAGTCACCACTACACGATGCCTCATCCTTTGGGACCTGAGTTGCCAATGAGCTCTATTGGCCCAGGTTCCTGAATTGCAGCCATATTCTGCTCCTCAGGCTCAAATCTGCAAAGCAGCCCTTCTTCCCAGGAGTCAGGCCAGTGCTATGCTTTGTCCCCAGGGGTAGAATCACAGCTATAAACCAGCCCCTGGGCCCAAGCAGCTAGGGGTTGCCACAGAGTCACAGATATTGGCTCTGTGGGCAACCTACACCAAACCCTGCCACATACCACAAGGCACAGGTGCTGCAGTAGGTTCACAGATGCTGAGCCTAGGATCCCAGCCCCATGGCCACTCTGAGCACCTGCAGTTGGAATCAGCACCACTGTAGCTGCTTGTAGGCTGTGTCAGACCTGATGGCAAAGGAGAACCCCTCAGACAGGTCCCCCCACTGTGGGGAAAAAATGAGAATAGGAGGACCTCAAAAGCCCTTGACACTGAGGACATTAACATCCTACACTGCTGCCACAAACTTCTACAGCCTAGGTCACTGAAGTGTCCATAGTTACTGCTGGCATTGAATGAAGCTGAAGAAGACTTCATTCAACAAAGAAAACTATATCACTGCATCTATCTGGAAGCAGAGTCACCACACCCTCTCCAGCAAGCCCACTAAAACCCAAATGCAAGTGAAAGTCTTTCTCTATGAGTCACTCTACAAAGTTTGGAAGTGGCTATTGTCCTAACAGATGCACAAACATCAGTGCAGGAGCACAAGAAACATGAAAAAGCAAGGAAATATGACACCGCCAAAGGTACATAATAACTCTCTAGCTACAGACCCCAATAAAAAAGAAATCAATTAATTGCCAAATTCAAAATAATGATCTTAAGGAAACTCAACAAAATACAAGAAAATATAGATAGACAATTCAACAAAATGAGGAAACCAATTTACAATATGAATGAGAAATTCAACAAAGAGATAGAAATCATAAAAAAAAAGAACCAAATGGAAACCCTACAACTAAAGAATTCAGTGAATGAAATTCAAAATACAGTAGAGAGCTTCAACAGCAGACTTGATCAAGCAGAAGAAAGAATCACTGAACTTAAAGACAGGTCATTTGAAAGTCCCCAGTCAGAGGGGGACAATAAAGAAATAAGAATGAAGAAAGCCTGTAAGACTTATGGAATACCATTAAGCAAACACATATTTATATTATGGAAATTTCAGAAGGAGAAGAGAAGGGAAAAGGTATAGAAAACCTAATTAATGAAATAATAGTTGAGAATTTCTCAATTCTGGGGGAGATATGAACATCCAGATCCAGGAAGCTCAAATATTCCCAAATAGATTGAACCCAAAAAGATACTTCTCAAGGGATATTATAGTCAAACTGTCAAGAGTCAAAGACAAAGAGAGAATTCTAAAAACAGTAAAAGAAAAGCACCAAGTCACATATAGAGGAATCCCCATTAGATAAATAGGTGATTTCTCTGCAGAAAACTTAGAGGCCAGGAGAGAATAAAATGTTATATTCAAAGTGCTGAAAGTAAAAAAAATTGCCAGCCAGGAATATTAACCCAGAAAAGCTACCCTTTAGAAATGAGGGAGAAATAAAGTATTTCCCAGATAAGTAAAAACAAAGAATTCACCAGTAAACCAGCCTTGCAAGAAATGCTCAGGAGTTCTACATCTGGATGTAAAAAGGCAATAACTACTATCATGAAAACATGCAAAAGTATAAAACTCATTGGTAGAGCAGATATACAAAGGAGAAAGACAAAAAAATCAAACCTTACCACTACAGAAAACCACCAAACCACAATGAAACAGAGTTAAGAGAAAAAATAAAGGAACAAAGGATATGCAAAACAACCACAAAACAACTAACAAAATGATAGAAGTCCTCTCCTATCAATAATAAACCTTGAATGTAAACAATTAAATTTCCTACTTAAAAGATATAGACCGGATGAATAGGTTTTTTAAGTGAGTCAATTATATGTTGCCAACAAGAAACTCACTTCATCTGTAAAGACATAAATAGACTGAAAGTGAAGGGATGAAAGAAAAAAAACAAACATTCTATGCAAATGGAAACCTAATGTGAGCAGGAATAGCTATACTTGTATCAGATTAAACAGACTTTGAGTCAAAAACTGTAAAAAGTGACAAAGAAGGTCACTATATAATGATTAAGGGATCAATTCAGCAAGAAGATATAACAATTGTTAAGTATATACACACTCAACACCAGAACACCCAGATATATAAAGCAAATATTAGATCTAAAGGGAGAGATATATTCCAATATAATAATAGTTGGGGATTTCAACACCCTACTGTCAGCACTGGACAGATCATCTAGACAGAAAATCAACAAACACTGGATTTAAACTGCACTTTAGACCAAATGAACCTCACACTTACAGAACATTTATTCCAACTGTTGCAGAATATGCATTCTTTTCATCAGCACATGGAACAGTCTTCACGACAGACTACATGTTAGGTCACAAAACAAGTCTCAACCATTTTAAAAGAACTGAAATTATATCAAGTATCTCTTCTGACCACTATAAAATAAAACTAGAAATCAATAATAATAGGAAGTTTCAAAATTGTACAAATACATGGAAATTAAACAACAGGCTCCTGAATGACCAATGGATCAATGAAGAAATTAAGAATGAAATTAAAAATGTTCTTGAAACAAATGAAAATAGAAATACAACATACCAAAACCTGTGGGACACAGCAAAAGCAGTATTAAGAGGCAAGCTTATACAATAAATGTCTACATCAAAAAAGTAGAAAGATTTCAAAAAACAACCTATTGATGCATCTCAAGGAACTAGAAAAGCAAGAACAAACCAAACCCCAAATTAGTCCAAGAAAAGAAACAATAAATGTCAGAGCAGAAATCACTGAAATGGAGACTAAGAAAAATAAAAGATCAACAAAATAAAAATTTGTTTTTTGAAAAGATAAACAAAATTGGCAAACCATTAGCTAGACAAATCAAAGGAAAAAAAGGACCCAAATAAATAAAATTAGAAATAAAAAAGAGACATTGCAACTGATACCACAGAAATACAAAGGATCATCAGAGACTATTACAAACAGCTGCATGCCAACAAATTAGAAAACCTAGCAGAAATGGATAAATTCCTGGACACATACAACCTACTGATATTGACCCAAGATGAAATAGAAAACCTGAATAAACCAATTATGAGCAGTGAGATTGAATCTGTAATAAAAAGTCTCCCATGGCCGGGCGCGGTGGTTCACGCCTGTAATCCCAGCACTTTGGGAGGCCAAGGCGGGAGGATCATGGGGTCAGGAGATCAAGACCATCCTGGCTAACACGGTGAAACCCAGTCTCCAGTAAAAAATACAAAAAAATTATCCAGGTGTGGTGGTGGACTCCTGTAGTCCCAGCTACGCGGGAGGCTGAGGCAGGAGAATGGCATGAACCTGGGAGGTGGAGCTTGCAGTGAGCCAAGATTGCACCACTGCACTCCAGCCTGGGCAACAGAGTGAGACTCCGTCTAAAAAAAAAAAAAAAAAGTCTCCCATCAAAGGGGGAAAAAACCCTGCTGAGAATTTTATTGGGATTACATTGAATCTATATATCAATTTGGAGAGAATTGACAGCTTAACAATATTGTCTTCCAATTCACAAATATATCTCTCCATTTTTAAAAAGTCTTATTTAATTTCCTTAAGTAGGTATTTTTTGTGGTTTTTAGTATACAGGTCCTATACATGCTTGGTTAAATTAATTCCTGAGTACTTTTCACTTTTGATGCTATGGTAAATGGCATTTAAATTTTTATTTTCTACTTGTTTGTTGCTAGTATACAGAAATGCAATTGATTTTGTACATTGATCTTGTATTCTTCAAACTTACTAAATTCACTTATTAATGTAGTAGTAAAATTTTAATGAATATGGAGTTTCAGTTTGGGAAGATGAAAAAGTTCTGGAGCTGGATGGTGGTGGTTATGGTTACACAACCACGTGATGTATTTAATGCCACAGAGCTTGTAATGGTAAATTTTATGTTTTTATGTTATATATATATTATCACTGGGTAGATTTGTTAGTATTTTCTAGGTACATTATTATTATGTTCTATGTGGATTTAAAAAGTTTAACTTCTGTAGTCATAAAAGAAGGAGGAAGACAAAGAGGAGGAGAAGACACAAACGAAGACTGTTGATAGCCACATTTAGCTTTCATTGAATACAGTTAAGGATTCAGAATTTTTCATTTGCTGCCTATATCAGCAAAGATTAGAAAATTTGCAGAGAATGACATTCACTATTATTAGGCAATTCAGAAGATGACATAGAAAGACAGCAGCACTCTCTAATGATAATGATGAAAATGAAAGTACAAGGGAAATCTTAGAATGAGTCTTCAAATGATAACATCCCAGATAAATTTTCTTGAACTCAAGAATTAATGATGAACAATATATTTCTAATTTCAAAAATGAAATATGACATTCTCATTCAGTGAATCACTCAGCATGAAGGACTTCATCACACAATATTTCACAAGATCCTGGACCATCCCATTTTGCTAAAAGGACAGTATTGTGTGACAGTATTCTTTCATCTTTTATGATGTTTGTACATCAAAATGTACTTTATATATTAAAATTTCTTCTGAGAAATAAGAAGTTAAAAATTAATCCAAGAAATCCATCTAGGATTATGTTTGTTCATGTGCGGAAGATAACTTGGGTGGCCTGTGAAGTCAGGCCTCAGACAGTTCCTTCGTCCTGGCATCCCTTCAGCCTTTCTGGGTGGACAAGAGGGTTATGAGAGAAAGCAGCTAAAGGTGAGAAGCGCCCAGGCCGCCCTCCCTACTAATGCATCTCCTATCTCTGCCTCTGACCCAGCCCCTTGCTCTGCCATGGTGCTAAATCCAAGACCTGCCCTCCCCTGTGAGGGCTCTCCACACCTTCAACTGACCACAAACCTATCCACACCCCTTAGTTTGCCATTCAAGGCCCTATGCACATACCTGCTTGTGAATTCTACCTGGGCTGTTCCCTCTGCCAAGGCAGTCTGACTCCATTCTCCCTCTGGACCCTGGTAGCATCCCTTGCTCGGTCTCCAGTTCCTCCCAGTGCAGTGTTGCAGCCAGGCTGACCAGGCTGACAACCAATCTGCCAGGGGATACTGCCTCTAGGGCAGTGGGTCCCCTCTGCCCTGAATGTCCCTATGCGGGGGAGCTGTGGTATGAAGTGGGGAGTGGTGAGGACTGTGGTGCTCAGCCCTGCCTACCTGCTACAGCTGAGGCTGTCCCTAGAAGGATCCCACCCAGCACTGCCTGGACTCTTTACTTTTTCAAAAGAGCTCAGAAACCAGATCTTTATATAAAATCTCTTGTTTTTTTCAATGCCAGCAACAACTCAAAATTGTAATGGCTATGGAGTTTCAGTTTGGGAAGATGAAAAAGTTCTGGAGCTGGATGGTGGTGATGGTTGCATAACCATGTGAATGTACTTAATGCCACAGAGCTTGCACACTTGAAATTGTTAAAAGGATACATTTTATGTTATGTATATTTTATTACACTTAAAATAATTTAAAGTGTGTGGGGGTTTCCCAACACCCCTCCTCAGGTGAGGGCAGTGTAGTAAACAGTGACGATGGGTAGGGCAGGGGATCAGAAAGGGTAGGGGAGGACAGGGGTTGGGTTAGGGCCAGGCCGGGTCTTGCCCATGGGTAGCAGGGGTCCTGAAGGAGGGGCCATTGACGTGTGTCCAGGTCTGTATGCTGCATTGTGTGGGGGAAAGGGAGAGTGTGATCATTCAGCAGAGCAGTGGGCTCAGGGGGTGGTCGAGGGGTGGGGGTTGAGGGCAGGTGATCCTGGGTTCAGTCGCTCACCTCCGGTCTGCAGGCCCCAGGTGGCAGGAGGCCATTCACTGGAGGCCAGAGACAGGTGGTGCTCTCGAGGGTGCTGATGCCCTCATGCGGTGGGACCCCCAGGAAGCCTGCCAGTGCCTTTGGATGCTCAATGCTGGGGTTCTTCCCACTCAATGTTGGTCATTTTGCAGCTGAAGAAACTGAAGCATAGGGAGACCAGGCCCCCTCCCTAAACTTCCTGTGGTAGCCTTGGCTCTGGGCAAGCAGTCAGGGAGACCCCAGCTGTGCTCCACCTTGCTCAGTGTGGAGGTGACAGTGAGGGCTGGGCGAGATGAGCGGGGGATGGCAAGGATCACACGCACCCCTTTGAGAACAGGTCGTAAGGAACTTCTTAGCTCCTGGGGTCACAGCCCCTTTATCTAGTGGCCAAGGGGTACTTTTGTGGGGCCTGCCACCCCATATACAGCTGTGCCCAGGCCTCCACCTTGCCTCTGGCACCTGCCTTCACGTGTGGAGCACGAGATACTGCCTGGGGATCCTTGGGGATCACACGTGGTGAGCCAAGCCACCTGCCTATGAAAAGGAGAAAAGGAAGAAGATGGAAGAGGAGCAGGGGAGAAGGGGGTTAGGGTCAGGGGAGGGGAGAGGTGGCCTGGGTCTGCACAGAGCTGCAGTGGTGGGACTGAGGGTGGCCCCACTCTCAAGGGCCAAGTAGGGTTGTGGTATCCCTATCTCCCAGTGCCCTCCCTTGGGGTCTGGCTCCTGCCCTGCTTCTCTCTTCTGCCTTCAGACATTTGGGATAAACTCCAAACAGCAGACCATGGCCTTTAAGATCTAGCCCCCAGGGTCCCCACTCTCCTTTCTCATCCATGTCTCCAGGGCCCTCTCCCCTCTGAGGGGACCCTCCCAGGGACCCAAACTAAGCCCAGCCTGCTCCCCGGGCCCTGTGGAGTCCACCAGAGCCCAGTCCTCCCTGAGTCATGATGGCAGAGTCCTTTATCTTTTGTCACTACACGGGAAATGTGGGGTGTCAGTGGCCTGTGTTGCTCACAAAGGTCCTGAACACGGGAGTGGCTGCCTGTGGCAGGTAGATCCAGGCTGAAGCAGAGGCGGCCGTCCACTTTCTGCCCCGATGCCTCCCGGCCACCAGACACACTGCCTGCCTTCCACTTAGCAGAGGTTCAACACAGTGTCCATCACCACCTCTAAGTCCACAGGCTTGTGTTTGGCAACAACAGTGACCTGTTGACCAGGCCTGGGGTCTGGAGCCTGCACTACTGTGCCCACCACTGGGTGGTGCCCTCTGGACAGGTGTCCCTCTCGGAAAGCTGAACCCAGGCTCTGAGCCCGAAGGAAGGGTGGGGGCCTGGGAGGGCTTCATGGCAGGTGGAGCGAGGTGGGATGGGGTGAGGAGTGACATGAGGGGGCCCTCCCAAGCCAGGGGCAGGGGGTCTCTGATCACACCCCCAGGGACCCCTGCACCCCACCTCTTGGCAGGAGGATGGACAGCTCCTTGAACTGAACCCCAATGGCTGGGGGTCCTTTTTCTCTTTTTCCTTCCTTACCCTAGTCCTGGAACCCACGGTCTCTAATGCTGAAATTCCCAAATCACAACAGCTTGTGCATCCGCAGGAAGCTCTTCTTGTCCTCCTGTTCTGAGGGAGCGGGGACTCTCCCACACCAGCCGCCCTGGTGTAGATCGCATGGGCTCCACGCTGTCCTGCCTACCCGCTCAGCAGGGCTCTGTGTCCTGGGGTGAACCTATGGCCGCGTCTTCCCGCAGAGAGTGGGTGGTGTTGCCTCCTCTTTCATGTGTGGGGCCATCAGCCCACATTTCTGTAATGCCTAACCCATCGCTAACCAAAAGTCAGACATGGCGCTGCGGAGATGCTCACCTTCAGGTTCTGGCACCTTCCACCTGCCTTGGTTTCCTCAGCTGTCATGTGGGGTATGGGTAGGATGCACCTCAGGCATTGTTCAGGGCAGTGCTTCTCAAACTCACCCCCAAAGCCTCCACCCCCAACCCCCCCCCGAGGGGTTCTGATCCTGTTGGGGAGGGGAAGATGGGAAATTGCACCTCTGATCTACTCAGGTGTTGGTGGCTTCCACTGGAACCCCAACGTGAGACCACCTCTGAAGACTAAACCCACTGCTACATGCTCCAGTGCCAGCGGCAGGTGACATTCCCAGGGAATCAGCAAACCCTGCAAAGCAGACATGACGGTGGCCTTAAGTTAGGGCTCTTTTTTTTTCTCCAAGACACAAAAATGACTAACCTTTAGAAACGGGAATATTTATCTTGAACACAGAGAGGACCCTGAAACCCTGCAGGCCTGCCTTGAGCACCCAAAGTACACTTCCTCCATGTCCTTTCCGAGTGCACCTGTCAGTCTCTCTCCCTCCCTGTCCCTCCAGTGTCCATCTCTAAGACCCTGAGTCCCTCTCCCTCCCTTTCCCTCCTGTGTCCATCTCTGAGTGTCCCTCTCCCCCCGACCCTCCCATGTCCATCTCTGAGTGTCCCTCTCCCTCCCTGACCCTCCCATGTTCACCTCTGAGTGTCCCTCTCCCTCCCTGTCCCCTCATCTGAGTGTCCCTCTCCCTCCCTGTCCCCTCAGTGTCCCTCTCCCTCCCTGTCCCATCTGAGTGTCCCTCTCCCTCCCTTTCCCTCCTGTGTCCATCTGAGTGTCCCTCTCCCTCCCTGTCCCTTCCACGTCCCTCTGTGTCCCTCCCTCCCTGTCCCTCCCGTGTCCATCTCTGTGTCTCCCTCCCTCCCTGTCCCTCCTGTGTCCATCTCTAAGTCCCTCTCCCTCCTTGTGCCTCCTGTGTCCCTGAGTGTCCCTCTCCCTCCTTGTCCCTCCTGGGTCCCTCTCTGAGTGTCCCTCTTCCTCCCTGTCTCTGATCTCTTTGGATCTCTACTGGCCTCTCACACTGCAGCCAATGTCTCTGGTCTATCCACTCTGTCCCCACCCTGCTCCCTAGGTGCCCACTCAGCCCTGGCTGGCAGCTTTGGGTGCTGGTCTTACATCCCAAGACTGATGTTCTGCTTCCTTGGGGCGAAGGACAGGGCAATCCCTGTGAGGGGGTCAGTTCTCAGAGAAGAGATGGGCCTAGCTGACCCCCAGCTGGTGTCTTCCTCACAGTTGAGTGCATGCTTCTCAGGACTTCAGTAGAGGATTCCACTGAGCTGGGTGAAAATGAGTTTCTCTCTGTCCCCACATCATTCCCCTTTCCATGTTCCTTCCCATGGGGCTCCAGCAGCAGCCTCTGCTCCAGTCAGCTGTGGTTCTCAGTGTCCACCTGCCTGTCTCTCTGGTTTGGGGACAGCGTGTGCTGTGTGACTGTGATTCTCTGATGGATCTGAGAAATGTGGATTCTCCGCTCAGCGGTTTCGTTGTTCAGATGGGAATCCCTTCCATGCTCCCGACTGTCAGGGGCTCCTCCCAGACGTGGTGGAGGCTGGAGATGTCAATGCTAGCTGGGGAAGCAGCCAGGGGCTCCCAGGCTCTGGACTTGGGTGACCCTGTCCTGAAGGTTCCTGGGAAGGGGGAGAAGGCAGGTGGGATGTGGAGGGTTGGGTTGTATCTCCACCTGGGTATTCTCCCAGAGTCAGCAGCAGAGAGCTCCCAGGTAGAGTGCCAGGTGGCCAGACTTCTGTGAGGGGTAGGCACTACCCAGGCTGAGAGCCAGGAGGGGCCAGAGATGCTTTTGGTGGGATCAGTCCTTCCTGCTGGGCCCATGGTGCTGGGATTCTCTCCAAGGGCTGCAGGCCCAGTCTTGCTCATGGCACTCACTTTCTGTTCTCCATGCAAGCCGGATGTGAGACAAGAAACTCAGACCATCTCAACTGCTTAGTGCTTTCTTCCCCCAAAGCCCTGCGATGAGGAAGTGGGCAGTGGGATAGACTGCTCATTTGGTTGTCTGACAGGTCACGAATGGGCCCACCTACAACACAGGTGGCTTGGGTGCTGCCACCAGCCACAGCCAGGAGAGCAGGTCTCTAAACCTGAGGGAACAGGCCTTGGGCACAGGCAGACTTACTGGGGAATCTGGGCTCTATCCTGGGAGTAGAGGCAGCTTCTATCCCAAATGCCTGCCCTACAGCCCTGCCCTGCCTCTGGGAAATGTGCCTGCCCTACAGTCCCACCCAGATGGGAAATGTAGGGGAAATGCAGCCTGAGTCTAGGGACTCATGGTGGCCTGAGCAGAGAGTAAGGAGTGATCCTCAAGTATGCCCCCCACCTTGGAGGACCAGGAGGGTGGAAGGGGAGTTTAAAGTGCAAAGACAGGCTCCAGGCTGGGAGTTCTGGAATAAATACAACTTGCAAAGGGTTGTATTCAGAACATTCCTACAAGTCAACAATAAAAGACAAACAGCTTAGTAGAATAAATGGTGAAAAATAGAAACAAAATTCACAGAAGGAACCTGAATGCCTAATAAAAATATAAATGGGAGTTCAACCTCACCATGACAAGGGAAATGCATGGGCAATCCAACTTTACACTCAGCATGACTGCAAACATTACAGAGTCCATTAAAATGGTGAGGAGCTGAGCAACAAGACCCACTCGCAGGAGGGGTACAGAGGATGCCCTGTGACCCCGCAACTCCACTCACAGGAAATGCCTAGGGAATCTCTCACACTTGAGAATGACTGCTGCATTGTTGTAATATTGAGAAATTGGGGCCAACCTAAGTACTCACCAACAGGATGTTGTTAAATAAACTGTGATATCTACTCAATGGAATATCACACCCCACCTAGGGGAGCAGAGGAGACTGTGTATGGACACAGACAGCTCATGAAGGTAAGGGAGAAAGAAAAGCAACTCACAAAGATACTGATTTATACGGTTTACAAATACACGTACAGTGAAAAATGACACCATCAAGCCAGGCACAGTGGTGCACACTTACAGTCCCAGCTACTTGGGAGGCTGAAGCAGGAGGATCACTTGAGCCCAGAGGTTTGAGTCCAGTCTGGGCAACACAGGAAAAACTCTGTCTCAAAAAAAAAAAAAACTTTTAAAATGACCATATCATGGAAAATTCTGGAGAGCAGTTATCTTGGGACAGAGATGAGGCAGTTGGCGGGGCGGGGCGGGGTGGGGGGGAACAGGGGACAGGGGTGGTCACAGGAGTCCTAGCTGCTCTGAAGTCGTGAGTGGGGACAGCAGAGCCTGTTCAGGAGGCTGCTGACTGTCCAGGGCTTTGCTGAGTGCCTGGCTCTGCCAATGGGAGGTTACCAGCAGGAGAGCCTGGAGTGTCGAGGAGTCACCACGGCCCTGCACTCAGTTAATGCTCTACTGTTGCTGTCTGGATATCACTTGACTTTTGGGTGTGGTTGGTGTTGCTTTAAGTTTCTGGGGATAGCAAAAGCTTAAGAAGTGACTCTTGCCATCACATGGCTGACCACCTCTGGTGAGAACACTGGAGAATAGTTTAGGGGTGCCCGAGTTTCCCCCACTGCATAGAGCCTGGTGCCAGGGAAGACAGGCTGGACCTGGCTGTGGCCCCTTGAATGGTGGCAGGGAGACCACAGCACATCGCAGGGCCCTGAGGATGACGTGTATTTGAGGGGGCAGGGTTCTCCAGTAGCAGGTGTTGCACAGTGGGGAATGGTGGGTGCAGAGCTGGGTTAGTTTTAGCAGAGGTGTGAAGGTGATTCCTCTCTGAGCTGGAGGTGGAAGCAAATGGGAAAACGGTCTGGCATAAACAGACAAGCCCCGGGGAGGCAGACAGCGTCCACCACTACCAGGTCCACCTGCTTTAGGTATACCTTCCTACCAGGACATGAGAGCCCACAGTGGCTGGGGTCTTGTCATCAGGCACCCTGAATGCTTTCAGGTGGATGGTTTGGATCTCTCCTCACCTGGCTGGTCAGGCCAGGGAGGACAAGCTGTGGACCTAACAGGTGACCACTGTCCAGACAAGGCCTATTCTACCTCCTTGCCTGGCTGTCCCCTCCTTAGGCCTGTTGCCCCTTCCTCTCTAGACCCTCTGCCTGCCAGGTGTGTAAGCCTTTCTGCCTGGACAGCCTCATTGAGACAGCCCTAGACTAACAGTCACCCATATTGAGCCCAAGCCCACCCTGCATGATGCCAAGCTTAGAAATGTCACCCTGGAGTCACAAAATCCCTTCTTTGCATTACCAAAAGAGGTGGTCACTCAGGGGTGCTGGAATCTTCCCCACCTTAAGGCTTAGCTCCAGTCTGTAGCCCATTCCCTGACAGGTACCTGGGTTTCCCAGCCTTTGATGACCCCAAACGCTGTCTCTTCCCTAAGGGTCACTGCCTTGGGATTTGCCTGCAGGCTAGGCACACCTGGTAAATGAGGTCTCCACACACTGGGTCATTAGTACCCACAAGCAATCACTGTTGAGTTCATGAACTCTCAGGCTGGAGCTCAGCAGTCCCACTAGGGACCACCACTGGGGTCACAAGATGGCCTTGATCCCCAGTTATCTGGATCCCCAGTTCCCTGAACCAGAGCAGCTTCCTAAACTCCCTAGTCCAGCAGAGGTTAGGGCTCGCTTTCCCTGCTAGAGGGGCCTCCTCCAAACCCCACAGTGCCCCAACAACACTTCCTGTCCTCTGGTAGACCCTTACCTGCCTGTGTCTTGCACAAAGTGCACACTGGGAGGCAAGAGCCTGTCTCTGCAGTAAGAAGGGCTTGGGGCAGTGCTCCGCTGGCAGGCAGACAAGGCAGGCAGGGCCCCAGCCCAATGCCTGAGTCAGCAGGCTCCTAACAGCCTGAGTGACCTCCTCATAGCATGGGGTCAGTGCAGCGGCAATGTCTGGGTTGTTGAGGGTTTTGATGGGTGATCAATGCTGGAGGATCCTCCCTCTGCCTTCCCCATCCAACACAGATCATCTCCAATGTGCCAGACCTGTGCTGGGCAACAAGGTTGGCTGAGATGGCCTGAGACAGGGTCCCTTGATGAACAGTCCACTGGGAATGGGGCCTGCAGTGGCCCTGGATGATTTCAGTATCTGCCACTCACCTTGGTCATGATGCCACAGAGAGTGTGGCATGGCCAGGACTGTACCTGGGGCAGATGGTCTTGCTCTTTGGTTCTGGGGAGGAGCGCAAAGTGACTGGGCTCAGGTGAAGGAGCTGTTGGCTTATGAGGAGGCTGCTCCAAGAAGCAAATAGGAGACAAGGAACCACTGGCCTGCAGATGGGGCAGGATCCTGGACCTGGGCCCCCCGAGTCACCAGCCACATGGCCTTGGGAGTGTTACTTACTCCTGTGATTGTAGCACAATGAGGGGTTAGACTACAAAGTCCCTCAGGCCCTGACCAGCTCTGGGGAAGAAGGCCTAGGACTGAGAGAGGCAGCAGGGAGGCTGGCCAGGGTCACCTCCCAGGTCCAGGCAGCTTTCCTGCAAGTGTTTCCTAAGCTGTCCTTCTCCAGGGAGAATAGCCTCAGCCCTGCCTGACAGGAGGCGGCATACACCTGAGCGCCTGACAGTACCCTCGTGAACCTGCCTGAGGGTGGCCACATTCCCACACCCCATGTGTGCCTATCTCCATCAGCACTGAGAAGACAGCAAACGCCAGCTTGCCAGGGGTTTACCCAGAAAGCCCAGCGCATACCCCCAGAGTGTTCTGGCAGACCTGTGCCAGCTGGGTTCAGTGACAGTTCATCCTGCCATGGGCTCTGGTCTCCCCATCACCCTCTGAGGGGGAAGCAGGAAGTTGTGAGGGGTAGCCGGGCCTGACCTCTCTTCCCTGGCACGATGCTGTCTCCCTGTGCAAAGTGGGGACTTCAGGCATTTGGTGTGGAGGAATGGGTGGTGGGATTGAAAACCCCTACCAGACCCCTGTCACACCAAGGAGCCCAGCGATGGGGGGGTTTCTTCCCTCCCTCTGAGGTAAGACCAATCTGTTAAACTTTCAGTACTAAAAAATAAAACCGAGTGGGAGGAAGGTGAGGACTGAAAAACTACATATCAGGTATCATGCTGATTACCTGGGTGACAAAATTATCTGTACACCAAACCCCTATGATCCAATTTACCCATGTAACAACCCTTGAACCTAAAGTTGGAAAGAAAAAAAAAGGTAAAATTAACAAATCCATATTAGTGTGAGCTGGGTGAGTAGTTTAGTCTGAAATGACAGAATATTCATTTTTCGTCTCTCTGAGATAGTGACCACACTGTCCTCACCAGGACTGGCAGGGGAAGCCCCAGGGCTTTGTGACCCTGTCCCTATGGGGCACCCTGGCGTCCAGTGGGCACTCCCCAGGGCAGCAGCCTGGTTTAAATGCCTGTTCCCCAGACCCCACAGTCAGACGGTAGAGAGGAGCCTCAGGGACATAGCCCAGTTCTTCAGGACCGTGGGCCACATGGGCTGCTTGACCTCTGACCACCAAGGAGGGAGTTTCTCAAGGACTGGCCAGGTTCTGTGCTGACAACTTCGTGCTTTTCATCGACAAAGCGAGTCATGCTGTCCCTTCCCCAGCTGAGCTGGCTGCCAACAGGCCCAGTGGAGAGCAGATTTGAGGTGGGGGTGAGGTCTGTTCCCCAAGCGCAGTGTTCTGGGCAGTGAGTTCTCTGTGCAGCAGCTGACGCCTCTTGGACACATTTCCACACAAAACACTTCTCAACTGTTCTCCCTCCTGCACTCTTCAGGGGCAAATACGCCTCTCCTTTCTGGCGGGTTATTTCTGGCCCTGGGAGTATGCTAGGCAATTCTAAGGATTGCCTTTGAAACAGTCTTTATTCAGCCAAGTACTTCTCACACCCCTAGGTCCTGTCCCCAGGGGTGAGCAGGGTCAGAGGAGGCTGGAGATGGGGTGGGCACAGAGAAGGAGAGTCAAAGATCTGACTGAGGAAGAAGCAGGTGGCCAGCCACCTGGGAGACTTCTGTGTCAGACACGGCGTTATGTCCTGGAGGAAGCCCATTGCGAGGGCTCAGCAAAGTTAACAGCAGGTATGCACCTGGAGACCAAGGAGGGCCTTGGAGCCTGGTGGGCAAAGGTGGCCCTTCAGTGGAATCATTCCCAACTCTGCACTCACCCTAAGCTTTCCAGTAACTACAGAATTCCAGAACCTGTTTGAAAGGATGTAAGATCTATAGCTACATTCTTTTTCTCCCCACTGGTCAAAATCTTACAGGATTTCTAAAGCTGTATTGAGATCTTGCCCAGTGCATTCAGACCAGATGGGAAACAACCCCTAAGAATTCCCCATGCTGGTGTTTGCTGTGTACGTTGGCCTGGGACCTCAAGGCTAGAATGCAACAATAATGACCATGCACAGACAGAACTGTCTCAGCAGCAAATGTCACACGCAGACCCAGAACTGCTTAAATACCAATTTATTGCAAACCAACACCAAGGAGCTGGAATAGCTTTGCAGGCTGGACACCTCACTCTCCTCGGGCCCTGGACAAGGGAAATGAGTCACCCCGCTTTCCTCGGACCTCAGCTGGTGGGACTTAGTGGCTGGCCAAACTGCGGCTGTTGTGTCTAAAAAGAGAAAACAGGCAGGGTGTGCCAGCTCTGGAGACTGGGCCAGTCCAGGGTGGTGGCTCAGGGCAGAGAATCACCCACCAGACAGCGTGGCTCAACGGGAGCAAGGCGCGCAGGGACAGGCTCCACAACCACACCAAGCACCGCAGTGTGGCACCGGGACCAGATGCAAGTGGCTGTTCCTGCCATGGGGCCAATACCCAATACTATCCCTCAGTCATTCTTCCTAGATATTGGTTTGCTGTTTATTAAAGCAGGGCAGGGAGTGGGGAGAAATGCAACACAGAATATAAAATCAGGCAAAACAAACACTAGTCACCATGGAAGTGAATGACTCTCAAAGTCTCCCAAATAACAAGGTGTAGGGCATCTCACACCACTGCATCACTTCTGGAAGACTACCCACAGGGTGGGGGCTGCAATGGGGGCCAACTCGGGAACTATAGAGAAGAGAGGAGACACACACCACAAGACCTCCTTTCATTAGGCAGGAAAGCTCTTGTGGGACAGTGGTGTGCAAATCCTAGGACCTCAATGGGAAGAACTCCAGGAAAAAAAATGACAAGTCTTTCTCAGGACCCCTCATAGATGACAAGAATTCTGCTCCCCAGGGTCGAGATCTCTTTAGAGGGGCTTCACCAGCTCAGTGGCAAATATCAGACAACAAGACTCTCACATTCCAAAGGGGGTATCTAGGGCCTTTTGCTCTCCTGTGATGATCGGAGCAACATGTTTGGACCCACAGAAGACTTCCCAGGAATGCTTTCTTACAAGGGGTGTCAGCCACCACTGTAAACCAGAAACAAACCACAAACTTACTCTCCAAGAGAGCCCCCACAACCCAAGTATCCATAGAGAGTGTGCAGGAGCGGGGACCTTCCCCTGACAATAGGCCCTCTTAGCATCTGCGGGCCTTGATTCTTGCTGGCCGTGCATGGTGCCAGGGTGCACTGCCCTGCTGTGTGGCTTATCCATGCTCTGAGCTTGACAGACAGGCAAATGGACAGTGCCGGTGGCAGCTGAACCATACTCCCGGCGATGGGCACCCAGAGCCCCTGTGAGTACTTGGAACACAGGCCTGAGGACCTGTCTCATAATCTCGTCTTTGCACCTTGGCTGGAGTCAGTCAGCAGCCATGGCTCAGGGCATAGGCTTGGGGGTCCTGAGGCAGTGACCAGTCCCTGGAGAACAGGTAAGATTGGGCCATAAGTTCCAAGGAGCACAGTCTGGCACCTGGCACAGAGGATGGGAAGAGGGGAGTCTTCACTCTCTTCTGGTTCAGTTGTGGTGGGACAGTGTGCCTTCACGCCCCATGCAGAAATTCCTCCTCTCCCAGAAGCCCTTCAAGGTCAAAGCTTCTCAGGACTTGTGGCTGTCGAGCTCTGCTGAGCTGATGGACATGCTGTGGTCTCCTCCTGAGGGCACCAGCTCTCCACTCCTGCCCACACTTTGACACCGTGCACCCAAAGAGGACGTCTTATGGGGAGCCAAGCACAGCATGCCATGCGTGGTGGCCGGGCTTGGTTCACTTCAACAAGAACCAAAGCAAGGTCGCCACAGTCAGAGAACAGAATCCCCGCTGCATCTGGACCTGAGCCCAGAACCTAGGCTTTCTCCGAACAACTAGAACGTGCAAACAGGGCTCCAGTCTCCACTGCTCTGACCATGAGGCTGAGGCAGGCAAAGCACATTTATAAGGGGATGAGCAAGAAGACCACGTGAATGCTCTCAAAAGAGGTCAAGGGGCAAGGAGTTTCCCAGAGCAGCCTCAGGCACAGCCATTCCTTGCTTGCCCTCATGCAAGCACAGAGCTTCACACACTTCAATGACTTCAGCTTCGCCTGAGAGTCCAGCAACAACTCCACATCCCAACCAGAAGACATGCAAGCAGAATAGCGTCAAAACAACAGCAAGCAGAGAGCAGGGGAGGAAAGACATGCTGCCTGCAGTGGCTGGTTGCTGTGGAGACAAAAGCATGTGATCCCAATTTGCTGGGATATCCTCTCCTGCATTTCAAACACCTTCACTCAGTGTCAGCCACAGCGGCCACCACATAGCAGCTGGCCCCGCACCTTCTCTGGAACAGTCTGGAGATGCAAGGTCAGGGTGGAAGGCCTGGTTCACCCTTGAAAGAAAGGATGGCTAGGGGTAAACAAGACGAGCAAGTCCCTGGAATGCAGGGAGCCAAGAAGGGCAGCCGAGGATAAGGCTCTGCCTCCCCACCGGCGAGGGTTTCCTTTCCTTCTGGTCATTAAAACTGCACAGCCCCCGGGGAGATGTTGAACATGGCAGGGTCGAATCGCTGGCCTCGGAAGGGAGAACCTTCAGCATCCCACCCCTTCTTCAGCATCTCATGGACTTTCTACAAACAGAAAATAGAGAGATTAAAGGGGATCACAACGCACTGTGTACTTTCTCCCAGAGCAGACTCTGACTGCAGGTAGAGAGCCTTCTTGCTTCCTCAGGGCTCAGGCACTTGCCTGGCAAGACCGGCTGGCCAGAGAACTGTACTACCCTGGAGCAGCCTTCGACCAAGGGAGGTACTGGGTGCCTGCCAATTTCTCTCCAAGACTGCTCCACAGACTGAATTTCTAACCCTCCATCTTCTGTCCCCAGCAAGCACTGGCTCCTCTTTATGGTTCATCTTGTCCCTTTTCCACCAGGATCTCTGTCCAAATTCCAAACACCCTGCAACATCTATGGTCCCACCAGGCACTGACTAAGGCATTAAGAGGGAGTGTCCCAGCCCACCAGGGTTGTAGAGAAGGTGCGTAGAGAAAGTGCTCAAGCCCCACCTGAGTCATGACTAAGGTGTGCAGAGGAGATACCCTAGCACCCCAGTTATCAGCATCAAGAACTATATCATCAGACAATCCAGGGTTGACCCAGGATGTGGCACGGAGGAAGAAACCTCAGAATGTCCAGTGGTAGACCCGTCAGTCAGGAATTCCCCACTGCATCCTTGCAGATGCAGTCAGAGCTGGTTGACTAAGCCCTCGCCAACGTGTGGCCATTCTGGAACTATCTAGCCTCCAAGGATCAGAAGCAAGGCTCAGTGTGTGGCCATGGCAGGGGACATCAGGGAGATTGGACCCTGAGGGAAGCATCTGTACCTGGGCTGGCAGGCCCTCTTCTCCTCAAAGGGACTCTATATCTGCCCTCCTCACCTGGCCACCATGAGTACACTGAGGGCTAGGGATGATCTCTCCTTCCTTCTAACCTTCTGACCACAAGAGACAAAAGAGACTATGTAGGGCCAGTAGTTATTCTACCAATATGATCCACAGTCCCTGTTGCACAAAACCCTGTAGCATAGGCCCAGAAAACGAGGCTGTGGGATTCTCAGCACCAGGGCTTCTCCTTAAATAAAACATAATCTTCCTAACAAGAGGGTTTTCTTTTTCCTGTTTTTATTTTTTACAGATAGGGTCTCACTCTGTTTCCAAGGCTACAGTGCAGTGTGTGGTCATAGCTCAGTGCAGCTTCAAACTCCTGGGCTCAAGCGATCCTCCCACCTCAGCCTCCTGAGTACTTAAAACTATGGGTGCAGTCCACCATACCCAGCTTCATTTTCTTTTTTTAAGACCTAAGTGATGCAACAACAAGCATATCAAAGACAGATACTATATACTAGGGATTAATTGACATTACTATCAATTTCTTACAGGCAACTCACATCAGAGACTTTGGAAAGACCATTTTGAGAACAAGTGCTGCAGCTCACATGGAGTGGCTGTGGGTGCAGAGAAGACTACATGAAGCCCCTCTGCACAGCCTCAACAAAACACAAGAATGGATGACTTCAGCAGGCAGCTGCATGAAGCCTCTGAACCTTTCAACAGAACCCCAGCCAGCTGTAGGGCAAATGACACCTGTGGAGCCCTGCAGCCACCACAGTCTTACCCTGGGAACCCGGGTTGCTGCATGGGGGCCCGATGTAGGATGCCCAGAGTGCAAAGGGCAGATTAGTAGACTTGATCTTACAACAGAGGGATCCTAGGGTGCCAAGATCAGCACTCAGACCTTTCCTGAGGCAAAAGTGGAGAGCAGGCATTCCTGTGTGTCACCAAATTCACTCTTATGACCAGAGACCATGCTAATGCTATCTGCCTATGAGATGTCACAATTACTGTTAGGGTGAATCCTACCAGGCTGAAGAGATCCTAGACACAGACACATCTGAGCGCAGACAGAGCAATGGCACCTGTACATTCCACATTCTCTTTCTAGATGGGGGAATCCTGCTCATAAAAAATTAAATTAGGGAAAAGATGAAGGGTTTTAAATTTGTTGACTTTGGAAAAAGGTTAGTGACACCAAAGAATTTAAAACAATAAAAGTATTGTCATTTCAAAATAAAACTGCTTCAAAATACACAGCATCTGTGGCATTAGAAGCACAATTTGAAATCTTGGCAAATTTAGAAAACTCTGAGTTCACACCATAAATGGGCATCAATGCCAGAGCACGCTGGTAACTGTGACTATGCCGACGTGAACGGCAGATGGAGGCTGACAGGAGAACCTGGCCCATTTTCCACTCTCTCTCCTTAGCGAAGCCTGGTGATCCCAGTGAAGCAACTCCGGCCCCCTAACTCTCACGATAGTCTCTCTGCCTGTGAGGTATCCCTCAGGACGCCTGAATAAAATGTGGCTAACCTGCTACATGAGGCCACATGAGGGCACACACCTACCTTCTAGGTGTTTCCTCATTTGATTTTCTAAAAAAAGGCTACAGTCACTAAGGACATTTTACATGAAACCTCTGCGTGTTGCAAGCCTCCATATGCTGCAGACCCTGCCCCAGACACTGTCATGCCCAGGAAGGAGTTGAGACTTTAGCATCAGCACCAGGCAGGTGCCTGGACACACACAGTGAACGACCATAGCCCTGAGAGGTCAGTTCATTACTGTCTATAGCTGTCACCTGAGAGCTGGAGGCTCCCTGGCTGTTGAGGAGCAGGTCAATCTCAGGGAGAGGGTCACTCTGGGACCTACCCCCGCGCCACCAGCCCTGGGCTCCTGCATGTCGCTGAAGATCTCCCAGGGCACTTTACTCTGGGGAGGGACACACATCCTCTCAAGGGTCAGGATGCTGCCCCATGGCAAGTCTACAGCAGAATAGATTTAGATTCAACACACAGAGCTCTTTCCACTGGACCACAGCATCTTCAAGGTTCTTTGAATCCTTCCTAACTGGGTCGCTGCCCAGTCTACGGGCTCCCCCATGCTAGGTCACAAGAAGCTGTTTGCAGGCACAGGGACTTTCTGTTCCACGCCTGGGCTATGCAGTGCCCTAGGGGCCAAAAAAACAGCTTGCCAAGAGGACACCAACAGGATGACCCCACTGAATTGCCCTCAGAGCAGGGCAGCAGGGCATGAAGGGGGATGCCAGTTGCACCCTATGATGCTGCATGTGTGCAAGCATGTATGTGCATGGTGCATACATACAATGTGTAGTGCTGCCATCTTTCACCCCTTGAGGTTGGCCTGTCCCGAACTGACAGTGAGGATCCAGGTAGGGGTTTGAGGTCCAGAACTGCCTGGAAGTTGCCTCGGCTTACCTGGAATGAACAGACCTCCCCATTCCTGGTCCTGGGCAGTGGGCTTGGCAACAAGCCATCAAAATAAGGAGGCCGGCCGGGCGCGGTGGCTCACGCCTGTAATCCCAGCACTTTGGGAGGCCGAGGCGGGCGGATCACGAGGTCAGGAGATCGAGACCATCCTGGCTAACACGGTGAAACCCCGTCTCTACTAAAAATACAAAAATACAAAATAAGGAGGCCTTAGGCCTCCAGAAATGGAGAGACAAGAGCAGCTGCTTCCTGGGGAGGATTATCAATGAAACTGCAAAGCAGGACTGAAATACTCTTTGGAGAAGGTAAGATTAAAATGGCTGGAATCCTAGCACCACAAAGGCAGATCTGTGTCTGTCTTCCTCACCGACGTGCCCCAATAGAGGGGTGAGACTATGCAATGTTACAAGGTGTTGGCACAGAACATAAAGGATGGGGGAAAGAGACTGAGAGGAAGGTCAAGGAGAGGGGAGGATGTAAGGGAAAGAAAAGGGAAACAGAAAGAAAGGAGGGAAGGGGAGGGGCAAGGATGTAGAGAAGAAAAGGCTGGTGGAGCCCCTGACACCTCCATGCGTGTCTTTGGCACTACTGGCAACTCCAATGATGAGCAGGTATTCCTGCTATTTTGTTTTTGAATATAAAGTTCTGTAAGAGATACAATCACAGGAAACATGAGGGCTCACAGATAAAAACAGCCAGAGCATCCTAGCTTCTCTCATGCCTCAACAGCTAAAGTCTACAGAAAACTGGCCAGGCGTGGTGGCTCACGTCTGTAATACCAGCACTTTGGGAGGCTAAAGCAGGTGGATCATCTGAGGTCAGGAGTTCGAGACCAGCCTGGCCAACATGGTGAAATCCCGTCTCTACTAAAAATACAAAATTAGCTGGGCGTGGTGGTGTGCGCCTGTAGTCCCAGCTACTCAGGAGGCTGAGGCAGGAGAACCGCTTGAACCTGGGAGGCGGAGGTATCAGTGAGCTGAGATCACACCACTGCATTCCAGCCTGGGTGACAGAGCGAGGCTCTGTCTCAAAAAATTTAAAAAATAAAATAAAATAAAGTCTACAAAAACTTCATCAAGGCTTTGACAAACGCACAAATACCATTCAAACTACAATAATTTTTATCATCTCTCTGTAACAAAGGCTCAGTGTCAGTGTCTGGGGAAGATGTGAGAAACCACCTGACCTTAGTCCCTCCATCCTGTGGCACAAAAAGACACTTCTAAGGGGTACATGGTAAGACTGCCTTCTTATCTTTCTGGAACAAAAGGCATCTGGGTTCATGTTCTCCAGTCAAAACAGACTCTTTCTCCCGAAGGTCAACTCATGAATACATCTCAGTCCTTTTGTGGACCCAATGCTGAATATGGGCACAGAGTGGGCAGACCCTCACATACACCATCCCCAAACACTACCATGAGAAGCCCTACCCACAGGGCAAAGGTTCAAAGGCTGGCCTTTCATCTAGTGGCCACAGGCAAATGCAGCATAACTGGAATGAGCCATAACCAGGCAGGTCTGGCTGTCTAAGCACCTGAGCTGAGCTCAGCTGAGCAGGTGCTGCAATACTACCTGAGGCTTCAAACTCTGCATGGACGTAGGCCAAGCAAAGATGTCCTTTAAGCTTGCCATGCCCCGGGTGGAAAAGGGGGCCAAACCTAGAGGAACATTCTCTTCCATAGAGACAAGGGCCAGGGTGGACAGGGCTGTGAGGACAGACAGGTGTGAAATCAAATCAGAGGTCAAACCCCATCCCTGCTGCCTAAGCTACTGAGTCACAACCTCAGAAATTCAATCTCTCTATTGTGGGGGGAAAAAAACAAAAACAAAAACAAAAAACAAACAAACTGTATTTTCAGGGGTACTGTGCAGCCAGTCAACCCCACCTTAACTGTGTGTACTAAGTGCTCAGGACATGCCCCTGGTGTGGCAGGGCCAGGTGAGGAGAACATGTTGACACTCCTCTCCGCAGGCTCCTTCACCTCATAAGAGCAGGATGCACCTGTCTGTGAAAATAGGCAAGAACGGACGAGACACAGCAACAGGGCTTGCAGAACCACCTACGATGTATTAATACGTGCTGTACCGGAAGGTAAGACTAAGACAATCCAGATACACCACAAGGTAAGGTTCCTCCAAGAGACAAAATGAGAAGAAAATATCGATCAGCGATCTTCAGGGGGAGGAGGCGGTCCGTGTTTACAGAACAAAAATAAGGAGACTGTGCCCAGCAGATGACCCCTCCCCACTGACTCAAGGCTGCACTGCGTCCGCGTGCCCTGCTGTACTGCGGCCCAAACCCACGTGCTGGGTATATGGGACACGGGAAGTTAAAAATAATCTGAGGAAAGCAACCCTTTTTTCCCTAAATAGCTACTCTTGGAGTTATTAAAATAGGAAGAAAGAATGTATACATCTAATTAATCATTCTCTTTGGCCATGAGCAAACTCTACACTGGGCACTACACTGGTCAGACAGGAACCTTTCTCTTCCTCCTCCCTAACCCACTGCTGACATCACAGAGTCTTCACATGCTGGCCTCCAACATCCAGAAACTGGCTCTGCAATCTGGCTCCCTCCCCTCCTCTACCAAAGGTCCCACCAAGCGACTCTTCATGGGAAGATATGTGCAGATGAGGCACAAACAAAAGCCATCAACACACTTGATGTTACCAGGCTCTGGTGCAGGAAGGGCAGATCTCATGACACCCTTCGAGGTCCTGTTAACTGGGCTCTCAGCCCAGGTATGAGAACACAGCTGAAAGACCAGAGTGCACCTGTGAGGCAGTGATTGGGGACAAGAGCAGGTAAGACAGGTTCCTTGCTAGGCTAGGACATGGCAGGAAGCTGGTCCACACAACCTTCTTCCCCACCGTCATCACCAACCCCTCTGCCACTATCGGCCTTGTCACCAGCACAAGGGCCTAAAGGGTGGACTCTCCAGGACTGCCATGCTCGTACCAGCTCATGGCTCTGTGGCTTGCCCTGCAGCTTCTGGTGGTAGTCAAAGGTAAGCCTGTCCAACACCGCCTGTTCCTCCTCATCCACGGTGGCCATGGAGCGCTCCTTGTTGATCTTGTCAATGTCGATGGGCTCTTCTCCCTCCAGGATGGCGTTCCACCAATACTCGCCCACCTTGCTCAGGTTCACCTGGGGACAAGCAGGACAGAGACCTGAGTCAGAGACCTGAGACAGGTGTCCAGGGCTGGGGACAGAGCAGAGCCCACTGAGGGATGGGTGTCCAGGATAAGCTCAGGACCAACTACACAAAGGGAGGTGACAGACAAGAGGGGGTGCCAGAACCCAAGGCAGGACCCTCTGTGCCTGGGAATGCATTTGCTGCCTGTGCTAACATATCCCAGGGAAGAGCTAGGAGGCACATACCTGAGGGGACTGACATTCTGGAAGATGCCTTTATCCTTCTTCAGCAGGTCCTGGATACTCAGGACAGTGCCTGTTCCATGTGCACACCTTGCCCACTCTCATGAAGAAAGGCTATTTTCCAAGACCCATGACACCCCCCCACACCAGGACCTGTCCTGGGCCAACCCAGCCTGCCCCCATGCTTGCCATGGAAGGCTCTGCTTAGCTCTTATCAACCAACTACCTCTCCAGTGATCTCTCTTGCTTCCAAGAGCAACATCCAACATTCTGCTATCTTAGGGGTAAGCTGGGACCTATGAGACTTAGGGCTCAGCCTAATGCATGACAGAATCTCCTGGGGAGTCCTCACCCCATGACAGGGCACCATGCCCTGTCCCCACTTCTTCCTCACTGGGGCCAAGCTTGCTGCATGAGGGGGTCCTCCAGCCCCATTCCCTAAAGTTCTCTGATGGCTTGGGAAGGAGAAACGACCATCAAGAAACAACCCCAAAAGAGGCCTCCTTGGGCACCTCTGTGGGGATGGCACAGACATCCCTTGGTCAAAGGAAGCAGCACCCAGCATTTAAGATCCAGCCCTCAGTGTTGGGGTCTGTGAGACTCATGTCATTACCATAAAAACTTAAAAGACAACTGGAACTGCAGTATGAGAGCAAACGTGAGGGGTGCTGTATGTACCTAGGTGACCCTGGCTGCTTGGCCTGTCCCAGGGACACAGAGGAGGGCCCTGGCCACACCATGCCCTGTTATCAGTGGTCATACAGACACAGAAAACAAGAAAACTGGCTGCATCTGCTGTGGTCAGTGGCTGGGCTCAAAATTCTTACCAGAGTGGCCAAGAAGCAACAGAGTGGGTTTGTCTACTTTGCCCTAGATGAGCACTGCACTTTTTCAACAGAAATACTTGATCTGTGTTTAGATTTCATAATATTTACAATTGAAAGAGGTACATTCACATGCCCAAGTGTGATGGGACTCTCTGATGGGATTAAACCACTAGGTGCTCACAGAAAGGGAGAAAAGGTAGCAAAGGGCCCGCAAGTGAGAGCAGCTCTCATCCATGGAGGTGGCAGCCACCAGGACACTTACTGACCAGGTGGGCAAAACCTACCAAGCCACACTCAGGGTAACTGTGACACTCAAGAGGTCACAGTGAGTCCACAGGACACCACGTCCCCCCAAGAGGGAGCACTGGAGACTCACCAGTATACACGGGCTTGAGAGAGCAGTGTCCTAACACTGCACCTTCCACCTTCCCACCTCCAAGCTCCTGCTGCCAAAACCTACCCACACCAAAGAAGGTACTCAGCACCAGACTCTGCAGAGCCCAGGGATCAAGTCCGAGAATGTGTTCTACTAATGAAGAGGGTGGGCACCGATGTGGTGCGGGAGAGCACACAGTGGAGATTTTCCAGAACTGGGAAGAGCAAGACAAAAACCTGCAATCATGATCTGAAGCCAGCATCCCAGAAATCTTGTCTGACATTCCGAATGCAGATAGGGGGAGTGGTGAACAGGGGGAGTGGGTGGCTCCCCTACACGCCAGCTCTACCCAGTAAATGACGCTGCTCTGCCAGTGTGCAATTTAAATTTGGGATGAATCTTCCATTTCCAGATACTCTGCTAAGCTGGTTTGTCGTTGACTTTACAGTTTGTGTGACGGGGACCTGACTCACCCTCAGAGACCCCAACACTACAAACTCTACCTCGTCTTTACCAAGCTGATGCAATGAAAACCTTCCAAGAGGGAAATGCATTGTTTTCTCTATTCCAGGGAAGACTTCAGAGGAACTCACAGAACTGTAAATCTCTGGAAAGAAGAGATCCTTTACGAATTTTTTATCTTCACCAGTAGTTATTACTGTGATCCATGTAACTTATTTTATTAGCGTTCACAAGTCCTGTAAAACACATACCATTACCATTTACCATACATACCATTTTTTGTATTTAAAAATGAGGACAAACCCTTGGAAGTAAGGGCCTTTTCCAGATTGCCCAGCATGAAGAGGCAAAGCAGAGCTACACTGGGGCTGACAGCCCACCATCAGCACCATGTGGGCAGGGGGTCGGCCTACATACCATCCAGGGGACGGTGCTGGTGCTCTCAGGCCTTTTGGCACTCCACAGACCCCAACACAGGGTTTCACTGGCCAGGTCCAAACACACACCCAGAGTGGAGGGCTCCTGGGCACAGTGGGAGATGGACCTGAAGACAATGAGCCACCTGCCCAACAGGAAGGAGGGGAACATCCCCAAATCTTCTGTGTCCACAAGTGTACTTTGGACACAGAAGTACACTTGAACCCAACAAAAATTAAGATGAGCACTGCACTTTTTCATCAGAAATACTTCATCTGTGTTCAGATTTCATAATATTTACAATTGAAAGGGTATATTCACATGCCCAAGTTGTTTCAAAAATATTCAAGGTTTTCCAGTAACTAAATCAAGTAGGTTTTAAATTTAAGTTAATTAAAATAAAATAATTCAGTTCTCCAGTCACGTGAGCCACCTGTCAAGTGTTTACTCAGCTGCCACATGTGGCTAGCAGCTACTGTGCTGGGCAGTGCAGCTCTCCAAGGGGGCCATCCTCACTCACAGACGTCACGCATGTGCATCAGTGTGGTATTTTATGAGGAGATGTGAGCCGACTTTATATTGAACAATTTCTAATGGAGGCAAAATCCACTTAACACAAAACTTACCATTCAAAAGTGAACCAATGGCATGTAGTATATCCACAATGGTGCACAACCATCACCTTTATCTAGTTTCAAAACACTTTCATTACCTCACAAAGAAGCCCTGTGCCAATTATCAGTCACTCCCCATTTGCTCTAACCCTTCCTCTAAATTGTTCCCTCAACCCCACCAAGCCACTGGCAACTACTAATGATTCTGCCTCTACAGATTTGCCGGTTCTGGACATTTCACACAAATGGAATAATACAGTTATCTGTTTGTTTTTGTCTGGCTTATTTCACTTGGCATAATGTCCTCCTCAATGTTCATCTATGTTGTAGCATGAATCAGAACTCCATTCCTTTTTAAGGTTGAATAATATTCCACTGTATGGATAAACCACATTTTGTTTCATCAACTGATGGACATTTCAGGTGCCCCCACTTTTTGGCTGTTGTGAATAATGCTGCTATGAACATTGATGTACATACATCTGTTTGAGTCCCTGTTTTCAATTCTTCTGTATATTTACCCAGAAGTGCTGGGTCATATGGTAATTCTACAGTTAACTTTTTGAGGAACTACCATACTATTTTCGAAAGCAGCTGCACCACTTTACCTTCCCACCAGCGGCATACAATGGCTCCAGTTTCTCCATACCCTCACCAACACTTGTTATCTTCTGTTGTGTGTGTGTGTGTGTGTGTGTGTGTGTGTGTGTGTGTTTAATTACAGCCATCCCACAGGTGTGGCTAGCACCACTGGTCCTTTGTCCTGACCATATACACACAGGCCTGCCTCCTCTGCCTTCCAGACCTGCTCCAGTCAAGTTTCCATCTGTCATCACTGTAACCAAGTGGGCTGCCCTCCATGCTGGGGCAGCAAACAGGACCTGAGGTGTTGTCTATAAAGGTTCTTGTAAAGGCTCTGGAAGAGGAAGGTCTCAGTTGCAAAATTTTAATTATTTATTTATTTAGTACCCTTAGAATATCTTCTATTTTTAAGGATGAGCATATTAGTAAAAACAATATGAACAATATTATTAGCATGATAATTATTCTAAACAAGGGCATTCTAACATCGTTATTGACTTGCCTGGAGTCCCTCTCCACACTGTTCCTTTACAGAATTCCATCTCTCACTCTGAGCTGCAGATCCCCATTCCTTTCTCCTTCCCAAACTCCAGACCTTTTTTTTTAATGGCCCACGCCTCGTAAGTCATTGAGCTGACAAGCTTCTTTATGCTCTGAACATTCTCATGTTCTATAAACTGGTTTAATGTGTAAATGTTTCTGCTGTCACTGTCCACATTTAACTACTTTCCTTAGAGTAATGCTTCTGGGAGGCCTCAGATATGACTTCTGGTAGTTAACCTTAAAAACCACTGAATGGTACAGAGCATACAGGTCTTGCAGGGCTGTCTTCCGACACCCAGTGCAAGATGCAGTTCTGGGAGGACATGGGTACAATGTTCCTAGGATGGAGTTCAAAGACCTCTATCTAAAAATAACACCTCTGATAAAGTAGTCTGATGGTTTTACATTTGTTTTTGTTTTTTTCTGTGAATATTTTATTTTTTTAAAGTCAAGTTTGTGGAGGTATAGTATGCACATAGTAAAAATCACTCTTTTGAGGTCACATCTCCATGAGCTACTGCTACAATCAACCCACATCCCAGCAGCCCCGTTCCCCTTCTCAGCAGTCCTCTCAGCCCGATGCTCGTTTTGCCATCCAGCATGTCCGTGTCCAGAATGTCACATGTGTGGAATCACACAGTGTGCAGCCCTGTATCTGCTGCCTCCTTTGAGTGTGGGGACTCTTGACGCTCAGCCACACTGTGCTTCATGGCACAGGCAGACCACACACTTGTTTGTGGACATGTGGGCATTTCCATTGTTTTGCAATCAGGTAGAGAGCTGCTGTAGAGATCTGCCTGCTTTCTATTCTCCTTGGTAAGTAGCCAGGAATGCGTGTGTTGGGTCACGTGATGTCAGCTACTGTCCAGACTGACCACTCTGCTGCACCCCTACCAGTAGCACAGAAGAGCACCAGGTGCCCCATCTCATTTAGCGCTTGGTGCTGTCTGCCTTCTTAGCAGCTCTTCTAAGAGGTGTCTAGGGGCATCTCATCATGGTTTTGCCTTGCATTCCCCTAATGAATCATGACGTTAAGCTTCTCATGTGCTTATTAGCCTTCTCATTTTTTTTAACATTTTATTTGTAAAGAATTTTAAGCTTAAAGTTACTAGAATAAGTACAAAGACACCCATACAAGTGTTTAGCAGCTGTGTGTCTGTACACAGCTCTCTCACTCTATATGTATGCTGTATGTATAATATATAATAACATAGTATTTTCTCTGAATCATTTAAGAATAGGTTGCATTCATCTTGGCCCTTTGTCCTGAGTTATTTCCTAAGGACAAGGAAATAACTTATGATGATTTACGGAACAGGGTCCAGTCCAGAGTCCTTCCTGCATCTTGGGGGTCCTGTCCTCTTTAATCTAGGACATTTCCACAGCCTTTTTCCTCCCCTGACATCTCCTGATTAACTCATGTGTGCACACCCAGCTGGACACACATGTGTTCCACCTGCAGGCACACAACATCCACAGCCCTCAGTGGGTGGGGTGTTCACTCAGGTTACCTGGCCAAAGGGAGGTCTGACTTCTCCACTGTAGTTATTGACTTGCAAACTCTCCTCTCCAGAACCCCTGCATCCCTGCTCCACCCTGCCCCGCATAGCATCTGCCGGTCCCATCTGTCCCACGAAGGCTGGGAAATGCTGACTTTCTTGCCCTAGTCCCTCCACACTGACTGATGGCTTATGCATCTTATTGAAGCAAGCACCTTCTCTTCTGCAATGAAATTATCTATCTATTGCTGTCAGTACTGACCCCTGGATTCCTGGCCTCTCTGGTCTCTCAATGGCTTATAACTCATTACCATGCTTAATTATGTTGGTGTGAAACAATCCCAGACAAGGTTGGTGGAGGTTGCTTGACTTTGATGGTGCTCAATCATTTCCCTGGCACGTTCTCATTTTCCAGCATAACAAAATGCTCCAGGTTCCTCTTTTATCTACCCAGTCCCAGACCTCTAATCAGTCCATTTCTGAGGGACCCCAGACTGCAGGCTGAACAGTGTTCCCAAAATGTCCTCACAGAAACTTCCACCTCAACATGAATAAACTTACCTCAGCATCCCCCAATCTGCGCTGATGACTCACCAGCATTTATATCCCTTTCCTTCCTTAGTAACGGAACCTCATTTCTATTCAGGGAAGCAATGTGCCCAGCGAGGACGACTTTACTCCTCACAGCTGCCCGCGTGATCGAGACTGGGCCAATGAGACTTATGGGAATGTTGTGGGACGTTCCTTCCGGGAAGGCACCTCAGAGCGAGGGCAGATAACGGGGTGAGACGACAGCGTGGCAGAGGTCCAGGGCACCTGCTCAGCACCTGCTGCTGGGGGAATGTGGGCCACAATGGAGCAGATCTGGCTTCTCAGGACACACCACAAGTCAGCACTGTTATGAGCAATCTCCTGATTTTCAATGCTGTCAAATATTTTTTTAAGCTTGAAAATTAGAAACAAAATTAAGACACTGTATAGGCCAGATAGGACCCAGCTGTGGTCTGAGTGTGGCTGGAAGGCCCATGTATTCCAGGGATGGGGCCGACAAAGCAATGCCGAGCTGCGTTCCTTTCCTCTCCTCCAACCCCATGAAACGAGGGTGCCCAGCACCCTGTCCATGGTGCCACCAAGAGGCACCATTAGCCGGCTCTGCTCAGCACATTCCTTCCACTCACACTGGAACAGGTTTCCTTGGGCTACCGCCTTCTGTTAAATCTGTAAGCTTCAGCTCTTCCCTACTGGAACTGATGAAGGATTCTGATTTCCCCTGAAAAACGCTGAGGGCTCTCCCTAGAGACATCACTTGCACTGAAGGCTTAAGGGCTCACATTACATTCACATACTAATTTCCAGGCTCTGGGCTCTTGCCAAAATGCTAAGGTAATTTAATCTGTAGTTCCCACTCTGAGTTTATGAAGAAGTATGTTAAGTAATCCATGGGATGGCCTCAATGAGCCAGGAAAGTTGTGGGGACTCAGGAAAGTGGCTCGCCAATGAGGACAAGTAGACAATAAACCACCCATCTTCATTTTATCCTCACAATTGTTCTAAGAAGTGACACTGGAAGTATCTGGGTAAATTAGCAAAGATAAGTGAAGATGAAAAGCCCACTGTTGGTGGGGATGTGGGGATATAGGGCTAATGTCATCGGCGACACTCCAGAAACAACTCATCCACCAGGGAGAACCACAGCAACAGCTCAGAGGCTGCAGTTACACTAGAATTCCACTCTTGAGAAATAATCTAAATTGAGGGGAGGAGGTGGATACAGCTTGCACAAAAACACTCACAGGGTTCAAAAATCATAAACAAATATATTACGATGAGTTTTAAAGCCTGAGCTTCAAGGTCTAACTCCTCAAAGAATACTCCAGAGCAATTTCACTGATTTTAAATGACTTGTGTGCGCACCACGTCAATACATGAAGAAGTGTATATGGAACGGCATTCACCTCACATACAGCTACAACGACCATCTCAAGCATAGCCATGTCCAAGAGCCCCCGCAGCAGAGCAGCCACCCACGGCAGCATGGAGGACAGCCTGTCAGCTCCCCCGACTGCAGGAAGAAAGGAGGATGGTGCGCATGCCAACTGCCTAGCTTTGGGGACTGAACGAGCTATCGGAAAAAAGAGCTGGTGCCGTTGCCACGGCTGATTTTACATCTTCGTAACCAAGAAAGGAGCTTGCCTGAGTCAAGAAGTCTCATTTAACATTCTGAAGTGTGGGAGGGAGGGAGGGAGGCAAGAACTGTCATACGGTTTTAGCAGCCACCCCTGCCTGCCCTGGCTGGCTGATGTGGGATCCACGGCACAGGGAGGAGCAGGTTATGTGGAAGGCAGCTGGGAAGCGAAGGCCATGTCTGCACTGGGCTGCCAGGAGGTCAGAAGGTCAGAATATCTAACCAAGGAGCTGAGGGTGGTGGCAGCAGCGCAGCTCTGGACGCCATCCCTTTGCATCCTTCTCATCTCATGCAGCCTCACAGCAGTGCTGTGATGGGAGACCTGCACTGGTGTCTGGGGCTGCCCTAACAGGGAACAACAGACCAGGCGATACAAGGCAATACAAATTTATTATCTCCCAGCCCCATGGGCCAGAACTCTGAAATCAAGGTGTCAGTAGGGCCATGCTCCTGCAGAGACTCTAGGGGAGGATCCTTCCTGCCATTTCCAGCTTCTGGTGGCTCCAGGTGTTCCTGGGCTTGGTGGTTATATCATTCATCTCTGCCCTATCTTCTCATGGCCTTCTCTGTGTCTATCTCTGTCTTCTCCTGTTTCTTATAAAGACAGGTGTCACTGGATAATCCAGGGTGATTCCATCTTGAGAGATCCTTAACTTAATCATATCTACAAAGACCCTTTTCCCAAATAAGGCCACATTCACAGGATATCTCCAACCCTTTAGAGCAAAGCCCTCAACTCACTTTCTTTAGCCATTCCCAGTGCCTGCACAGGGTTGGGTACTTAATGATAAGAAACCAACAAACATTGGAGATCAACAAGACTACAGTGCTCAACCTTGTTTGAACGGTGAGAAATGGAAGTACAGCAAGGCTAAAGAGATGACCCAAAACCTGGCAGCTGCTTGACAGGGAGCTGCAACCCAAAGCCAGCCCCTCTGATTCACCTGCAGTCCCTCTCTGCATCCACACGCTCAAAGCAGTGTGCCAAGCTCCACACAGCAGACGTGATGCAGCAAGCGGGAGGCAAACAGGATCTTCGTGAATCAAAGCAATCGGCTCATTAATTCACAATATTATCTCAGATATGTAATCAGAGGAAACAATGTGGGCTTAAAAGGTCACACATAAATAAATAATTATATCAAGAAGACAACAAACGCCTTAGCTCCTGTAAACAGCAAAGTTTCTGTGATATACTCTGTGTTTACTGCAGTAGAGGCTACGTGGTCCAGAAAGAGGTGGAGGCAGGCAGAGCCCTGCACGGGAGCACTATGGGAAGAGTTTAAATGCTCTCCATAACTCCTCTTTATTCAGGTACTTGATTTCTCACAGGTGAAGGTGCATTAGGAACGCAATGCCATCTATTGATAATAAAGGCACTTTAAGGAACCATGGGAAAGAACTCATGCAGTGTTTCAATTGTAGAGGAATTTTTAGCAGAGAATATTTAGGAGCCGTGTTCACGGGCAGTGACAGGTGCCCCTCAGTCTGCAATGGTTCTGCTGAATTTCTACAAGCTCTTTGAGTAGCAGGTGTTTCATGAAAGCTAACTAAAAAAACTAAAGGCAGCCAGGGCACAAATGAAGCCTGGACTCAAGCAGAACACACAGGTGGAGACAGGCCTGCCGGGATTGTGCTATGGCCCCGGGGGCCCTGGCATGAAAGTTAAACATC
The DNA here is from genome assembly GCF_000001405.40 of Homo sapiens. Classification (NCBI taxonomy): domain Eukaryota; kingdom Metazoa; phylum Chordata; class Mammalia; order Primates; family Hominidae; genus Homo; species Homo sapiens. Next base: position 44,401,896 of record NC_000007.14, read on the forward strand.
CAGCTATCCTCTTAAGGCACAGCTCCCCCAACCTCCTGCCTGGTGGCTGCATCTCACACATTTACCTAACACAGGGAAGACTCTGAAACCCACAATGGGGACCCACACTCCTCCCTCATGTTCTGCTCCACAGAGCCTTTCAGCTGAAACGGAGCAATGCTTCCCAGCCCCGACAGGTCTGAGCCTTCTCCAGAGACTCCCGTTTCTCACAGCACTGGAAAAAGCCTTCTGGGACAAGGCAGGCATGGGTTTGAGGTCTAGCTCTACCCGCTTCGCAAGCTACTTACCTTCTCATAGCCTCAATGTCCCAATACGTAAAATAAGTTTGCAGAGAATTAAACAGATTGTAAGGCACCTCACAAAGAGCCTGGCCCAAAGACTGTGTTCATTGAATGGCGGCCATTATTAAAAGAAGTTAATGTTTTGGCCACTAGTCACATCCCTATTCCACTTGTATTATACATACAAGTGTACAAAACGCACACAAAAAAGAAACATGGCTTTGAAATATCCACGAAGAAGTTAGAGTTACTTCCGTCAACAAAACCCTTAAGAGTTGAGCTATGTATTAATAATCACATATTTATGCAAATAGTGTAAAGTAAAAGGAATCATTGGTACCCTGATTGTAATCCCAAAAGATTCCAAATACGGTGGCTATGGGCTCAGAGACCAGTGACTAAGGCTTTGGGCTTCTGCATGAAGTATCTAAAAAGTGCAACCGGACCACACACGGGGTTGCTCACCAAGAGCTCCTCGCTCAGAGGGAACCAACTTGAGAGCATCGTGACCTGCTCCATGATCTGCACTGAGTTCACCCAACGGAAGGCAGGAGAGTCAAGGCCAGTGTTTTAAGGCAGGGCTATCACGACCTCTCAGTCCATGGAGATGGCAACCCCAGGATCACGGGCTCACTAGTGTAATACAGGCGGCCAGGGCTGCACCTTCAGAGGGCAAGCTAGCCGGCCCCAGTACTACTAGTGCATCACTCATGCTCTCATACCTCCACAACCACGTGAAGCTCAAGTGAGGGAGAGGCCGTAATGGCATCTGCAAAGTCAAGTATGACATAAAGGAAAGGAACTGGTAGTAGTCACAGGAGCCTATAGCTTGGGAAAAGGCTCCAGGCTGTGTCATAATGCACAGGCTTTATATGTCTGGGGTCAAAGGATGAGGAACTGAACTGCTGGGTGATGGGGTGATCTTCACAGTATTTGCAGGCAGGAGAAGAGCACTTCTCTGGTCTTTGGCTGCTGAATGCCATGGGCAGGGGAGCACACAGGGTGAGATTTAGAAAAAGAACCACTGCCATCTACCACTGGCCATCAGCAGAGGTAGGCCCTGGGTGGCCAGGAGAGTCAGAACTGGGATGGGCCAGTCCAAGCCCCATTGCTGGAAACTCTACACATCACACATAGGGCCTCACGTAGGGCCTAAATAGGAGGCCCTGCTTAGGATGAAACACTCACTAGGAGAGTGAGCAGTTGAGGCCACGGCAGCACCAAGGAGCATGTTGTCTGTGCCCAGGTTGGCCCCACCTCTGTGTAGCCAGAGTGAGCTCCATTGTCCAGGTTTGATATCAAGACCAGAGTCAAGGTTGGTCCAGGTTTCTGCAGCACTGACAGAATACACTCCTTTCGGTACCTGGCCTGCATGTCCCTCCGAGCATGAGGACAGCCAGGACAGAGTCACTGTGAGCCTGAGAGATAGTTTGTCCCTGCCAGTCAGCACTGGCCAGGGAAGCCCAGGCAGAAGCCTGCCAAGCATGTCTTATAGAAACCAAAACAGATACCTTTATTGCATACTTTGCACATATGAAGAATATATCTGTATAAAATTCTAAAGACTTTTGTCCAGACATTATATTTTTCTTTTCACCTTTATTCCTTTTACCATGCCCTGTAAACACCCCAGTAGGAGAAAAAAAGGAAACAAGTTAGTTCAGAACATGTTGTGCCTCAATTTATCTGTAGGTGACCTCCACTTGGGCACCAGCACAGAGCCACCACTGACAAGGTTCAAAGCTTTCACAGGGGAGAAGGAGCTGAGCCACCAACAGATCTGGCCCAGGCGTGCAGCCCAATTTGTGAGCGAGTCTGCTAACTGGTAACATGTGAGCTGTTCATTTGGAGTCACACCTTAATCTCACTGTCCTGAACTCTTAGCTATGCCTAACCAGCAGCTGGCTAAGGACAGCCAGTTGGTCAATGAGCCTGATTCTCTGAATTTATTAACTCTGTACCCTCCAGAGTAGCATCTGTAAAAATTCAACCTAGCTTTTCATTTTCAATTTACTTGTTTTTGCCTTAGATGTAAGAACAGTGGAGCTCTTGGGAATGACCAAGACCTCAAAGGGCCAAAGCTCAAGTGCCCACAGAGACGATCTCTGAGCAGTATGGAAAATGCTCAGGAAAACCCATCTGCCCCAGCAGCTGAAATTAACAACCTCACTGCTTAAGTGTAAATAGGCTTGTTGGTCAAAAGGGGCATCACTGCAGGTTTGAAGTCCACCTGGGAGCCCTACACACAGGTGCCCAAACTTACCAAAACGCACTTCCCGGGCTCGAGACTCCAGAGAGAACTCTCAGTGTTGATCTTGTGGGTGAGCTTCCCTTCCATGAGGACGCGCTCCCCATTTTCCTCCAGCATGGCCACACGAATGGAGCTGCTGCTAAGGGCCACTGAGACCTGGGGACACAGCAGAAGAAAATCATCTCTCCTATCAGGGTGACCACTGGTGTGCTGTACGGTGGGAGTGGTGATGGTTTCCAAGGTACCTGACTGCACACTACAGCGCTGTCATCAGGCTCACCAGGCATCTCAGTGAAGAAAACCATACCAGCCTAATTTATACCTAGAGCAACCTGAAGATGTCAGCTCATTTAGTAAATCCACCAGAAAATCTTTCTCAGCATAACTGGTAACGTAAAATGCTGTGGTGGAAGCTGCTGTGACCCAATCTTCTTCTCCCTTCTCCAGTTAACGGAGACCAATTGTCACAGCAAAAAGTGAGCAGAGGAGACAAGTGGTATTTCTTCCTTGCCTCCCCTTGTGGCTACCTGGGAGACGCAGGAGCCCAGCCCTGGACCACAGCAACCAAGAAAGCTGAGGGGGCTGCACACCCTGAATTGCTCACCCCAGGACTGCTGTACAAGAGACAAGCACCACCTCTTCCTTCCATGAGCCACTGCACTGCCTGGTTGACTATAGCCTGGTCTTCATCCAAGAGTATGAGACCAACTCCTTTGGTTTTGGAAGGCAGCTATGCTCACCAATATACCACCAACACTCGCACATGGTTTTGCATTTTGTCTTGGTTCTTTACAAAACCAAGCCTCTAAAAGCCTCAGCTCACCCTCCTCCCTCTGAGCCTGTCCTAGGCAGAGACTGGCCCCATGGCCTTCCCCACCGCCCTAGGAACACCTATCCCTGCCCCACCACTTGTCCGTCTCCAGAACTGGACTGGCAGCTGTGGGAGTAGGGTTCCTTTTACTTCATATCATGTATTCCAGCCAGCAGTCTCCAAAGCAGGGTATGCATACCCCAGGAGGTTCACAGGTCAGTAATTAGAAGAGGAAATAAAACAGAACTTCCATTTACATTTTGTATCTGTATAATGTATGCATTAAGAAGACACTGGGATCAAGTACTTAAAACTTTTTTCTAATAGGTATGTGGAATAAAAATAATTTGGAAGCTACTCTCCATGTCATTTGGTAGATGGCTCATTAAACGCTTATAAAATGATTGGAAAAAAAGACAACCCAAACTGATAGATTTTCCAAACTGGAGTTTAGTATTTCCAATGAAATACAATACCATAACCTAACTGTAGTTTAAATATTCGTAAATAAAAAATGGAAATGGGAGAAATGATGTGCAGGAGTCACCGCTGTCAGTTTTTCTTCTTTTTCTTTAAGAGACACGGCCTCACTGCATTGCCCAGGCTGGAGTGCAGTGGCGTGATCCCAGCTCACTGCTGCATCAAACTCCTGGGCTGAAGCAATCCCTCCACCTCAGCCTCCCGAGTAACTGGGACTACAGGTACGTGCCACCATGCCTGGCTAATTTTATTTTTATTTTTTGTAGAGACAGGGGTCTTGCTGTTGCCCAGGCTGGTCTCGAACTCTTGGCCCCAAGTGATCCTACTGCCTCAGCCTCCCAAAGTGCTGGGATGACACATGTGAGCCACCACATCCAGCCCATCAGATAGTTACTAAATGAAAGATAGTTCCTGAGCCATGCAGTGAGGGGAGAAGGTGGCAGAAGGCTGCCCACTGGGGGACACAGCGAAGATATTCTGCTAACCACAGGCGGCTCTGCCAGGTTCACATGCAGACTCCAAGGAAGCATCCTCTCATGAGATCGCAGTTCCACTTGCATGACCTTTCATAGGGGAATTTACCACGGAAAAGGGTATTTACTTGGCTAGTCCTATTGAACAATAGGCAACTGAGCTTCACTCCCTACCTTCTAACACCATGAGGAACGTGAGCAAATGGAACAACAGATCCACTCACTCCTGAAATGATCCAGACACATGTTGGGCCAAATCATGTCTAACCATGAACTTGTGTGCAATGGAAACACGACACAGAGGGCCCAAGGCTCCTCAGCCTGCCTTCACAAGAACAAGCTCACTTAACAAATATAATTCTCCCACCCAGCTCTATATAACATAATAATTTCCAAATTTGGGGAAGCTTCTCACACTGCCTACCCAGGGGAATGAACCAAATCATCAAGGGAGAAAACCAGACAAGAAATGCTTCCAGAGGTCCCAGGTGAAGATGTCACACTGGGAACAGACAGCCATCTCTCTGACCTCTTGTGAACTGCAGGCATAATAGGCATGAAGAGAAAAACCCCAGACAGTGAAAATGGGGGAAGAGGGAGGCCAGGAACAGATGAGATGTCAACAAATCTGCAGAAGACAAAAGGAGGAGGGGCACAGGAGACAAATCCTATAGGGTAGGAGACATCCAGAAGCCACAGCTACATAGGCTCCAGTTGGGAGTCGGCAGGTATGCAGAGCAGGAGCAAGGCCAGGGGCACATGTGGGAACTGCTGTGGCCCTGGACGCCCCACTGAAAGGGACAGGAATCCCTCTGTTTGCTACAGAAGAATGGAGGACCTTGCTCCAAAGACACTGACCAGCAGTCTGAGGACCTAGTGTGGATGCCTGTGTGTCAAGTGAAGTCCTACTCACTCAAGCATTAGGATGCCAAGACCCTATGTCCTATAAAGCAAAGCTGACTGGTCAATCCACTCAGCTGTCGGTGGTGGTGGGACGAGCAGGTTTCAGACACACAGTAGACAAACCCATCAATACGGTCCCACACTCAAGAGAATGGGAGAAAAATATTTTTGTATTAAAAAAAAAAAAAAGACCGGGCATGGTGGCTCACACCTGTAATCTCAGCACTTTAGGAGGCCGAGGCAGGCAGATCACCTAAGGTTGACAGTTCGAGACCAGCCTGACCAACATGGAGAAACCCCGTCTCTACCAAAAATACAAAATTAGCCAGGCGTGGTGTTGTATGCCTGTAACCCCAGCTACTCCGGAGGCTGAGGCAGGAGAATCGCTTGAACCTGGGAGGCAGAGGTTGCGGTGAGCCGAGACTGCACCATTGCAACAGGAGCCTGAGCAACAGGAGTGAAATTCTGTCTCAAAAAAAAAAAAAAAAAAAACTAGAGAACTGAAGACTGCATCTTGTGAGAAAAAACAGGCAGATGAAAACAAGTTAAAAAAAAATACAGAGCTAATTTGGAAAAAAGATATCCAAAAATATTTCTATTTTATGTCTTCACAGAGATCTGAGAAGACACTATATCCATATAACCAGAATAAAATATGAAAATAGAACAATTAGGCCAAAAAGAAAGAACACAAGAATTTAAAATACAGTAGCTAAAATTAAACTTCAATAAAGAGGCTGGAAGATAAAGTCAAAGAAATCAAGGTAGAAACACAGATCAATTCAGGCAATCAATTTGGCATTCCAGAAATTATGACAGTAATAAGATAATTTTCCAGAGCCAAAGGAAAATATGCCTCCAGATTGAAAAGTCCCACCAAGAGCTAAGCAGAATGAATGAAAGACTCATGAAATTTTATGACACTGGGTGTTTTTAAAAAGGTCCTGAAAGTTCCAAGGAGGAGAAAAAGCTTACTCACAAAGAGATGGAATAGACTTCCAGAATCAATTACACAGAGTGTAAGAAGATATCCCTTTCAATCCTAACAAGGGAAAATTATTTTTAAGCTAGAATTCTACATACACCCAAACTGAGAAATAAGTGAAAAGTTAAAATAAATGCATTTTAAGATATACAACAATTCTACATTATATATCACTTTGAGAAAAACAAAATGAGGATGAAAACTGAAAAAGAGGAATATCCAACTCAAGTCCAAAAACTGCATTTAATCTATAAACGCAGGAAGAAAATACCAGGAGTGTAGCTATACAGCAGAACAGGAAATAACCAGTCTAGAGTGGAGTTCAGGCAGAAAGAGATTTCTAGACAATACTCAGTATTAATGAATCTGGGTAATTCTGAGGTTATGATGAAGTATACTATTTTTGATAACAAGATAAAAAAGAAGGGCAGCAAGAACCCTCAGGAAAACAAAAAAGATTTAAGAGATTCCTGATCCAAAGGATGTCAGTGAAAATGGTGGTTACTACAGGCCTCCAAAAAGCTCTCCTCCATAAAAGCAACCAAAAAGTTGGCAAAAATTGTCAGTATCAACTTCTTATGGATTTTGGAAACTAACCAAAGGTTTGCAGGAACCCAGGGAGCATTAATTCAAGGAAAACAACCACATCTCAGTAAGAACAGTGAGCTCTGTGATATTTTAATTTGGCCTAGACCCATCCCCACTCTCCAGGCTCTCAGCAGGCCGCATTCCTGGTACAGCGTAGCAGCCATCGCTGGAGAAAACAGTGCTCTTAGAGCTCTTTCAAAGCTTCATTCTCAAAGAACTGTCATCATTTGACCTGTCTGATGGTTCCCTGTAAGACCTCATTTGCAAGACTGACTGACTGTTTCTGGCTAAACTCAGAAAAGCCTTCCTCCCAACCCAGGAGTGTCTGTTGAAAATACGGCAAGTGTTTTAACTTTGCAGCCTCCTGAGGTGGCAGATAACAACTGAGGCAAACCAAAGGCAAAGGTGGGAAATAAAATGTCCGTGGGGGCTTTGAAAAGCTTTGACATTTTCCCAGGAATCTAGAAAGACACATGAATGTACAGAGCTTCACTGCACACTCAGGAAAAACCTAAGAAGGCCTTAAGCTCTCACCTCTGGCTGACTTTGACTCAACATCAGCAGGAAATAAAGGCTAAGGCAGTTTTTAACTGTTAGGCCAAGCAATGAAGGTATGCTCCAACAGGTAGATGAAGCCCCTCGACAAAAACAGGTGTTTACTGATCCCAGGAGTTTAAGGAAATCGCCATCTAATAATTACTTGGCCACTAAGTTCACCAAGTACAGATTTCACTGGTCAGACACAATAAAGAATACAAACTTTACAGAATTAGTTCAGAAAAGTCATTAAACAAGAACAACTATATCACGTACCAATAGCAACCATGGGAAGAAAGGAGCATCTGATTTCCTGAGTCACCCCATTGTGTTATTTAAAAATCCATTTCTCAATAACAGCAAAAAAAAAAAAATTAGACAAAGAAACAACAAAGTATGGCCCATACATAGGAAAAAGAAAGCAATCAATAAAATCTGTCCCTGAGGAAGCCCACATATGAAGAACTTAGCAGAAAACAGTCTCTAAATCACCTATTTTAAATATGCTCAAAGAGCTAAGAAAACTATGCAAAAATTACTAAAGGAAAGTATGGGAATAACGTCTTTTAAGTAGAGAATATCAATAAATATCAGTATCACTATTGATACTGATAACGAGATAGAAATTATTATTACCATTTTTTTAAGAATCAAATACAAATTCTGGAGTTCAAAAGTAAAAGGGGGAAAAGATAAGCGTTCATGAAAGGGGCTCAAAACCACTTTTTAGCATTTAGAAGAAAGAACAAGCAAACTTGAAGACAGGTCAATTGAGATTACCCAAACTGCGAAACAGGAGGAAAAAACAGTGAAGAAAAATAAACAGAGTCACAGAACCTGAGGGACACTATTAAGCATACCAACATACAGAAGAGAAAAGAAGAAAGAATATTTGAAAGAATAATGGCTAAAAACTTTCCAAATTTGACATGAAAAAAATTACACCCAAGAAGCTCAATGAATTCCAAGTAAAATAAACTAAAAGGGAGCCAGCCTCACCTAGATGTCATAATCAAACTGTCAAAAAAGCCAAGTCAATAATGAAGGAACAGAACAAAAACAAGGAATAAAATCTTCAGAACTTACTATAAAGCTACAGTAATCAAAACAGTGTGGTACTGGCATAAGGACAGGCATCTATACAGATCAATGGAACAGAATTAAAAGTCTAAAAACAGCCAGGCACAGTGGCTCACGCCTGTAATCCCAGCACTTTGGGAGGCCGAGGTGGGTGGATCACGAGGTCAGAAGATCAAGACCATCCTGGCTAACATGGTGAAACCCCGTCTCTACTAAAAATACAAAAAAAATTATCCGGGTGTGGTGGCGGGTGCCTGTAGTCCCAGCTACTTGGGAGGCTGAGGCAGGAGAATGGTGTGAACCCAGGAGGTGGAGCTTGCAGTGAGTGGAGATCCTGCCACTGCACTCCAGCCTGGGGGACAGAGCAAGACTCTGTCTCAAAAAAAAAAAAGTCTAGTAACAGGCCAGGCATGGTGGCTCACACCTGTAATCCCAGCACTCTGGGAGGCCGAGGCAGGCAGATCATGAGGTCAAGAGATCGACATTATCCTGGCCAACAGGGGGTAACCATATTTCTACTAAAAATACACAAGTTAGCTAGGTATGGTGGTGCGTGCCTGTAGTTCCAGCTACTCGGGAGGCTGAGGCAGGAAATCGCTTGAACCCAGGAGGCAGAAGTTGCAGTGAGCCAAGATCGCGTCACTGCACTCCAGCCTGGCAACAGAGCGAGACTCTATCTCAAAATAAAGTCTAGTAACAAACTCATATATTTATGATCAATTGATTTTAGACAAGAGTACCAAGACAATTCAATGGGAAAAGAATAGTATTTTCAAGTAATTGTACCATGAGAACTGAGTATTCACATGCAAAAGAATGAAACTGGTCTAATAATTCAAAATGAAGTTGGACAACTATTTCATAGCATATAATAAATTTTTTAAACTCAAAATGGATCAAAAACCTAAATGCAAGAGTTAAAATCTGTGATCTTGGGTTAGGCAACGGGTTTTAGATATAACACCACAAGCAGCCAAAGCAAAAAAAAAAAATATTGACTTCATCAAAATTTAAAACTTTTATGCTTCAAAGAGTAGTATCAAGAAAGTGAAGACAACCCATAAAATGGGAGAAAATATCTGCAAATAATGTATCTGACAAGGGTGTAGTATCCAGAATACGTAAAGAAGTCTTACAACTCCACAATAAAAAGGCAAACAACCCAATTAAAACATGCATATGGACTTGAATAGGCATTTCGCCAAAGAAGATACACAAGTGGAAAATAAGGACATAAAAAGATGCTCAATGTTATTAGTCATGAGGGAAATGCAAATCAAAACAATGAAATCCTACTTCATACCCAGTAGGATAGCTACAATTAAAAAACAAAACCAAAACAGACAATAACAAGGGTTGATGAGGATACAGAGAAATAAGCACCCTCATACATTTCTGGTGGATCTGTAAAATATAAAATGGTACAACCACTTTGGAAAACTGTTTGACAGTTCCTCAAAAAGTTAATTATAGAGGTACCACATGACCCAGCAATTCCACCCATAGGTATATACCCTAGTGGTGAAGACAGAAAACATATGTCCAGAGAACTGGAAGCATATGTCCATGTATGGGTGGTAAAGGGAAAGATTGGAGGTACAAGTAGATGCACAGTGGGGAAATACAGAGACGCCTCTTTCTAGCCTCATTCCACAGGACAAGTCCTCAGATGCCAGCAAAGGACAAGCAAGGCAGTCTGAAGGAAGAAAAGAGATTGAGACCACCTTAGATACAATCTTGTGGCACACTCATGTTCAGGCAGATGCCATGTCACAGGCCAGAGGTCATCACCCTTAGGTTCTGATAAGAACTCTACCACTGAGGCCCCTCTAAGACTAGGAAGATATCCAGGAAGCTGAGCAATGTGTCCCTTACCAAACAATAAATAAGATGAAGATACACATGCAAGTACACTGTGTGTGGATATATCCAAAAAACACATCCACGTGTACTGAGCATAATTAAAGTTATATTCGATGCAAAAACTGGTTTAAAACCCAGAGTACTCACAACCAACATGGCACAAAATCCTTATTCACATACAACTTGTAACAGATGGTGTATACAATCTAGATCATTTTATTACAATTTTTAAAAATCAAGTGTCCATTTTCAGCTTCAGTTGTATCTAATTTTGTTCAATTTCAAGTTCTATCTGTATTTTTTAAACATTTGCATTTTAGAACGCCTGTATCTAATCAAATACAATGGGAAGATCAACTGTAAGTGATACAATTCATACTATGTTAGGCTGTTGGTTATGAACAAATGAGATGGGGCCCAAATTGCCACTTAGAAGTCTTCTATGAAGAAAACAAATCATTTCATTTCTGCAACAATTAAATTAGAAACCATTGGCAGGGCCGGGCGCAGTGGCTCACGCCTATAATCTCAGCACTTTGGGAGGCCGAGGCAGGTGGATCATGAGGTCAGGAGATCGAGGCCATCCTGGCTAACACGGTGAAGCCCCGTCTCTACTAAATATACAAAAAATTAGTTGGGCGTAGTGGCAGGCGCCTGTATTCCCAGCTACTCAGGAGGCTGAGGCAGGAGAATGGCGTGAACCCAGGGGGCGGAGCTTGCAGTGAGCTGAGATCACGCCACTGCACTCCAGCCTGGGCGACAGAGCGAGACGCCGTCTCAAAAAAAAAAAAAAAAGAAAAAAAAAAAGAAAGAAACCATTGACCATTGGCAGAATTCAGACAAAACTATTCTAATGGGGTAAAAAGATCAAAGTGGATTATAAGGCAGCAAGAGTTCAAATAACTGACCAAAGAAACTCTACCAAACGCAATCTGCTCCTATCTAATCCTGATTCAAATTTCAGAAGCCATGAAAAAACAAAGAACCAATTAACTTGAATACATAAAAATTAGTAAGGTGAGGCTGGGCATGGCAGCTCATACCTGTAATTCCAGCACTTTGGGAGTCTGAGGCAGGGGGATTACTTGAGCCTAGGAGTTTAAGACCAGCCTGAACAACACAGGGAGACTCCATTTCTACAAAAAAAAAATTTTTAATTAATTGGGCATGGCAGTTCGTGCCTGTGGTCTCAGCTACCTGGGAGGCTGAGACGGGAGAATCAATATAAATCAACTCAAAAGGTTAATAACAAAATGGGAAAACAGATCTGCAATACATATCACCTACAAAGGACTGATCTCTCTAATATATACAGAACTCCTAGAAATCAGTAAGAAAAAGTACAGCAACCTAATAGAAAATGGGCAAAAGATATAACTAGTTCAAAGGATAGGCACATGTAGAAAGATGCTCCACCTCACTCTAAGAGAAATACAAATTCATACTACACATAGATACTATTTTTCATCTATTCAACTTACGAAACCCCAAAATTTGATAACATACTATTGTCAGCAAATTTGTGAAAAACCAAGGGCTCTTGTACATTGTTGATGGATATGTAAGTTAGTATAACCCCATATGGAAGATAGTTTAGCAACACTTACAGAAATTAGAAATACAGGCCGGGTGTGGTGGCTCACGCCTGTAATCCCAGCACTTTGGGAGACCAAGGTAAATGGACTGCTTGTGCCCAGGAGTACAAGACCAGCTTCTTGAGCAACAAAGGAAAACCCCATCTCTACAAAATACAAAAAATCAGCTGGGCATGGTGGTGCACGCTTGTAGTCCCAGCTGCTCAGGAGACTGAGATGGGAAGATTGCTTAAGCCTAGGGAGGACAAGGCTGCAGCGGGCCATGATGGGTAACAGAACAAAACCCTGTCTCAAAAAAAAAAAAGAAAAAAGAAAGAAATTAGAAATACATATACCTTTCAATATAGCAACTACACTTCATGGAATTTTTTCTATATGAAAATGCATATACGCAAAATGAAGTTTATTAAAGGGCATTGTTTTATTGTTTACAACAGGAAAGATTGGAAACAACCTAAATGTCCATTAACAAGAGGGTGGTTTAATAATCAGCCTATAGTTTGAAGGGGGCAAAAGCAAAGAACAGGAGTCCCAGGTGTGAGGGATGGTGGGTTTGGGGCACTTGAGCCAGATGACCAGGGAAAGCAAAGTCTACCTAGAATTTACTGGGCACCCCTCAGGCACTTGGGGACATGGAAGTAAAAAGAGATGGGAGTCACTTTGGTGCGGCCAAAATGACACTGGGCAGGGGCAGTAAGATCATCTTAAAAAGTGGAATGCACCATCTGTGCTAAAGGTGGGGACACAGCAATACATGTTCATACTTGATTATACATGCATAAAAATATTTGTTGAAATATCCCCAAAACCAGTTATGTGATGACTTAGGTTAGGGCTGGCTGGGGAGGGGTCAGGACAAGACAGAAAAGACACAGAGGCAGGACAGGGATTTTTGTGTTGTTATACAAGTTTTTGCTTTTGAACATATAAATGTGTTATGCACTCAAAAATTATGTAAATACAAAAATAATGCAGTCTATTAGTCTTTTCTGTTATGGAAGTTTCCTATAATAAAACGTTTTCCTGCATTTTTTCCTAAGCAACTTCTAAGAACACGTTATGGAGCTTTTAACACAAATTCCAGCACTTACATCAAGCTCACAGGCAAGGCCTCACTACGAATCTAAGCCTGGGGATCAGTTAGAGCCATAAATGACACACCTAGTGGCTAAGGTGGTGTTCCAAAAGGTACCCAAGGTGAGGACAAAGATGGCAGGTCACAACAGTGACTGCACCAGCCTGCAGGACCACTCACAATCTATGAGAGGAAGAAGACTCAAGGGAAACAGATTCACTTGTCACTCAATAACATCCAATCATGACTTCATTTGCAATAAGGCCATAAAACAGGGTGGAGGTGACGGGACCTTGGTTCTGGTCTATGATCTACCATCAACCCACCATGAGAGTTTTCTCATCTGCAAAATGAGAGGTTAAACTAAAAATCTCTGGAGTTTAATTTTCAAAAGCATTCCAATTCTGTGATTCAATGAAATGCCAGGTTTATAATCACCCAGGTCTGACATGAGCAATCACAAAAACATCTGTCATTAACTCAAAGTTCCTTGTCTCTATTCTGTGGGTACACTGAAGAGAGAGAGAGAGGGAGTCAGCTGCTTTTCCTAAACAGAGCAGAGTAGATTGAGCAAAGAACATGTGATGGAAAAGACCTAACCACATTTTACTAATGTATGAAATTAAAAGCTTCATTTTGAGAAGTTTTCTTTCAGATTCACTAGCAAGATGATTTTTTTTAAATGTTACGATGTAAAATAGGAACACTTTCTAGTTTTCTTCTAAAGAACATAAAGCATTATGCATACACTCTTATTTGTCTCCTACTACCCTTGAGAGAGCAAGTGTGAACTCATCATACCCATTCTACAGAAAAGGGATCAATGAGAAACTCCAGGAGAGGCAAAGCTCTGATAATGCCTGCATCAAGCTACAGCTGGAGAGTAGAGGATCTGGCTCTCCTGTGAAGCTCTATCCACAGCCCCAACACAAACACTGGGCTGCCTAAGCAAAGCCCCTGAATCACCAACCCAGAACAGATTCTGATTTTATCAGTTGAGTTGTTGCAGCCGGGGTTACCATCGTGACAATGTCCCATAGGTGCCACAGACAAAAAACAAAAATAAACACTGCTGACAGGCAACCGTGACAGGTAGACTTAGGGAATAACTGGCCAGGCCAGAAAGAAAGTACAGCTCTGAAGAAAAACACTTAGACAAGCAAAATCCAAGAGATACAAAATAAACTTTTTCCAAAGTTTTAAGTGAGGTACGACTAAAAAAAAAATCATTCAGCAATTAAGAGACCAAGAATTTTTATTTTTACTTTATTTTATTTATTTTTTGAGATAGGGTCTTACTCTGTTGCCCAAGGTGGAGTGCAGTGGCACAATCACAGTTCGCAGAAGCCTTGACCTCCTGGGCTCAGGTAATCCTCCCACCTCTGCCTCCCAAGTAGCTAGGACTACAGCAGCGTGCCACCATCCCCAGCTAAATTTTTTTTGTGCTGTTTTGTAGAGATGGGCTTTCACCATGATGCCCAGGCTGGTCTCAAATTCCTGGGCTCAAGCAATCTGCCCACCTCAGCCTCCCAAAGTGCTGGGATTACAGGCTTGAGCCACCATGCCAAGCCAAGAATTTTTAAAAGAGGTCTGCAGTTAGGAAGTCGGAGGTTGCAGTGAGCCAAGATGGCGCCACCGCACTCTAGCCTGGGTGACACAGCGAGACTCCAAATCAAAAAAAAATAAAAAATAAAAAAAATAAGAGGTCTGCAGTGTTGTAAGAATGACATGGGGAAAAAAAATACTATTGAAGGAGAAAAAAGTTTTTCCAACCCCATAGGAGATGAAGCATGCCACCAAGGCAGGTCACCAGTACAAATTAGGTCAGCGAGCATCACAAAAGGCCTATTGTCACATAGATATACCGTGTTAATAAATAAATAAGGCAAGCCACTATTAAATAAGCCACTGAAAAAAGAAGTCCCTTCCTTCCATCCTTCTATCCTGATACTTATAACCAAACTTCACCTTCGACCCTTCTCTGAGGTGAGAGAGAGCACTAGCTCCAGAGCAAGCCTTGATTGTGACCTGGCTCTTATTGGCTGAGACCATGCACACACAGCTCTCAGTAGCCCTCATGGGTGCACAGCGACTGCCTGCATGATAGGAGGACTGGGGGGGACAACTCACTATTTCAAGACACAGAGAGGGCACCACACGAGTGCTGGTTAAATACACAAACCACCCACTTTTAGGTTCTATACGGCACCTGCCTCCATCTTGCTCATTTATTTACTGACTTTTACTGCTGTACCCCACTGGGATATAAGCTCCAAACCAGCAATCTTGTCTGTCTTGGTGACTCCCACATGCCCAGTTCCTGGGACAAAGCACAGCCCACACGTTTAGAAAACGTCTAATGTAGAATGAGCCAAATCCAGGGTTATCCTTGGTGATAGTAGAGCCACATCATCTTAGAGGTCATGATAAGTGCATTTGAGAGAGGTGTAAATCTGAACTTCAGACAAGACATCAGGGCAGGACCCTCATAACACGGTGCCGACCACAGGGAAGAATCATGGCATCAACATCCCAGATAGTCAACAAGCATATCTGAGACACCATTTCCAGTGGGGAGTTGTCCCAGGTAGCTGTGCAAAGTATGGTGAAAGCTGTTAGCTAACCTGGGTCTCTTGAGTCAAAAAAAGAGAAAATAACCAGTTTTAGCTTGGGCCTAATACAAACCCTTTCAGAGAAAGCCCCAGGGGTTCATAGAGCAGTTCAGAAGACAGATAAAGGACCAGGAAACTGTAAATTTTTTTTAGCCAAGTGAATGAAGCATGGCAATCGATGCTTTTCCTAATTTATTCAACTACATACACGGCAATACTAACAAAAAATGAAATGGAAATCAACACCTAACCCACTAAAACCCCAAAATTCTGGATAAACTACTTGGGAAGAGCTATTAGCTCCTGCTCCTGGCCTATTAAAAACAGACAGGAAGTAGTCATTTGAAAATAGAATTCCGTGTGGATGATCCCTAGTGATCTGGTCTGACTTTGATCTTAAAATTATACTGAAGTCTATGATTCTAGAGGTCACCAGTTGCTGGTAAGAGATATACTGGGGATGTGGGGTGGGAAGAAGGGAAAATTGAGCACACAGCTACTTGCTGCCGAAGCCAGGCCACCAGCAACTCACTGATCTGTGCCTGTGGTACCTTAAAGGCACAGGGCACTTGCAAAAGTCTCAGTCTTCTTAGGGATGCCATGGACCCCACCCAAACTCCTACACACAGGGCAGGTTTAGGACATGTCTACCTATTTCAAGTGGCCCCTGGAGAATGAAGGAGAGACTGCAGAGGGAGTGGTCATGGAGTCGGAAGGCACAGGACAGGAGGGCCAGAGGGACTCAGCTCCAGGCCAGCCTGGACTTCACACCTACCCAGCCGAGGCAGGAATGGGACTAAGCCTAGTCACCTTACTGTCACCATGTGGGATGCAAGGTGCAAGCCAAGTTGCCCCCACCATACAGAGAGGTTCATTTCCTATAAATGCACATGAGACGTGTTCCAGGACAGTCTCTCCTTCTAAGAAGCCAGCACCACTTGTATGTATAGAGTAAGGAGGGTGGCACAGAGGGAAAAGCATAAGGTTTAGAAGCAGACACACCTGACTCAAACCACAGCTTTGCTACTTCATTCATGCAGCTATTCATTCATTCAAAAACTTATCCAGAGTGCTCACTGTTCCAGGCATAACAACAAGGGAGATGACACTGTGGATTTTCCAAGTTAACTTGGATGATTCAGTAACTTCTCTCAGCCTCAATTTCTCATCTATGAAATAGAATGAATGATATGGGGGGATCTGGCAAGACAGCTGAATAGGAATAGCTCTGGTCTGCAGCTCCCAGTGAGACCAACGCAGAAGGTGGGTGATTTCTGCATTTCCAACTGAGGTACCCTGTTCATCTCATTGGGACTAGTTAGGCAGCGGGTGCAGCCCACAGAGGGTGAGCAGAAGCAGGGTGGGACGTCACCTCACCTGGGAAGTGCAAGGAGCAGGGGGCCTCCCTTTCCCAGCCAAGGAAGCTGTGAAGAACTGTGTTATCCAGCCCAGATACTAAGCTTTTCCCAAGGTTCTTGCAATCTGCAGATCAGGAGATTCCCTCGTGTGCCTACACCACCAGGGCCCTGGGTTTCAAGCACAAAACTGGGAGGCTGTTTGGGCAGACACTGAGCTAGCTGCAGGAGTTTTTTTTTTGTTTGGTTTTTGTTTTTGTTTTCATACCCCAGTGGCACCTGGAACCCCAGCAAGACAGAACCGTTCACTCCCCTGGAAAGGAGGCTGAAGCCAGGGAGCCAAGGGACAATCGAGCTTGGTGGGGGGAAGGGCGCCTGCCATTACTGAGGCTTGAGTAGGTGGTTTTCCCCTAACAGTGCTAAAGAGGCCTGGAAGCTCGGACTGGGTGGAACTCAACACAGCGTGGCAAAGTGGCTGTGGCCAGACTGCCTCTATAGATTCCTTCTCACTGGGCAGGGCATCTCTGAAAGAAAGGCAGCAGCCCAGTCAGGGGCTTATAGATAAAACTCCCATCTCCCTGGGACAGAGCACCTGGGAGAAGGGACGGCTGTGGGCGCAGCTTCAGCAGACTTAAACATTCTTGCCTGCCAGCTTTGAAGAGAGCAACAGATCCTGACAAGGAGGATTCTCCCAGCACAGTGCTCGAGCTCTGCTAAGGGACAGACTGCCTCCTCAAGTGGGTCCCTGACCCCCACACCTCCTGAGTGGGAAAGATCTCCCAACAGGGGTTGACAGACACCTCATACAAAAGAGCTCCAGCTGGCATTAGCCCAGTGCCCCTCTGGGACGAAGCTTCCAGAGGAAGGAGGAGGTGGCAATCTTTGCTGTTCTGCAGCCTCCACTGGTGATACCCAGGCAAACAGGGTCTGGAGTGGACCTCAGCCAATTGGAGCAGACCTGCAGAAGAGGGGCCTGTTAGAAGAAAAACTAACAAACAGAAAGCAACAACATCAACATCAAAAAAAAAGGACCCCCACACAAAAACCCTATACAAAGGTCATCAGCCTCAAAGATCAAAGGTAAATAAATCCATGAAGATGAGGAAAAAACCAGCACAAAAATGCTGAAAATTCCAAAAACCAGAATGCCTCTTCTCCTCCAAATGATCGCAACTCCTCTCCAGCAAGGGCACAAAACTGGACAGAGAATGAGTTTGACAAATTGGCAGAAATAGGCTTCAGAAGGTGGATAATAACAAATTCCTCTGAGCTAAAGGAGTATGTTCTAACCCAATGCAAAAAAGCTAAGAACCTTGACAAAAGGTTACAGGAACTGCTAACTAGAATAACCAGTTTAGAGAAGAACACAAATGACCTGATGGAGCTGAAAAACACAGGATGAGAACTTCGTGAAGCATACACAAGTATCAACAGCCAAATCAATCAAGCAGAAGAAAGAATATCTGAGATTGAAGATCAACTTACTGAAATAAGGTGTGAAGACAAGATTAGAGAAAAAAGAATGAAAAGGAACGAACAAAGCCTCTAAGAAATATGGGACTCTGTGAAAAGACCAAACCTACGATTGACTGAGTGTCCCTGAAAGTGACAGGAGAATGGAACCAAGTTGGAAAACACACTTCATGATATTATCCAGGAGAACTTCCCCAACCTAGCAAGACAGGCCAACATGCAAATTCAGGAAATATAGAGAACACCACGAAGATACTCCTTGAGAAGAGCAACCCCAAGACACATAATCGTCAGATTCTCCAAGGTTGAAACGAAGGAAAAAATGTTAAGGGCAGCCAGAGAGAAAGGTCAGGTTATCTACAAAGGGAAGCCCACAGACTAACAGCAGATCTCTCTGCAGAAACTCTACAAGCCAGAAGACAGTGAAGGCCAATATTCAATATTCTTAAAGAAAAGAATTTTAAACACAGAATTTCATATCCAGCCAAACTAAGCTTCATAAGTGAAGGTGAAATAAAATCCTTTACAGACAAGCAAATGCTAAGAGATTCTGTCACCACCAGGCCTGCCTTACAAGAGCTCCTGAAGGAGGCACTAAATATGGAAAGGAAAAACCGGTACCAGCCACTGCAAAAACATACCAAAATATAAAGACCAACAACACTATGAAGAAACTGCATCAACTAATGTGCAAAATAACCAGCTAGCATCATGATGACAGAATCAAATTCGCACATAACAATATTAACCTTAAATATAAATGGGCTAAATGCCCCAATTAAAAGACACAGATGGGCCAGGAGTGGTGGCTCACACCTGTAATCCCAGAGCTTTGGGAGGCCAAGGTGGGTGGATCACGAGGTCAGGAGTTCGAGACCAGTCTGGCCAATATGGTGAAGACAGGGGTCTCTACTAAAAATACAAAAATTAGCTGGGCATGGTGGCGTGCACCTGTAGTCCCAGCTACATGGGAGGCTGAGGCAGGAGAATCACTTGAACCTGGGAGGCAGAGGTTGCAGTGAGCCAAGATTGCGCCACTGACTCCAGCATGGGCAACAGAGCAAGACTCCGTCTAAAAAAAAAAAAAAAAAACCACACACAGACTGGCAAATTGCATAAAGAGTCAAAATCCATCAGTGTGCTGTATTCAGGAGACCCATCTCATGTGCAAAGACACACATAAGCTCAAAATAAAGGGATAGAGGAATATTTACCAAGCAAATGGAAAGCAAAAAAAAAAAAAAAAAGCAGGGGTTGCAATTCTAATCTCTGATAAAACAGACTTTAAACCAACAAAGATCAAAAAAGACAAAGAAGGGCATTACATAATGGTAAAGGGATCAATGAAACTAGAAGAGCTAACTATCCTAAATATATATGCACCCAATACAGGAGCACCCAGATTCATAAAACAAGTTCTTAGAGACCTACAAAGAGACTTAAGACTCCCAAACAATAATAGTGGGAGACTTTAACACCCCACTGTCAATATTAGATCAACGAGACAGAAAATTAACAAGGATATTCAGGACTTGAACTCAGCTCTGGACCAAGCTGACCTAATCCACAGAATATACATTCTTCTCAGCACCACATAGCACTTATTCTAAAATCGACCACACAATTGGAAGTAAAACACTCCTCAGCAAATGCAAAAGAACGGAAATCATAACAAACAGTCTCTCAGACCACAGGGCAATCAAATTAGAACTCAGGATTAAGAAACTCACTCAAAACCGCACAACTACATGAAAACTGAACAACTTGCTCCTGAATGACTACTGGGTAAATAATGAAATTAAGGCAGAAATAACGAAGTTCTCTGAAACCAATGAGAACAAAGAGACAACATACCAGAATCTCTGGGACACAGCTAAAACGGTGTTAACAGGGAAATTTATAGCACTAAATGCCCACATCAGAAAGTGGGAAAGATCTAAAATTGACACCCTAACATTGCAATTAAAAGAACTAGACAAGCAAGAGCAAACAAATTCAAAAGCTAGCAGAAGATAAGAAATAACTAAGATCAGAGCAGAACTGAAGGAGATAGAGACATGAAAAACTCTTAGAAAAAAATCAATGAATCCAGGAGCTGTTTTTTTTAAAAGATTAACAAAATAGACCACTAACCAGAATAATAAAGAAGAAAGAAGATAAGAATCAAATATACACAATAAAAAATGATAAAGGAGATATCACCACTGATCCCACAGAAATAAAAGCTACCATCAGAGAATACTATAAACACCTCTATGCAAATAAACTAGAAAATCTAGAAGAAATGGATAAATTCCCAGACATACACACCCTCCCAAGACTAAACCAGGAAGAAGTCAAATCCCTGAAAAGACCAATAACAAGTTCTGAAATTGAGGCAATAATTAACAGCCTACCAACCAAAAAAGCTCAGGGCCAGACGGATTCACAGCCGAATTCTACCAGAGGTACAAAGAGGAGCTGGTACCATTCCTTCTGAAACTATTCCAAACAATAGAAGAAGACAGACTCCTCCCTACCTCCCTAACTCATTTTATGAGGCCAGCATCATCCTGATTCCAAAACCTGGCAGAGACACAACAAAAAAAGAAAATTTCAGGCCAATATCCCTGATGAACGTCGATGTGAAAATCCTCAAAATACTGGCAAACTGAATCCAGAAGCACATCAAAAAGCTTATCTACTACGATCAAGTCGGCTTCATCCCTGGGATGTAAGGCTGGTTCAACATATGAAAATCAATAAATGTAATCCATCACATAAACAGAACCAGTGACAAAAACCACATGATCATCTCAAAAGATGCAGAAAAGGCCTTCAATAAAATTCAACACCCCTTCATGCTAAAAACTCTCAACAAACTAGGTACTAATGGAACATATCTCAAAATAATAAGAGCTATTTATGATAAACCCATAGCCAATATCATACTGAATGGGCAAAAGCTGGAAGCACTGCCTTTGAAAAGCGGCACAAGACAAGGATGCCCTCTCTCACCACTCCTATTCAACACAGTATTGGAAGTTCTGGCCAGGGCAATCAGGCAAGAGAAAGAAATAAAGCGTATTCAAATAGGAAGGGAGGAAGTCAAATTGTCTCTGTTTGCAGATGACATGATCGTACATTTAGAAAACCCCACTGTTTCAGCCCAAAAACTCCTTAAGCTGATAAGCAACTTCGGCAAAGTCTCAGGATACAAAATCAATGTGCAAAAATCACAAGCAATCCTATATACCAATAATAGACAAGCAGAGAGCCAAGTCATGAGTGAACTCCCATCCGCAATTGCTACAAAGAAAATAAAATACCTAGAAATACAACTTACAAGGGACATGAAGGACCTCTTCAAGGAGAACTACAAACCACTGCTCAAGGAAATAAGAGAGGACACAAACAAATGGAAAAAAAATCCATGCTCATGGATAGGAAGAATCAATATTGTGAAAATGGCCATACTGCCCAAAGTAATTTATAGACGCAATGCTATTCCCACCAACCTACCATTGACTTTCTTCACAGAACTAGAAAAAAACTACTTTAAATTTCATATGGAACCAAAGAACAGCCCACATAGCCAAGACAATCCTAAGCAAAAAGAACAAGGCTGAAGGCATCATGCTACCTGACTTCAAACTATACTACAAGGCTACAATAACCAAAACGGCATAGTACCGGTACCAAAAGAGATATATAAACCAATGGAACAGAACAGAGGCCTCAGAAATACCACCACACATCTACAACCATCTGATCTTCAACAAACCTAACAAAAACAAGCAATGGGGAAAGGACTCCCCATTTAATAAACAGTGCTGGGAAAACTGGCTAGCCATGTGCAGAAAACAGAAACTAGGCCCCTTCCTTACACCTGATACAAAAATTAACTCAAGATGGATTAAAGACTTAAACATAAAACCTAAAACCATAAAAACCCTAGAAGAAAACCTAGGCAATAGCATTCAGGAACAGGCATGGGCAAAGACTTCATGACTAAAACACCAAAAGCAATTGCAACAAAAGCCAAAATTGACAAATGGGATCTAATTAAACTAAAGAGCTTCTGCTCAGCAAAAGAAACTATCGTCAGAGTGAACAGGCAACCCACAGAATGGGAGAAAATTTTTGCAATCTATCCATCTGACAAAGGTCTAATATCCAGAATCTACAAGAAACTTAAACAAATTTACAAGAAAAAAAAAATCCCATCAAAAGGTGGGCAAAGGATATGAAGAGACACTTCTCAAAAGAAGACATTTATGTGGCCAACAAACATGGAAAAAAGCTCATCATCTCTGTTCATTAGAGAAATGCAAATAAAAACCACAACGAGATACCATCTCATGCCAGTTAGAATGGCGATCATTAAAAAGTCAGGAAACAACAGATGCTGGCGAGAATGTGGAGAAATAGGAACACTTTTACACTGTTGGTGGGAGTGTAAATTAGTTCAACCATTGTGGAAGACAGTGTGGTGATTCCTCAAGGATCTAGAGCCAGAAATACCATTTGACCCAACAATCCCATTACTGGGTATATATATACCCAAAGGATTATAAATCATTCTACTATAAAGATACATGCACATGTATGTTTACTGCAGCACTATTTACAATAGCAAAGACTTGGAACCAACCCAAATGCCCATCAATGATAGACTGGATAAAGAAAATGTAGCATATATACACCACGGAATACTATGCAGCCATAAAAAAGAATGAGTTCATGTCCTTTGCAGGTACATGGATGAAGCTGGAAACCATCATCCTGAGCAAATTAACACAGGAACAGAAAACCAAACACTGCATGTTCTCACTCATAAGTGAGAGTTGAACAATGAAAACACATGGACACAGGGAGGGGAACATCATACACCAGGGCCTGCCAAGGGGTCGGGGGAAAGGGGAGGGAGAGCATTAGGACAAATACCTAATGCATGCGGGGCTTAAAACCTAGATGACGGGTTGATAGGCACAGCAAACCACCATGGCACATGTAAACCTATGTAACAAACCTGCATGTTCAGCACATGTATCCCAGAACTTAAAGTAAAATAAAAATTTAAAAAAAGAAATTTACAACAAAATAGAATGAAATTACTTACTTCACAGGTTGCAGGTTCTCATGAAGAAGGAAACATGGATACAGTTTCTGGCATATATCAAATTTTTTTATATTATGGATTTAAATTATGTAATGTCCCATTTTGCATTGTTACTTGAGATTTTTTAAAGTGGAAATTATCTATTTACAACAACCTATGATAATGTTATTCTTATCACAATTCCTTGAGTAGACATCTCTCTCCCACTAAAAGATTAAACTTCCACTGGGAACAATGGCTCACACCTGCAATCCCAGCTACTCAGAAGGCTGAAGTGGGAAGATCATTTGAGGCCAGGAGTTCAAGACCAGCCTGGGAAACAGCAGGACCCTATCTCTACAAAAAATTTTTTTTAAACTTAACCAGGCATGATAGCAAGCACCTGAAGTCCCAGTTACTCAGGAGGCTAAGGTGGGAGAATAGCTTGAACCCAGGAGTTCAAGGCTACAGTGAGCTGCGATCATGCCATTGCACTCCAGCCTGAGTGACAGAATGAGGTCATCTCTATCAAAAAATTAAAAAAGATTAAACGTCTACTCACTTAAACTCATTAGATGGAGGTTTCAGAAACTTTAGTGTTTGAAACTCAAGTTGCGAATGTTACAGGTACATCATGACATGGTGTGGCTCCAGTGGCGCAATCGGTTAGCATGCGGTACTTATAGGACATGGCTCCCTGCTCCATGGAAGAGCCCCACAGCACACAGGCCTGGCCGTCCACTTCATCGCTGTGACCTGGGTTCTTTGCTTTGCCTCTCAGGACTGGATGGGGCTTCAATGGGTCTCACCCATGACCTGATGTAGTTTAAAGGGGGGTGACCGGGTGTTTGTAGCTGAAGAAAAATAAATTTTGTGTTTGTTGCTGAGGGGAACAAAGGCCCACAGCCTGACACCTGTTCCCTGAGGAGGCATAAAAGAAACCTGGGGAAAGGAGAATGGTTGGTATCAGTGCACAAACTACAGACCTACCCATCACGCCGCTAAGCAGTAACAGAGGCACAGGGAGTGACACCAGGTGGCTGGCCCCGGCAGGGATGGGATGCCCTTAGAGGACTCCAAGTCAACCTTAGAAAAGAGGGTGTGGGGATCAGGAAGCTTATCCTCAGCACATGCATGCCACCTATGTGAATGGAGGAAATAAAAAAATAGCAAGGGAGGCCGGGCGCGGTGGCTCACGCCTGTAATCCCAGCACTTTGGGAGGCCGAGGCGGGCGGATCACGAGGTCAGGAGATCGAGACCATCCTGGCTAAAACAGTGAAACCCCGTCTCTACTAAAAATACAAAAAATTAGCCGGGCGTAGTGGCGGGCGCCTGTAGTCCCAGCTACTTGGGAGGCTGAGGCAGGAGAATGGCGTGAACCCGGGAGGCGGAGCTTGCAGTGAGCTGAGATCCCGCCACTGCACTCCAGCCTGGGCGACAGAGCGAGACTCCGTCTCAAAAAAAAAAAAAAAAAAAAATAGCAAGGGAAGCAAGTGGGGACGCTGGGATGAGGTGGGCCTGTCCCTCCCTCCATCCCTCCTGTGCAGCCATGTTGTTGCCCTGAGAGAACTGCAGAGTCTTAGAGCTCTCTCCTGTGATTAAAGGTTGTGGAGAATTAAATCATAAACCTTTCATCTCTGTGATGCATGGCTCATCACCATACACGGGGAGGTGCTACCCACTGTGTCATTTTGTCTAATTTGAGTTTATTAGACCCTGGGCTGGCAAAGCCCAGGAAACTCACATGACAGATGCTATGTGAATGTATGTTAGCTATCACTGTGCGTTTAGTAGACTGGACTTTTCTTAGGGAAACTGAAGGCAGATTTAATCTTTAGGAAAAAAGAGAATTCACCAAGGTAATAATGTTTGAGTATTCCCTTGAAAACTGAGAAGCTGGCCATCTACAATAGGAACCCCAGGAGAGTCTATGGCTGTATTTATAAAAGAGGTGAAGACATCAGATGTGTGGGCTTCTCTCTCAGGAAGCAGTGTGAACAGGGTTCACCATCCCCAAAGGGAGGTTTCTGCAGAAGAGCTGGGAGAACCTCACAAACAGAATAAGGGGAGCAAGGATGGTGTGCTCAGCTCATTCCGAGGGCAGGAGAAGGAACACACCTCACATCCTAAAGCCGATCTCAACACTCCCTCAAGGATGCTGGTGGGTCTTCCCTGCAACAGCTTTGACTGGCTTGGGTGAAGCCGCCCACCCCTACCCGCCAAGGCCATTACCTGCTTTCCCTTCACCACGTGCTTGGGTACTGGCACCCTGACCTCCAGGTCAGTATAGTCCTGTGACCAGGTGTAGTTCTCTCGGACAGCACCATTGTAACTGTCGGGATTTTTCTGGAACTGCTCCTGAATCCTGAGAAAGAATAAAAAATGTGATCCCAGTCAGCCATGCCTGAGCAGAGGACCCCATGGGCAGCCTAGCCCATGCCACTCCTACATCCTGGAGACGTGACCAACTCAAGTTTCATCTCAAGTTCACTGGCTCTGGCATCTGCAAACTCCTCTTCTTTTCAGGTGATTTCCTTTCTGACCCTCCTACATGGTACCCATGGAAATCACAGGACAAGGGCAAAGCTACAGAAAAGAAACCCCAGTGCAGCATCCTACAGTTTAGGAAAAGTGTCTGTGACCACAGTCAAACCATAGCTGGTACTGCCAGCCTTCACAGTACTGAGATCCAGGCCTGTTAATTAACCAGAGGGCTCTTATTAATAAAATCCTTAGGCTCATGAGTCCTTGGTTTCTTATAAACTGCTTGGCAGGGTCAATCTTTAAAAAAAAAAAAAAAAAAAAAAAAAAAGAGGCCAGGCGTGGTGACTCACACCTGTAATCCCAGCACTTTGGGAGGCCAAGGGCGGGTGAATCACCTGAGGTATGGAGTTTGAAACCAACCTGGCTAACATGGTGAAACCCTGTCTCTACTAAAAATACAAAAATTAGCTGAGCATGGGAGCACATGCCTGTAATCCCAGCTACTTGGGAGGCTTGGGCAGGAGAATCGCTTGAACCTGGGAGGCGGAGGTTGCAGGTTGCAGTGAGCCAAGATCACACCATTGCACTCCAGCCTGGGCAACAAGAGCAAAACTCTGCTCAAAAAAAAAAAAGGCAAAACCACTTCATCCTGCAGCTGCTAAACTTCAATCCTAATCCAACCCCTAGCCTCTATTTTTTCATAGTAAATAAATCACAGCTAAAAGGACTGCATTAAAATTGTATGCATCATTGTTAAGACATAAGCAGTATGTTTAATGAGACAGCCTAAAAAACTCAATCAAGCAAATCTTATTGTATAGGCCTGTTATAAACACAGCACTAAATACAGATAGGCCTACCAAGAAGAAGCTGATGTTAAAAATAAAATATAATATTTTCCATAAAATGTAACAATGCTAATAATATAAACATTATGTAAGTTTAGACTCACAAGTCCATTATAGTGAACTGAAGATCTAAATTACAGACAAAAGCCTAGTCATGGAGAAGGCAGCAGCTATGAACACAGAACATTCCAACAGTAGGTGCATCTCAGTCAACTTCTCCAGGGCCTGCTCAGAGATTAGCAGACAAAACCTGGCAGGGAGACGGCCCCATGGGCTTGTAAACAATGTGTGCACTATGATCTGGTTCACACAGGAAAACACAAAACTACATGTATCTACATCTATATAGATGCACATACAAGACAAGGATTGGGAAGGGGTGGTTCAAGAGGGCAGGCTTTCTCTGGCCAGAGTTCTAAGACAAGAACATATTTACCTACTGTGGGTATGCCCTGCACACTGTCTATGCATGAAGCTGGGCCTCCACCACGGCCTGAGTCCTCTGGGCTGGGCAATAGTGGCTGTTAAGAACTGAATTGGGTCCCCTAAAACGCTATGTTGGAATCTTAATCCCCAGGACCTCAGAATGTGACCTTAATAAAAACAGGGTCTTTACACAGGTGATGCAGTTACAACAAGGTCATTAGGGTGGGCCCTAATCCACTATGACTGATGTCCTTAAAAGGGGGACTTTGGAGAGATGACGTGAAGGCCATGTGGAGACAATGGGGTGATGTGCCTATAGGCCAAAAAACGTCAAGGACCGCAGGCCACCACCTAAAGCTGGAAGAGGAGAGGGAAGATCTTCCCCTAAGACCTTCAGAGGGAACATGGCCCTGCTGACACCTTGATCTCAGACTTCCCCTCTAGGAACTGTGAAGAATCAACATTTTTCGTTTAAGCCGGCCATTTTGTGGTACGTTATTGTGGTAGCCTGAGCAAACACAGTGGCTAAGGAAACTAATTTCAATCAGAGGTGATATTCAAAATTCAGCACTGAATATTGGCAGGACTAGGCACTAACCAATCGGAAGAGATGTTAGCCTTAAACTACTCACACAGGCGGGCCACTGTGGGACAGAGAGATGACATACAGAAACCAGGAGTTACATAGGATTCCTGACTGAATGACATGAGAAAAGAGGGTGGGGGGAAGGAAACTAAAGAATGCTCAATAGGTTGAAAATGGACAGCAAAAGAAAGATTTAGATGCAACCAATAAACATATTTTCAAAGACTATTTAGTAATATGAAGAAAGCTTTCAATATACCATAAAACTGAAAAGTGGGTATTATTACTTTTAAGTATGGTATGACTTTAATTTCTAAGAAGAAATATATAATATACACACAAGTGTGCACATATATATGAAAAAGACTGAAAGGAAGCACATTAAATTTTTGTGGTTATCTCTGATAGTAGAGTAACAGGAATCTTTCTTCTTTGTACCTAGGTATTATCCAAACTCCCTAGAATATGTAGACATTTTTATAGCCAAGAGAAAAATGGTTCTCTTTAAAAAATGCTAACAGGAGACAGTGATGCACCCTGCAGCCCCTGTACCCAGGTGCGGTCCCACGGCCACGGCAGCAGCACTAGCCTGACCCTTGGAGCAGGGTACGAAGGAGTCAGACACAGAGAGGGGGACTCACCCAGACCCCAAGTTTCCACAGGATCCTTCTAGGTGAGCACTGACAGCAGCTTTAAGACTCATATCTGACATAAATATGCTTAAACATGCAGAGAATATCTCCAAAAGAACAATAGGGTAGCAGCAGCTACCTTTATGGCTGGAAACTGGAGACTTCTCTTCATTGACACTTTTGTACATACATTACCATTTGAAAAAAGTCAAAATTGTGAAAATATATAAATAAAATACCCACACACACACACACTCACACACACACACACACACACACACACACACACAAAAGACCAACATGGCCCCAGCACTTGGCAGAGATCAGGGAGTAAACATGAAGACTCCTCAAAAGTTGGGAAAAAGAAACGGCTCTCTCAAGAAAGGAGAATGAGTATAATGCCGGGGGATATCCTTGGGGACGCTGCCGCCAGCAACAGTGCAGTCACTTGGCCTATACCACCAGTGATGCCCACATGGGTTCTGCCTCCTCCAGGGCAAAAGGCTGTCAGTCTCTGCCTTCGAGTGAGGGGGGACATCTGACACCCTTGCCACTACACGCTGCAGTAAAGCTGTATGCTTTTGGAAAGGGCTCTGATCACACAGAACCTGCCTAACCCCATCCTCCTGCCGTGTCCTCAGTAGCCCTGGCCTGGCTCCTCTTGCATGGAACCTGCAGATTCCCTCCAAAGGAAGCAGGAGAATCACTCCTAAAACAGCCCTTGCAAGTTGTTGGGTGCTTTTTATAGTGCTCTGAATGCACATTCTATTTAAATAAGGTTGATTATTTCCAGCCAACAGTATGTAAAAATAAGCATCCTGTCAAGTGCAGGTGTCTCTGGCCCCCACTGTGCCACTGTTGGTCACCCCTGCAGCTGCAGGCCTGGGCACATGGTAGGAGGCAGGGGAGGGAGCATCCATGCTTCAGCACCAAGGGTGGGAGTAGGAAAGTGAGTCAGCAGTCAGGTTGAAGATTATGGAGTAGGTCTCCCTGCAGCTCCCACTCCTGATGAGCTGGGATAACAAGGTTCTAAATGTGTTAAAGGAAAAACACAGAACAGGCTCTGTTGGGTGCTGTGGGTAGCAGGGCCCTCTGTCTCCTTGGGGATAGGCCAGACCCTTCCTGGCAGACTGCAGGCCTAGGCGCTCCTGAGTGTGGCAAGCCAGGCACCAGGGTCACCTGCACAGGGAGAGCTAGCAGCACTGCCACCAGGAGTCACTGTCATGCAGACAAGCAGTTCCTGAGTAGGTGAGGTTTCTGACCGGGTTCCTGAGACTCATGGTCAGGAAACTGACCTACCCAATCTGCCTGTTTGAGTGCTGCCACTAGAAACAAAAAGGTCCTCTCTCCTTCCTTTTTTTTTTTTTTTTTTTTTTGAGACGGAGTCTCACTCTGTCACCCAGGCTGGAGTGCAGTGCCACGATCTCGGCTCACTGCAACCTTCACCTCCCAAGTTCACATGATTCTCCTGCCTCAATCTCCAGAGTAGCTGGGATTACAGGTGCGCACCACCACTCCCAGCTAATTTTTATATTTTAGTAGAGATAGGGTTTCACCATGTTGGCCGGGCTGGTCTCGAAATCCTGACCTGAAGTGATCTGCCTGCCTCAGCCTCCCATAGTGCTGGGATTACGTGCGTGGGCCACCGTGCCCAGCCTCCTTCCATTTGTTTTTAAAAACCACAGGATTAGGCTAGGCTCACACTTGCAATCAATCTCAGCGATTTGGGAGGCCAAAACAGGAGGATTACTTGAGGCCAGGAGTTTGAGACCAGTCTGGGCAACGTAGGAAGACCCATCTCTACAAAAAATTTTAAAATTAGCCACACATAGTGGCACACACCTGTAGTGCTGGCTACTCGGAGGGTTGAGGTGGGAGAATAGCTTGAGCCCAGGCGTTTAAGGTTATAATGAACTATGATTGTACCACTGCACTCCAGCCTAGATGACAGAATGAGACCCTGTCTCTAAAACAAAACAGGATCAGACAATTCTGATTTTCAAAAAGCTAGTGGCAAGTATGTAAAATGAAGAGTAAAAGGAGGTCAAAGACCTAACCTGAAGAGTTTTGTCTAGGAAGCTAGAGCCCCAAACCTATAATAGATTTATAATTCAATGAGACAAGGGCTGACCTCAAGCTCTTCTCCAGAGAGAGAATGCCTATGATAGGCACTGACTGCCTGACTAAAGGCAAGGTTTGGCTCCCCAAGTCACAGCCAGTGATTCCAAAGCGGAGGTGTTTGCACAGAAATGTCAAGCTTGCTGCTCCCCACTTCCCGCCCCCTGGGGCTCAGTGATTGAGGCCCGGTTTGTCAACCCCCTCTCCACCACCCCAAATACAGCTGTTCTTTCATGTCTCTTGCAATCAATCCTGTCTACCCTTTAAATGTTCACACTCTTAACTACATTGCCCTTAACTACATTGCGCAAAAGCCACTACTCTGTGCAAAGATGACAACATCCCTGTCACCCTCATCTCCTTCCATTATCCCAGGTGTAAGAGCTGTCATCACACCTCACCACCTGTTGACCTCACTGTCCCCTCAGGAGAGGTCCCACAACATCTGGGTGCAATGTACATATATGTGCTAGGGTCTGAAATGTTTGTGTTCCCCTAAAACGTGTATCTTGAAATCCTAACCCCGAAGGTGATGGCAGTAGGAGGTAAGGCCTTTAGAAGGTGATTAGGTCATGAGGGTGGAGGCTCTGAGTGGGATTAGTGCCCTTACATGGAGGCCTCAAAGAGCTTCCTCATCCCTTCCACTATGGGAGGACACCACAAGAAAACAGAGGTCCATGAATCAGGAAGCAGGGCCTCCCCAGACACTGAATCTTCTGGTGCCTTGATCTTGGACTTCCAACATCCAGAACTGTGAGAAGTAAATTTCTCACAGAAGCTACCCAGGCTATGCTATTTTGTTATAGTAGCCCAAATGGACTAGGCCAACATGTGTGTGTGTGTGTATAGTACATGTGTGTGGCATGTGTGCAGTGCACTGTGTGGTAAAAGTATGTGTGCACTATATGTGTGTGTGGGGTACGTGTGTGCATACAATGTGTGTGTGCCACATGCATGCGGCTGGTGCATGTGTACCTGCATGTGCATGTGGGCACATGTACTGTGTGTGCAGTTTGTGTGTGTGGTGTATGTGTGTGGTGCACATGTGCATGCAATGTGTGTGTGGTGCATGTGGGCATGCAGTGTGTGTGTGCTATGTGCATGTGTGTGGTATGCATGTATGCACACAGTGTGCATATGCGTGCATAAGGTATAGTATGGGCACGCAGTATATATGTGTGTGATGTACGTGCCATGGGTATGAGGCAACCAGCAGACATGGCTCACTCCCTCCCTTGAAATTCTCACCTGTCTCTTATCAATTTTCTTCTCATCTCACTGACCTGGCACATCCCACACCTGGATGGCAGCCATGGCTGCGTCTCTTCTCAGTTTCTTCACATGCCACTGTGATTACATTATTCTCAACAACCTCATATGGCTCCCCACGGCCCAGGAGACAAGGCCAGGGCCTCAGCAAGGCACTCGAGGTAGCCCATGATTGAGTCGTCATGACTCCTTCCTCCCTTTTTCCTCCTGCTCCCACAAATGAATCCTCCTCCTCATCTGTCAACTCTTCTCTGCCTATGCTCAATCTCAACTCAAGATTTCTTCCACCTGATGGAAATACGGTGAATTTTCTTCTGGGTTTCTTCATTTTCAAAGCTTTACAAAATAAGCATTATTATAAAAATGACCCATCCTTGAGGCCCACTGCCCTGCTTCTGAAGCCTAAAACTCATGGTCTGCCAGGCCCACTTCCTACTTCTCGGTTTTATCTTCCTAGGAGTGTTCACTCCTGAGAGCTCGTCCACTCATGCTGATTTCAGTGCTCAAAAATGACTCGATGCCTGGACCCCAGCCCTGGGCCCCCAGCTGCCAGGTCTGCCCCAACGCCAGCAACCCAGACGTAGCCTGGGCCTTGGTCTTGGCCTCTGCAGCCTTCAACCTTTTCACTTACAAAGGGACAGGCTGGAGCCAGTCACTACTCCCAGGCTTCCACACAGACAAGCACCTCACACTAACCAGCCTTCCTGCAACTCTTGCCAGATTCGTCTGTCTAGAGGGTGGTGCCTCCCTGCCTGCTGCCCAGCTCTCACTGAGGTTCCCCTACCCGCCAGGCTCCTTTCATTGTTGTGGATGCATTATTTCTAAGTTCATGCTTCTTTACTAGCAGGGATGTGACCCCCCCGCCCCGCAATATCAGGCCAACTGTGGATACCCTGCCACCTCAGCCAGACACACAAAAGGTTTGATGCCAATGCAGCAAGCAGCCACCCCAGGCCACGGGCTCTGGTCTCAAGTATGTCCTACAAATCAATGTCTCCAAGCCAGTCCCCTAGCAGTCAAGCAGTTTCCCTGAATGCTCTGTGTGTCCGTGGTGTCCAACCTGAGGTCAAGCCCAGCTTCCCCGCACAGCAACCAGGTAACGGTGACTAGGTCACTCAGCCTCTCTGTGCCTTGGTCTCCTGACCTATAAAATGGGAACACTAATAGCATCTCTCCCAAAAGGTAGCTGTGAGGAACAAACCATTTAAAATGACTAAAACAAGGTCTCGTGACACTCAGTATTGCTTTCTCACTCACTGCTTTCCCTTTAGAAAGTCTTTGGCTATGGAAAGAACTCACTGAGCAGCTTTTATGACTATGGGATGATTCTTGAACCCTCTGAGACATTTGGAGAGAGAAGTTATGTCTTTTGCCTAGTAATTCTACACTTCTTTATTGCCTAATAATTCTACACTTTTTTTAGATTTTTCTAAAAATCTAGTATCAATAATTTTATCAATACCTGATTGTTATCTGTTTAGCATCTACCACACTTTGGTCTTGCAATGACAGTAGCCTGCCTACTTTAAAGACAATGCTAACTCACCAAGAGGAGAGCCAGAGTTCCTGGAGATGTAGCTAGTCCCCAACCTGGGACCAGAACACACACGGTAAGCCTAGCCGTCTTCCTTACAAGTGGGGAACTGTCAAAGACCAGGAGGGTCATGCTGAAAGGACACATGAGCCAATTTCAGAAGGCTCCCTGCTGGCCAAAGACGGGACAATCAGAAATAAATAAATAAAGTCCACAATGGACTGAAGCACGTAGCATATGAAAAATCCATGAGTTCATAAAACGAAATCTCCAGGGGTCACCTTTGGTGATCAGAGAACAGCTCAACTTGAAAAGTCATCAATAAAATGGTTCCATAGGAACTGTAATTTCAGAAAGGCCATGCCCCTAAATAAGAATTCCAGATAATAAGCAAAGAATGTAAAACACAATGAGAACATCACTATCTTGCACCATCTTCTGTAATGAAGGCAATGAGTCTGGCAACTTTCATTCATTCCTGGTGGGCACCAGGTGAAAAGCTGAGGAGGAACCTGTGACAGAAGGATCCAGAACACCCCAAATATCTGTGACACACATGCCATGTACCTCCTGAGAGGGCCTGCCTATTGGGTACCCCTGCCCCCAACACAGGACCTCGAATCCATTCCAACCTACAGGTCTGAATACCACTTTACAATAAAGACGAGGGGCAGAGAAGCATGGCCATCACAACCAGGAGCACACAGTCAGCCAGATCTAGAATCAGGGAAATTATAACAGGCTAAGTTCTAAGTTTTTTGGACAAATAAGTGGCATGGGACAAAAAATGAGAAGGGGAACTACCCTAAATTAAGAATCATAAGATCTATCAAATTCAATGTTTAGACCTTTGCTGGGATGCTAATTTGAAGAAAAAAAAATTTTTTGAGACAATCAGGAAAATGTGAATATAGACTGGGTATTAGATGATTTTAAGGAATTACAAATTTGTAAGATAAGATAATTATATTAAATTTAAGTCCTTATTTCTTATTGAAGTATTTACGGGTGAAATTACATGATGTCTGGGATTTGTTCTATCAAAAACAAAACCAAAAGTCTGAGAGTAGGGAGAAAGATGAAACAACAACCATGTCGTGTTGCTAAGTGATGAAGCAGGGTGAAAGTTTCGTGGGCGTTCATTATGCTATTCCCTCCTTTTTGTGTACTTCTGAAAATCTAAAGAGTTTGTCTTGGCTATACAACTAGGAGCAGAACTTCTAGGTCAAAGGATATATACATATACAACTTTAAGAGATAATGCCAAACTGTTTTCCAGAGGGATTGCCCCAATTTACTCTCACCAGCAAAGTGGGTCATGCTACAGAACTACAGGATCCATGCTTTGTACTGTCAGACTTTATACAATCTTGCCAATTACATATATATAAAAATAGTTCTCAATATAGCTTTAACTCACATTTCTCTGCTTATTAATGGGGCTGAACAGCTCTTCATATACTTATTGGTCATATATGTCTCATCACCTGTGAAATTCCAGTTCATGTCTTTCACTATTTTTGTCTGTAATTTCTTTGATGTGTAGAAGTTCTTTATATATGTGGATAAGAATTATTTGTTGGTTTACAGTTTACAAATTCTTTCTAGTTATAAGTTGTTGTCATACTTTAAAGACGTCTATCTGGTCAACACAAATTCTTCATTTTAATATAGTCAAACGCACCAATCTTTATTCACATTAACATTTTTATATACTCAGAACTCCTTCCTTCCTTAAAGTCTAAAAGAGAGTTACATCATTTTTCTACCAATATGCTCTCATAATTTTTTTTTTTATTCTCTACTTGTTATTACCCCTTTTTCTTTTCTTTTCTTTTTTTTTTTTTTTTTTGAGACGGAGACTTGCTCTGTCATCCAGGCTGGAGTGCAATGGTGCGATCTCGGCTCACTGCAACCTCTGACTCCTGGGTTCAAGCAATTCTCCTGCCTCAGCCTCCCAAGTAGCTGGGATTACAGGTGTGTGCCACCACACCTGGCTAATTTTTGTATTTTTAGTAGAGATGGGGTTTCACCATGTTGGTCAGGCTGGTCTCAAACTTCTGACCTCATGATCTGCCCGCCTTGGCCTCCCAAAGTGCTGGGATTACAGGCGTGAGCCACCACACCTGGCCATTACCATTCGACCTTTGTTTCTTTGTAAATTCTCTTTTCTTCTCTCAATAAGTTGTACCAGAAGTTCGTCTATGTTGATGTTTTTTTTCCTTCAAAGAACCAATTTTTGCCTTTTGCTGATCTTCTGTATTTGCCATTTAAAGTCCAGCTGAGGAACACAGAGGAGAGAGACCCCAGGGACTACCCTGTCACTGACCTGACTCTGGCCTGTGTGGGGGCCACAGGGGTTGGGGCAGCCCCACTGATACTGTTTGATTAGTCAGGAAGGCTCCTTTTAATAAAAAATTCTTTTAAGAAGTATATTTGAAAATGTGTTTCACATTTTAAAATTAACTTTGTAGCTACAGTTAAAAAGAACTAGATGATTCTATATTTACTGAAAATAAATAAGGCAAGATACTTGGAGTCACTGATAATATGCCCACTAATACTCTGATAGATTTAAATGCAAATTTAGGGAATACTTTTGACAATCTGTGACAGATGGTCAGCCAACATCAACAAAAATCAGTATATTTACTATAAAACTACTTTAACTTAGTAAAAATGGAAGTTTGTACAGTGAGTTTTTTCTTAAATTGTGTTATTTTAATGAGGGAAAGAGGCTTCCTAATTTTTTAGCAGTATTTAAGTGTGAAATATATATTTTAAAACAAAATTAGATAATCTACGCCATAAATATGTCAATATAAGAATTCTGAACTAAGCTGGGTGTAGTGACTTACGCCTGCAATCCCAGCTACTCAGGAGGCTGAGGCAGGAGGACTGCTTGAGGGCAGGAGTTCGAGATCAGCCTAAGCAACATAGTGAGAGACCCCCCCATCTCTTAAAAAAAAATTCAGAATTATGTAAGTATCTTACCTTAGTCTTTACCCAATTTTATTTTCCTGTTCATTCAAAATCAGAAAAATTAAGACCAGCTTTACTATTTAAATTCTCAAAAGACTTCCCATGTGAGAAAAAATTAGGCCAAAGAAAACTCCTAACACTCAAACCTATAGTACCTATAGTATCAAAAAAGATGCATACCAATGACACAATTATTTCTCAAAAATGTCCTTTTCAGAAGTAGAGAAAACTTGGAAGCTTTCTAATTCATCCACAGCTTACACCCTAGATTCTGAATCCCTTTCCTCAAAATCATGGCCTTGTAGACGTTGCACCAATCCTAGACTGTCCTCAACCAGCCCTAATCAAGACCCCCCCACCCCACCCCACACCCAGTGCTAATTCTGACCCCACCCTATACCCAGTGCTAATCCACACCCCACCCTCATATCAAGAGAGTGCTAAGAGAAGGGGACTGTAGACTTCTATACACAGCTGGAGGATTTAGTCCCCAGAACAGTATTTTTCAAAGGGGAGGTATAAAATCTCCTTAGCAGAGCAGAACAGAATAAAATGGAATGAAATACGCAAGATACACTGCCAGAAAAAGAGCAAGCTCTGTTTTGTGAAACTGCCACTATGCAGGTACGTGCATACCTGGAAGCCTTGTTAACATGTATTTCTCACTATAACTACAGGTTGCAGCCAAAGTTTAAAAGCCACTGGCCATAAAAACCTATCACATTCATAGAAAAGGAGGTAAGAACAGAAGTTCTTGCTACACCTCGGTGAAGAGGAGGCCAGTGAGGCAATGAACTAACAGAGGGGCCCACAACAGCAATTACAAGCAGTGCATGAGGATGACTAACTCAAAAACATACAGCAGGAGGAGGAGTAGCGAGTGAGCACTGAGCAGTGAGAGCGGGTGGCCTGGGGGAAAGAAGGACATACCAATCATCATTGGAAGAAGGTGAAAAACTGGGGGCTCATAACCACAGCAACAACAGAAGTGAGGACACAGGATTCTGTTGGCCAACAATTTGTCAGGGACACATCTACTCCATGACAAAGAACTCACCTATTAAAAGAGGTTGTTAAATGCAGGTGACAGCTCATGTTTAGTTCCTATACATCCAGGTAGAGAGGTAAAAAAGAGGTATGTGTCACAGTGGGGTAGTAAACACACATCCATGTCCTGGCTTGGTCTGCTGACAGGGCCTAGAAGCAGGAGCCACGTGCCCTCTGAGTGCCCAGATCTTGGTTTCTAAATACCATTCAATAAAGGGAATTGGGCTCCCTGGACAATTCCTTTGGACAATGGCTGATTCTAGGACTGGAACAGAGAAAATACAAGATAAACCCAGAGAATCCTGTAGTGCCAAAAAGTAAGGAAGTGCTTAAAAAAAAAAAAAACAGTTGGGGAGGGGGTAGGGGGATGCAAAGATGTCAAAGAACTCAGAAGCCACAATGGCCAGAGCTGGAACAGTGTGGGGGGCAAAATAAATAATACAGTAGCAAAGAATAAATGAACCACCCATGAGTCCATACTGATATAAGTAACTGAATAAATTATAATGAACAAATGAGGGAAGGGGACAAATCTTCCTAATGGAAGTCCAATTAAAAATGTAGAAGGAATGAGGGAAATAGGAAATTGCCATTAAAACATAATTGCCAAGAGCCACTGATGATGCTAACTAACATCAGTAGGACCTTAAGGAAACAGGATATTTGCATAATCTCTAAGTCAGTATCTTCCCCCAAAATATTTATCAATTCCTTGTAGTGGTTTTAACATATGCTAAGAATTTAACAAATAATTTGAAACTCCTCCATCCTCCTAGGAAGCAGGATTAATGCCCCGCCCTTCAGTGGGGCTGGACTTAGTGGCTCTCATGAACAGGGTACAGAGAGGGGACAACGGGCACATGACATTGGAGGAACCTGGCCAACCAGCCTCAGCCACATGATCCAAGCAAACGTCACAGTAATAATTCATGTTAACATCATGTACCTCCAATGTGACATGATGAGAAAGACAAGACACCTCTGTGGTATTCCTCTCCAAATCCATAGCCCTGAGTCTAATCATAAGAAAACACTACATAGACCCAAATTGGGAACATTCTACAACATACCTGGCCTCTTCAAAAGTGTGAACGTCCATGAAAATCAAAAGAAGATGGAAATTGCCACAGACTGAAGGTGACGAGAACATAATGCCTAAATGCAAGGTGACTCCTGGACCTAATTCTGGAATAGAAAAGGGACACTAACTAGTGAGAAAACCAGAAAAATTGAAAAAAAAAAAAAAAAAAAAGCCTGTGATCATTATTACTAACTTGACACAGGATTTTTTTTTTTCGATTTTTCTGGTTTTAGTTAGTTTTCACAAATATATCATGCCAACTAACACTCAAAGAGAGGGAAAGGGGAGGAGGTTTAAGTCTGCAGCTGTGACAATTCAGACCATGGGGTTGAAGCCAGCCCATAGTTTGAATCCTGGGCTTCAGCTCATACTAGGTGTGTTATCTGAGCAAATTCCTCTATCTCATTAAAGCCTCAATTTCCTCATCTATAAAATGGGAACAATAATGATCCCAATTCTTAGCCTGTTGTGAGACTCATAAGCTCTTACCTAGTCTTCTTGCATGTGAGCTCTCTCTCTCACCAACATGAGGCTATTAGTAATACCTGAGTTAACAGTTTCCTTCCCTTGATACTGAATCACAGTCCTAAGCAAAAAGGTTTAGCACCCATTTTCAACTCAAGATGACAGTATTTTTCTCTTTTTCCTCCTTTTCTTCCCATCTCCCATATTCCCACAGTCCCACCAACTTTGAAAAGCAAATAAAAGCACTTTTCTCTCCATAATTTCCCTGCTGGGTGCCACTATTCACAGCACTTGATATAGCAAATTCTGGCAATGCTTTCCCATTTGATTTATCTAGAAGGTTGTTATTTACTGCTCCTGCTGTTTTGGGGGCGAAAATGTTAGTGGTCTACCAAGAGGACTTTCCAAAAATAACAAGACGTGTTTTCACAACAGTCAGTATGTGGAGGGCACTGTCATGTTGGTTTCTTAGCTTTACTCATAGCATGACAACACTGGATTTTTAGGGATTCTTAGACTAAACTACTTTGATATGACTAGTGAGGTTATCTTTTGTTTTCTTGAAGATATTATATCCTGGGAGGACTTTCAGTACCAAGAACCACCCAGTCTTCCAGGGAGAAATGAATTCCACATTGTCCAATTTTGCTCCCGCCAACAATAGCACCAATTTATTCTGCCTGGAGTATGGAAGCATCAGAAACCCTACATACAGCCCAGTCAAAGACTCGCCATGTCTACCCGCCCTGCCCAGCCTCTGTTCAGTCTCTGGACTCTCTGTGCCACCCTCGCAGCTAGGACTACCCACACTTGGATCCCAGGCTTCAGGTCAGGGCTCCATAGCTAGCCCACACATCAGAGCCGGCCCCACCTGCCACTCAAAGAGTACTGGCCCAGGTAACCTTACTGTTGTAGGTCCCAGGACACAGATGGGAACAACGTGGGACTTACAAACTTGGAGTTAATCAAAAGTGATTAAGTGGCTCTCAGAGCCTCTGGTCAACAGAGAAGGCCCCTGGGAGGAGCTGGACATTCACACAGAACTCTGATAAATGGCAAGACAGGGCCAGCTATGAAGACCACAGAGATGAGCAGCCTAGACAGTGTCCCACACAAACTCCTTGATCCACAGCCACAGCACTGGCTCAGGGCTCATCTTTGCCTCCAACTCACTGTGCCCTTGGGTTCATATCTCCATTTTCACATTTATAAAACTTACAAAATGGGAGCACATGAGTACCTTCCTCAAAGATGTTCCTGGGGTTAATGAGTGAATAGATACAATGCTCAGAACAGTGTACGACTCAGAGTAAGTGTTAGCTGCAGTCATCACTGTCACCATCATTAATATTTTTACTGATGTAGATTATTAATACAAATAATATTGTTATCATCAAAGAGGAGAAGCTATCTTACTAGCCAAGATCAGCATAGGGCTTTTTAAAACAGAGTTCAGAATTTAATTAAAAAGTGATTGCAAATCACTGCAAGGTTGGGACAGGGAACAATGTTATTTGGTTGTTTTAAAAGGTCAATGCACAGCTGCCACATGGAGAGTAGACTGCAGAATGCCAAAAGAAGTAGTTCCAGGGGCTGTTTGGGGGCACCAGCATGGAGACTGCAGGCAAGCCTGAGGGTGTAAGCACATGCAGGAGAGTATGCACCTGGGGGACCCAGGGCAGGGCCAAGGACACTCAGGCTGAATCACTTCAGCCCCACGAGGGCTGAAGATGGGAGGGGACAAGTGACAAGATGGAGGCTCACCTCGCCTCATTCATCTTCTGTCTCAGCTCACTCATTGAATTACTTTCCTCTTACCCTCAAGTCTTTAACAAAATTGAACTTCCTCCCTAACTACAAGAGGGGCGGACTCTCCCCTTTTCTTTTTTTTTTTTTTTTTTTTGAGACAGAGTCTCACTCTTTGGCCCAGGCCGGACTGCAGTGGCGCTATCGCGGCTCACTGCAAGCTCCGCCTCCCGGGTTCACGCCATTCTCCTGCCTCAGCCTCCCGAGTAGCTGGGACTACAGGCGCCCACCACTGCGCCTGGCTAAATTTTTTTTCTTTCTATTTTTAGTAGAGAAGGGGTTTCACCGTATTAGCCAGGATGGTCTCGATCTCCTGACCTCGTGATCCACCCACCTTGGCCTCCCAAAGTGCTGGGATTACAGGGGTGAGCCACCGCACCTGGCCTCCCCTTTTCTTTATAGCACCTTCATACTTAACACCATGACATCAAATGACAACGTATTCACACAGAAAGCAGGCATTTTGTTTACTGGTTTATTTATGTTTACTTATGCAACCAAGAGAACCTATATGGCTGTCATGGGAGCCCTACCTTCTAGAAAGAGAACAACCACATCCAGCACAGTTTCTAACACACTCTGCATACAGGTGGGATGAGCTTTGAACACATTCAATATAAAAAAAAAAAGAACAGGTAACAGGTACAATGAGACTGCATGCTAATCTTAAAGAAGACATTCCACAACTTGTTACCTTTAAATTATCAGCTTTCCTATTACATTAAACAAGATTCAAGTAGCCAAAGTCTGAATTTTGTTTTCAATTTTACAAGAAATCTTTTTTTTTCTTTTCTTTTTTCTTTTCTTTTTTTGAGATGGGGTCTCGCTCTGTCGCCCAGGCTGGAGTGCAGTGGCGCCATCTTGGCTCACTGCTACCTCCACCTCCCGGGTTCAAGCAATTCTCCTGCCTCAGTCTCCTCAATAGCTGGGATTACGGGCATGCACCATCACACCCAGCTAATTTTTGTATTTTTAGTAGAGACGGGGTTTCGCCATGTTGGCCAGGCTGGTCTCGAACTCCTGGCCTCAAGTGATCCACCTGCCGCAGCCTCCTTCTAAATGCTGGGATTACAGGCGTGACCCACAGTGCCTGGCCCAATTTCACAGGACTTCTAAGAGCTGGATGCTGTTTAGGCTGAGGTCCTTGACTGTCTAGGTGAAGACCTGGGGCCCAGGTGCTGCTCGGGATAGTGGAGAAGAGACCCCACCTCAGCTCAAGCCCCATCTTCAGTTCTCCTGGGAGGTGGTTTACTGTAAAGTCAGTCTTCTTTATGAGCACCAGCCTCCTCTCATTATACTCTGAAATGCCTGTGTTTGCAAGCAAAAATGTACAACTGGAATTCAAGAGTATAGTCTATGAAATTCTCATAAAAGTGAGATTCCAGGTGTGTTCATCTAAGACTAATGCATTTGGATACCTCTCAGCTTCAAAAGACGCTATCATGTGAAAAGGCTAGAGCTTTTTCTATGAGCAAAACCGAAGGTTTGCTGTATTGAGAACAGAATTTCTGGAATGAGAAGGCTCAGGCCAGTGCAAGGAGGGCTACAGACTCAGGGTCCCTGCCCGCCACTTTAACCTTCTCATCTCACAGGTTATCAACAGATGATAGGATAGGAGGCATCCTATCACCTGTTCCTTGGCCTGTAAATCTAAAAAGAGAAAGCCAGAAAAAGTAAAGCAGCCCCTCTGCCCCTCTTCTTTCTGAGAAAGCATCCAGATAATCACAAAGGTTTGCTCCCTCCAAGACCTGTCCGAGGTGTCCCAGGCCTGGGGACAGGGGAAGGTGGATGTAAAGAACAGAAAGCTTTTCTGGCTGGGAGACAGGGCCCAATCCCTGAGAAGCCTCACACAAGTGCAGCATTTATATACATTCACAAAGAGAAAACCTCAACAAACTCGAGTTTGCTATTTAATAGAATCTTACACTAAGTCCTTTTGGTAAAGCAAAGAATTACTTTGACAGAGCAAAACTCCTCTACAAATTGAATACTTACATAACACCCCAACTTTAACGTTAATTAGCACGCACCCACTATCAGTAATGCTGAGTCCTGTAGGCCTGGGAGAAGCTCCCA
This sequence comes from Homo sapiens, assembly GCF_000001405.40. Taxonomy (NCBI): domain Eukaryota; kingdom Metazoa; phylum Chordata; class Mammalia; order Primates; family Hominidae; genus Homo; species Homo sapiens. The sequence goes on from NC_000007.14 coordinate 44,444,693, forward strand.
CTCCCCTCTGTGAGACCCTGTGCCGTAAGTATCACTTGGTCTCTTGGATCCCCAAGCCCTTCTTACCCACTGATACCTTGCCTCATGCCTCACTCTTCCTTAAAATCAGTCAAACACAAGGACTCACAACTCTTCTTTCAACCAGCCTTCTGTTCAGGCTGCTGCCTTCTTCCTTTTATTCCCAGCGAAACATCTTGAGTCAGTTTCTTCCCACCTTACCTTCCAATATGCCCCACTGTGAAATCTCTGCCAATCACAAATGACTTCCAAGTATCATAACCAAACTTGCCTTTCTGAATTTCTGTCCATCTGATACCTCCACAACATCTGACATGAATGTCCCACCCTTGGACTACCCAGGCTCTCCCTCTGCTCCACCTCCACCTGTTCTCCCTCTCCTCCAACTCACTGGTTTCCTTTGGCTGACCCTTCCTGCTGCCTGCCCCTTACACTCCAAAGAACACAGTGCTATCTCTATATCTTCCGCACATGCACCCCTGAACTGCAACAGCTGCCTGGTATGTATCCTTTCTACATCCCCTACCTTGTCCACCCTGACTGACTGCTGCCTATTAACTTTCTGACAAATCTGAGCAAACACTCTTGAGTTAGATAAGTTGCCCCAGTTTCTAAAGATAAGCCCCAATTCTTTAGCATGAATCAGGGTCTTGGCAGGGCAGAGACATGCACAGTGTGGTCCCTGCCAGCCCCATCCCTGTTCACTCCCTTCCCCTAGGAACACAGGAATATCAGCATCCCTTTAATGGTATCATTTCTTTGCACAGGTTCCTCCCTCTGACCAGGTGCTTGCCCCTTCTCAACTGCTGACCTCCAATGTCATCTGCCTCACAAGGTCTCTGCAGGTTGCTCCACATCCGCAATGACTGTTTTTGGTCTTTTTCCTGTTTGTTTTGTTTTTGGAGGGGAGGAGGGGTGGGTTGTGTGTGTGCACACAGGTGTGCACAGTGGAAGGTGTATCTAGACAGAAATGAACACAACACAAACAGTCACACACACTGCATGGAAATCCGTTACGACAACTTTCAGCTGATGTAAAGCTCTATGAAGCAATGAGTTCTCTAATGAGAAAGTGAAAAACCAAGGCAAAGAGGTTTTACGTGTCTGATTTGATTAATGCAAGGTACATCTTTCAAGAATTCCAGATAAAGGAGAACCGAAACCAGTACTTAAGGACACAGACTCTGGAGTCAAAAATCCCTGCCCAGCCACTAGTTGGTGATACAACCTTGTGTCTCTAAGCCTCCGCTTTGCTCATCAGTAAAGTCAGGGAAACAACACTTCCATTGCAGAAGTAGTGCAGAGCTCAGGTAAGACAACCTATTAGCTGTAGCTGACATTACTGCACACTTACCTATGGGTCTATGCCAGTCCAAACATTATCCCCAATTGACACATGAGGCTGGACTATTCAAGTCCTATAGACATCCTTAGCCAAGCCTGTGACCTCTGGGTGTCACAGTTCTCAGCCAGAGAGCCTGTGTGTAGTCATACTCTCATGAGGACAAAATGGGCTTTCCTTGTGACCATCTTAGGGTCTTGGTCAAAGAGTTGCTGTTTTCATTACCTGAGACCCAGCTCAACTTGGAAGGGAATGGCCACCCCAGAGAGCAGTAAGTACAACAATCAGTGACAAAGCATCATGGGAGCATTCAAGTCAGCTAGCTGAAATCTCTGCAAACAGTACTTTTCCGTTCTCATTAGTTACAAGCTGCCAGGAAATTTTAGCTGTGAACAGAATGAAGACAGGCTGGAGAAACAGTCCTACTATTTATAAAGCCTTGGTGTTAGCCAATTTGATCCTCTTCTGCATATAAATGGGCCAAGATCCTCCAGGCACGCCTGCTCTGAGGGTGGCTGGATGGCTGGCAGGGATGCCCCAAAACCTAGGCCCCAGGCTGGCCAACCAGGTCCTTCCAATGCCCAGGGTGTGACCATGCTTTGTTAGTTTACATCTGACATTTGGGTAGGGGGCTGTCTGCGTATCTCACTTCAAGCCATAATAGTCACTTCTTATTGCCTCCCTTAAAAAGTGTTTCAAAGGAGTATTTTTGACTAATGTGTAAATTAGCAATCCCCATACTATTACCCTTTTAACTGGCAGAACTAGATACTCCATCAAACATGATTATATGATTTGACTGAAAATCCAAAAAATAAGTAAGTAAAACAATGCCTCAGAAATCCAGCCCAGTTTCTGGCAATGTTCATTACATTCATTTGAGAATTCTCTGTAGTGAATTATATAAAAGTTTTTTGGTAAGTACAGCCACAATGAAACAAATGTCAGAAAGTCATTTCTCACAGAGAACATTTACTTGGGCTGCCAAGGAAAAGCAATTAGTTCTTGCCTTAGAAGAGCCTTAACCAAGAGATGCTTCGCCATGAGGCCATTTCATTCCCTAGGGGCAGGCCTGGTAGGAGAAGAAGACCTGATACCTATCTGTTAACGCACTTATTGAAGTCCCATCTCAGCATGGGATGGTCCGTGCAAGTTTGACAGCCACAACGTTCACCTGACAAAACCAAAAGTCTCCAGAGGAAGACAATAAAAATAATTCTTTAAGTGACGAGCCTGAGTAGCCTGCCCCAGGCCAACAAACACTGTAACGAAGGTCTTCTGTAGAAAGTTTCCGTATGTTTCCCATCTACTATGGTTTGAATGTGTCTCCTCCAAAATTCAGGTGTGGAAACTTAATGGCCAATGTGACGGTATTAAGAAGTGATTAGGTTATGAGGGCTCCTCCCCTATGACTAGATTAAGGCATTTATTAAACAGGCTTCACGCAGCATCCAGCTCTCTTCCCCTTCTGTCCCTGTCACCACGTGAGGACACAGCATTCCACCCCTCCAAAGGACACAGCATCAGGCCCATCTTAGAAGCAGAGAGCCCTCACTTGACAACTGAACCTGCCAGAGCCTTGATCTTGGATTTTCCAGCCTCCAGAACTGTAGGAAAATAAAATTTTGTATAAACACCTGCTCTCAAGTATTCTGTTACAGCAGCCCAAATGAACTGAAACACCATCCTTGCATTAGCCTTCCTCAAAGCCATGGATCTTAGGTGATATCAAGTTCACATGAAGACAAGAGACATATGACATCAATTAGAAGGGAATAAGAAAAAGGGACAGGCCATCAGCAAGGGGCACCTCTGTCTGGCCACACAGGATTGCACACAGAATTGACCACACCCTTGGAAATTGTCATCTCTGGGAAATGGAGGCTCCCAGAGGCTAAAGGAATGGTCTATAGTCACATACCCTAAGTGGCTGAGCCAAATTCTGGCCTCACCCCAGTTCTTCAGGCTGTAATGCACCTGTCAGGCCGCCGCCTGCACCCACCACACTTGGTAGCTGAACATAGGCTTCCCCACAGAGTACTCAGCTTCCTGATACTCACTGGCATGACTGTAGTCTACTCCCATGTGCCTTCAGCCTCCACTCTCCTTGGCCTTAATAGGCTTCTCTCATTTCCTTTGCTGCACGGCTGCCTGCCTGTCCCAATTTCAACAGTCTAGGAGGCAGAAGGTGAAATTAATTCCTGGTCTGTGCAGCACACAGTGAACACGAACAGTGGCAAGTCCTCTAAGAGCCAGGGCAGCCTTTTCATCAGTCTGTCTGTGGTCACTCCTGAGGACCACAGAGGAGATGTGGAGAGTGACTACTGACCCAACTAGAGGCTTTCCACAGAGCCCCCAGAACACCTGCCCGAGGCGCCGGAGAGATAGTAACTGTGATGTAATTCTGTCTTACACTTAATTCACAAATGATGATGGTATACTTCTCAATGTTGCTGGCACTGACAGAAGCTTCTTCAGCTTTCCTGATCATCACCCAGAGCCACAGTTAATGTTAACATCAGGGTGAAATAAAACTCCACTTAGATGTGGGAACTGTCTCCAAAGAATGATTTAGTCTAAGCTGAGTGACACCTTCCTGAGTCGCTGTTCTGCATCAGTAGCCACAAGAACCTACCTCCAGACCCCTGCTCCAGCTCAGGCAGGAAGTTGGACATGGACCACCTGCCGCCTCCACTCTCCCACTCCCACTCCAAAAGAATACAGAAAGAGAGAGAGAGAAAAAAAAACTACTTCATAGGTCTTGCTTCCTAAGGATGTGCTCATTTTGTTCAGAATATCAAGGGAAATCACAGTGATAGCATGATTTAGAGCATGTTGGACAAGCAAGAAGGGAAGAAGGTGCCCTGAGCTTGGGCAATGAGGAAAATGGTAGAACTCTTCCTAGAGAAAGGAGGTCAGGAAGCTGGTAGATCTACAGAACATTAGGACAACTAAACTCCAAATTAAACTAGGACCAAACACAGGGAGTGGTAGAGAGCATGGAACAGAGGTCAGAGTGAATCACAGATGTATGGCTTCAGGCTCTGGGAATGGATGAGCTCTCCAAGGGAGAAAACTGCAGAAAGAAGAAAGGGCTGATTATAGATATAATCTTGAGAACACCCACGTTTAAGGGGTGGAAACAAGACGAGCCTAAGAAAGAGGCTGAAAGACTAATCGTTGGGGAGGAAGAGAATCAGGAAAGTACAGAAGCCAAACACATGTGTTTCAACGAAAAGGGACAGTTGATGGCATCAAATATCAGAGGAGATCAATAAAGGGAAACCTAAAGACAAACCACTCACTCTAACCCCAAGGAAGTTGTCCATAGCTTGTGAGAAAGCCACTGTATTCATAAAGGCAGAAATCAAACTGCTGATGTCAGCTCAAGAGTAGAAGACAAGGACTGGGTGGAACTGAAGACAAAGAAGGAAGGCACAGGGCAAAATAAAAGGGAATAATGTGCTTGACAGGTAACAAAGCAGGAGAAGATTATTGGATACAGGAGGCTTACTATGCAAAGAAGCAGAAGGAAAGGGGCAGAAACATATAAAAGTTTAGTGAAGAAAGTATAGTACTTTCAACAAATGATGCTGGTGTAACCAGACATCCATACACACACAAAAAAGGAACTTCAAGCCGTATCTTGCATCATATACTAAAAATAACTTAAAATGAATCACAGACCTAAATATAAAACCTAAAACTATATAACTTTTAATAGAAAACATATGAGAAAATCTTTGTGACTTTGAGTTAGGCCAAGATTTCCTAGATATGACACCAAAAACATGATCCATAAAAAAAAAAAAAAAAACTGATACACTGCACTTCATCAAAATAAAGAACTTCTGCTACTCAAAATGCAATGTGAAGAAAATGAAGACAATCCAAAGACTGGGAGAAAATATTTGCAAATTATATATCTGATAAAGTACTCAGATCCAGAATATGCAGAAAGCTCTCAAAATTCAATAATAAGAAAACAACCCAATTTTTTTAAATGGACAAAATATTTCCACTGACACTTCATCAAAGAAAATATAAAGGGCAACATTATTGCTTATTAGGGAACTGCAAATTCAAACCACAGTGAAATACCACACTGAACCTATAAGAATGTCTAATTTTTTTTTTTTTTTTGACACAGAGTCTCGCTTTATCGCCCAGGCTGGAGTGCAGTGATGCGATCTCAGCTCACTGCAACCTCTACCTCCTGGGGTCAAGAGATTCTCGTGCCTCAGCCTCCCCAGTAGCAGGCTCATAGGCAATGTGCTACCACACCCAGCTAATTTTTGTATGTTTAGTAGAGGTGGGGTTTCACCATGTTGGCAAGACTGGTCTCAAACTCCTGACCTCACATGATCCACCTAACTCGGCCTCCCAAAGTGCTGGGATGACAGGTGTGAGCCACTGCGCCCGGCCAAGAAATGTCTAAATTTAAAACACCAAATGCTGGCCATGCATACTGGCTCACACCTGTAATCCTAGCACTCTGGGAGGCTGAGGCAGGAGGATCACTTGAGCCCAGGAGTTTGAGACCAGCCTGGGCAAAATAGCAAGACCCCATCTTAAAACAAAAATGTTAATTAAAAAAAAAAATAAAACACTAAATGTTAGGATGAAGATCAACTGGAACTGACACATGCTAGTGGGGATGTAAAGCATACAGTACTCTGGAAAACAATCTGGCACCTGACATATGGAATAGCTATTCTACTCCTAGGTTATTCACCCAGAGAAATGAAGTGTCCATCCACACAAAGACTTGTACACAAATGGTCATAGCACAAATGGTCATATTTGTTGACCATTTGTGTTCTGCCAAAAGGCAGACACAACCCAATATTAATCAATAGATGAATAGACAAAAAATAAAAAAGAAATTGATTATTCATATACATAACACGGTTGAACCTAAAAATAATTATCCTGAAAGAAATCAGACTAAAAAGAGTATATACTCTGAATATTTGTACATTCATGTTCACAGCAGCACTGTTTACAATAGCTGAAAGGTGGAAGGAACTCAAATGTCCATCAATGGATGAATGGATAAACAAAATGTAGTATATCCATACGATGGATTATTCAGACTTAAAAAGGAAGGACATTCTACACATGCTACAACATGGATGAACCTTGAAGGCATTATGCTAAGTGAAATAAGCCAGGCACACAAACAAAAATTACTATATGATTCCATTTACATGAGGTACCCAGAGAGTCAGATTCATAGAGACAGAAAGTAGAATGGTGGTTTCCAAAGACTGGGAGCACGGGGAAGGGGAGTCACTGTTTCATGGGTACAGAGTTTCAGTTTGAGAACAGACTTTTAAAAGTCCTCGATCTCAATGGCGATGATGGTTGCATGACAATGTGAACGTACTTAATGTCACATAGCTGCACGCTTGAAAATGGTTACGATGGTAAATTTTATATGTATTGTACTGCAATTTTCAGAAACTAAATAAATTTTTAATGTACATACTATATGATTCCATTTATACAATTCTAGGAAATATAATCTATCGTGACAGAAAACAGAGCCGTGGTTGCCTAAGGATGGGAATGGAGGTGGAAGGATGGGCAGCAGGAGGGGGTCCGAAGAAACTTCTGGGGGTGATGACTGTTCATTAGCTTGATTGTGGTGATGGTTTCATAGGGGTGTACATACATCAAAACTTATTAAACTGTGTACTTTAAATACATGCAGTTTAGTACACAAGAAAACAAAATGGACTAAGTTGAAAAGAAGGTGGGCAAAGAGGAAGGATAAAAAGAGGAAAGGAAGCCAGAGTTAGTATTTGGTGGTTGACAGAGTCACCTGAGAGAAAAAACAAAACAAAGTATTCACTATGTTGGGAATGATCTCATGAATAAAATCAAAGGCCATTTGTGGAGAAAAGTCATCTATAGAGAAGGAAAAAAAAGCACAGTCAAGAGAAAGTACCACTGATGAGGGCAAAAATGTCCTCCCTGTGCTACGAGGATGGTGGCTGCCTTGATTCAAAACTAAATACAAACCAGAGTCAAGGGCAGCCCAGGAGGGAGACAGCCCATCCCAAGTCCCAGGGACAAGCCAACAGGAGTTAGAGTCCCAGGGATGGCCAGACACAGTGGCTCACACCTGTAATCCCAGCACTTTGGGAGGCCAAGGCAGGATGATCGCTTGAGCTCAGAAGTTCAAAACCAGTCTAGCCAACATGGCGAAAACCCACCTCTACAAAAATATAAAAGTTAGCTGGGGATGGGGGCGCACGCCCCCAGCTACTTGGGAGGCTGAGGTAAGAGGACTGCTTGAGGCCAGCAGGCTTCAGTGAGCTGAGATCGTGCCATTGCACTCCAGCCTGGCAACAGAGCCCAAGAGTCTCAGAGACAAAAGAGAAGGGACTCCTTTACTCATTTAAGCAGGCAAGGCCAGGGTGTGGACACGCTGAAGACACAGGCCCTCCACCAGGACTATCTCACAGGAGCTTCTTCCTGGGATGGGCATGAATCCCAGGAAGCCGACAAAGCACAGGAGCTGGCTGCAGGCAAACAGGGGCTCAGGATTCTGACTCCGTACCTCCTTCTAAATGTTTTTGGGAGAGGAAAAAATGGTCATAAGATCACTCATTTGTGATGAGTGGTTTGATTTAAAATATAATCAAGTCAGAAGCCAGGAAAGGCCATCGGAGTGAGGGACTGGCCTCGCCAGGTGACAAGAACCAGCCATGTGGCTGCTCTGTGACTCAATTAAGACAGAACTCACACACACAAAAGGTTGATATCACTTGGGCCATAAATGTAAATTCACTAAACTGTAGCTCCTTTGCTATTATGCTTTAAAAGTCCTTTGCACATTGACTTCCTCCATCTTTGCTGTTCTGGGCAATTCTGAGGAAAAGTCAGCATTGGATTTCAGGGACATTCTGTTCCCAGCCCAAAAACCCAATTACTGTTATGGAGGCACAGGACAGTTCCACATAACAGCTCAGACGGCTGGGAAGAAGTGACTTTAAAAATAAACAATGTTGGCCGGGTGCGGTGGCTCACGCCTGTAATCCCAGCACTTTGGGAAGCTGAGGGGGGCGGATCACCTGAGGTCAGGAGTTTGAGACGAGCCTGGCCAACATGGTGAAACCCCATCTCTACTAAAAATACAAAAATTAGCGGGGCATGGTGGCGTGCGCCTGTAATCCCGGCTACTCAGGAGGCTGAGGCAGGAGAATCACTTGAACTCGGGAAGCAGAGGTTGCAGTGAGCCAAGATTGTGCCACTGCACTCCAGCCTAGGCGACAGAGTGAGACTTCATCTCAAAAAAATAAATAAATAAATAAATAAATAAATAATAATAAATAAACAATGTCCATAGAATCCCATAGTGGTTTCTTTGGAAGATAAGCTCACTATTGCTAGAAACAGGATTCCAACCCAAAGGAGAAAGCACTAAATCATTTTTAAGAATTTTTTTCTGGACTTTAATTTCCTGCTCCTATAACTCTGTACATCTAACCCCAAGATGAAGGTTAAAACGGTGTTAAGACTTGGCAGGACCTCCATGGCTTTGAATAGCAGCACTTCTACTCAGCAATCACAGATCCAGGTAATATCTGACACAAACAACACAGTAAGCTGCAGGAAAGGTAGGCACACAGGAAAGGTGAACGTCACAAGCCAAAATGCTGGGATTTTAAAACATCTTTAAATGTAAATAATAAAAGCTTGGCCAGGCGTGGTGGCTCACACCTGTAATCCCAGTACTTTGGGAGGCCAAGGGAGTAGGATTGCTTGAGCCCAGGAGTTCAAGACCAGCCTGAGCAACATAGGGAGGCCCCATCTCGACAAAAATAAAAACATTAGCTGAGGGTGGTGGTGCATGTCTGTGCTTCCAGCTACTTGGGAGGCTAAGATGGGAGGACGGCTTGAGCCTGGGAAGTCAAGGCTGCAGTGAGCTGTGGTTGTGCCATTGCGCTCCAACCTGGGCGACAGAGCAAGGCCTTGTTTCAAAAAAAATAATAAAGGCCGGGCATGGTGGCTCACGCCTGTAATCCCAGAACTTTGGGAGGCCGAGGCAGGCAGATCACGAGGTCAGGAGATCAAGACCATCCTGGCTAACACGGTGAAACGCTGTCTCTACTAAAAATACAAAAAATTAGCTGGGCATGGTGGCGGGCACCTGTAGTCCCAGCTACTGGGGAGGCTGAGGCAGGAGAATGGCATGAACCCGTGAGGCGGAGCTTGCAGTGAGCTGAGATCGAGCCACTGCACTCCAGCCTGGGTGACGGAGTGAGACTCTGTCTCAAAAATAAAAATAAAAAAATAAAAACTCCCATGTCAAAATAGTTGGCAAAGAGCACAAGAATAGAATGATCTCCTGGTCTACCTTCCTACCAGTATCAAGTTTGGTCAAATTATTGTTAAATGACTGAATTAAAATCCTTTCATCTGCTCTTCATTCATAGCATATAACCACTGAGGCTAACCTCAACCACCTCCGTGAGCTATGCCAGCTGCCTCTGTGACCTGGCAACTGTGAACTGGCAAACTGATCCTTTCAACTGTTTTTCAGCTCAGGTTAGACTGAGTCCTTCTCAAAACTTTCTTTTAGGCTGGGCACAGTGGCTCATGCCTATAATCCCAGCACTTTGGGAGGCCAAGGCGGGAGGATCACTTGAGCCCAGGAGTTCAAAACCAGCCTGGGCAACATAATGAGACCCTATCTCTACCAAAAAAAATTTTTTTTTAATTAGCCAGGCACACTGGCATGCACCTGTGATCCCAACTACTCCAGAGGCTATGGGTAGGAGGATTGCTTAAGCCCAGGAGGTCGAGGCTGCAGTGAGCCAAGATCATGCCATTGCACTCTAGCCTGGGTGACAGAACAGGACCCTGTCTCAAAACACACACACACACACACACACACACACACACCCTTTCTTTTAAATCTTTGATTTGGAATACTCAGACTTGCTTTCTTCTTTATCTTGTCCTTCTTTACAAGCTCCTCTTCTTAATTGCCCCATAATTATGGACCTCTCCCATCTGAGCATTGACTTCTATCCTTCTCCCTTCAGAGACAGTAACTACCACTTGTAAGATGCTGACTCCCAAATCAAGTTCCAACTTCTGCTTCTCTTCCCCAAATTTCAGACTACATTTCCAACTGTCTGCTGGTCACTTGCACTTACATCTCAGTTATCTCGTAGCTGAAGTCAATCACATGCTTCTTATGTGCATAAAGAGCAACAATACTTGGCGTGTGTATGGCACTGCACGGGGTCCTTTCTCATCCACAGTTCACACACTCATCTGTCACCATGTCTTATTGGGGATCAGGCTTGTTTTCCTGCAAGGCCTGTAGTCCTCACTTCTTCCCATCACTGCACATCTCCCAGCTCACTGCATCCTCCCAGCCAGTCTGGCCCAGGACTGCTACCTCTTCCACAAGCTCCTCACACAAAACCTTTCCCTCTTTCCCTCCAAGCCCAATCCTTCAGGCATGTGTGTGAGAAATTGTGTGTGTACATATGTGTGACAGCTCATGTGAGTATGCATTGGGAGTGTGCATGACAGCGCAAGTGTGTGTGTGAGTGCATGTGAGTGTGCATTAGTGCAGGTAAATGTGAGTGTAAGAACACGTGTAAGAGCACATAAGAGCATGTGTCTACCTGCTCAGAACAATGACACAACTTTGCAGCCTTGAAACAAGTAAAGAATATTGCTTAAAAAACAACAATACAGCACTTTGGGAGGCCGAGGCGGGCGGATCACGAGGTCAGGAGATCGAGACCATCCCGGCTAAAACGGTGAAACCCCGTCTCTACTAAAAATACAAAAAATTAGCCGGGCGTAGTGGCGGGCGCCTGTAGTCCCAGCTACTTGGGAGGCTGAGGCAGGAGAATGGCGTGAACCCGGGAGGCGGAGCTTGCAGTGAGCCGAGATCCCGCCACTGCACTCCAGCCTGGGCGACAGAGCGAGACTCCGTCTCAAAAAAAAAAAAAAAAAAAAAAAAACAAAAAAACAAACAACAATAACAATCACTTCCAGAAAACAAGAAAAGAGCTTTTAGAAACTAATAATGATAGCAAAGAAAAAAAACCTCAACACTAGGATTAGAGAACATAGCCGAGGAAGTCATGTGTGGGTTTTCCCCACAAAAAGAATAAAAAGTCAGAGACACAGGATATAGGAAAAAAAAAATTAGAAAAATGAAACTAGTGATCAAATATCTGAATAACTGAAGAACTAGAGAACAAAGAAAATAAAGGAAAGCAGATAACCAGAAAGAATTTAAGGAAATTTCTTAAATTCTGATATGAAAGACATGAATCTTCAGCTTTAAAGGCCGAGCAAGTACCAGCACAAGGTTAAACTCGAGCAAACTCCTTGTTCTACTCTTTCCCCACTTCTCACTATTGCACTCGACTTGTCATATCAAAAGCACAATCAGGGTCAGGCATGGTGCCCACATCTATAATCTGAACACTTTAAGAGGCCAAGATGGGAGGACGGCTTGAACCCAGGAGTTCAAGACCAGCCTAGGCAACATATCAAGGCCTCATCTCTACTTTAGCTAGGCATGGTGGCACATGCCTATGGTCCCAGCTCCTCAGGGGACTGAGGTGAGAGGATTGCTTGAGCCCAGGAGGTCGAGGCTACAGTGAGCCATGATTGCACCACTGCAATACAGCCTGCGTGATAGAGCAAGACCAATCTTAAAAAAAAAAAAAAATTTACATCAACTTCCTAAGGGTCAAACTGTAAGCTAGAAGAAAATGGAGGAATGCAGGGAATATTTCCAACCTTAAGTTCTACAGATTCAAACTATCGATCAAACATAAAGATAGAAAAAAAGCATTTTCAGGCATGTGGCAGGGTAACAAGCTCATCCTGGTTTGTCCAGGATTTTCCTGGCTTCAGCAGCATTAGTCTCACATCCTGGGAATTCCCTCAGTCCTAGGTAAACTATTTACCCAGATATAACCTGGTTAAAAAAAAAAAAACCTAAAATTCACATGTCCCAATAATCTCTCAATCCCAGGCAAATCAAGGAAGTTGGTGACCCCTGATGAGGTCTCAAAAACTTTCTGTGTCATGGTCACTTTCTAGCGAGGTTACTAGAGGATTCTGTCAACTGAATCATGAGATTTAACAAAAAGTAAGGACTGTAGCTCACATCATCCTCAATGGTGAAACACTAGACATTTTCCCCGATGAATGGAATAAGACAAGGGTGCCTACTCTCACTATTTCTATTCAACTTTGTACTAGAAGTTCTAGCCAGGGGAGTTAAGCAAGAAAATAAATAGTATCCAGATGAGAAGAAAAAAGTAAAATTATCTGTTTGCAAATGAAAAGATCTTGTATATAGAAAATCCTAAGGAATCCACTAAAAACTATGCATTAATAAACAAATTTAGCAAAGCTGCAGGTTACAAGATCACTATACAAAAATCTATTGTATTCCTATAAACTAGCAATGAACAATCTGAAAATGAAATTAAGAAATATTCCATCTACAATAGACTCAAAAAAGAATAAAATACTTAGGAATACATGTTTTAAACTACGAAACTAATGGGAAAACATATTTGTAAATTATATATGTAATACAGGACTTGTATGTAGACTACATAAAGATGGTTAAAGAGTTTGAATAGTTATTTCTCCAAAGATATACAAATAGCCAATAACGCACATGAAAAAATACACATTTTTAGTTACTAGAAAATGCACATGGAAACTACAATGAGATCCCACTTCATGCCCACTAGAATAGCCACAATCAAAAAAAATAGATAAGTTTTGGCAAGGATGTGAAGGAATTGGAATCCCCATAGATTGCTGGTGTACAATGGTGGAACTGCTTTGGAAAACAGCCTGGCACTTCCTCAAAAGGTTAAACATACAGTTTAACAGGACCCAGCATTTATACTCCTAGGTATATACCTAAGACAAATGAACATATATGTCTACACAAAAGCTTGTATACAAATGTTCATAGCACTATTCCTCATAATAGCAATCCAACTGTCCACCAACCGATGAATAAACAAAATGAAGTATGTCCATACAATAAAATATTATTCTGTCAGTAAAAGGAATGAAGTACTGATAAATGCTACAACATGGATGAATCCTGAAAACACTCCATTAAGTGAGAAAAGCCAGACACAAAGGCCACATAATGTATTATTCCATTTATATGAAATGTCAGAATTGGCAAATCTACAAAGGCAAAGTAGACTGGTAATTGCCTAGGGCTGGGAGGTTTGAGAGAAAATGAGGAGTGAATGCTAATGCATACAAAGTTCTTTTTCAGGTAATAAAAATGTTCTGGGGCCAGACATGGTGGCTCACACCTGTAAACTCAGCACTTTGGGAGGCTGAGGCAGGTGGATCACCTGAGGTCAGAAGTTTGTGACTAGCCTGACCAACATGGTGAAACCCCGTCTCTATTAAATACAAAAAATTAGCCAGGCATGGTGAGCATGCCTGTAATTCCAGCTACTTGGGAGGCTGAGGCAGGAGAATCACTTGAACCTGGGAGGCGGAGGTTGCAGTGAGCTGAGATTGTGAAATTGCACTCCAGCCTGCGCAACAAGAGCGAAACTCTGTCTCGGGGGAAAAAAAAAGTTCTGGAATTAGATAATAGTGGTAGTTATACAACCTTGTAAATATGTGAAAAGCACTGAATTGTACATGTTAAAGTACAAATTTTAAGATACGTGAACTATATCTCAAGTTTTTAAAACCGTACATGTGTCTGGTATGGTGTGCCATGTGCACTTGGTGTGATGTGTGTGCATGCATACAAGCATGTGTATGAGCCTGGAGAAAGGTGTGCAAGGACACATCTCAGTATACTGACACTGGCTGCAGGATTAGACGGGGAGTGCTGTGTGTGTGTGTGTGTGTGTGTGTGTGTGTGTGTGTGTGTGTGGTGATGTGTATGCATACATACAAGCATGTGTATGAGCCTGGAGAAAGGTGTGCAAGGACATCTCACAGTATATTGACAATGGCTGCAGGATTATAAAGAAGAAATTCCTTTCAACAATGTTGTGTTGTTTTGGGAGTATTATTAGTTTTGGAGTTTTAAAAATTTATTCCTAAGTATTTTTTTATATATATTCTATTGTAGATGGATTTTTCTTAATTTTTTCTTTTTTTTTTTTTTGAGACAGGGCCTCACTTGGTTGCCCAGGCTGAGTGCAGTGGCACGATCATGGCCCACTGTAGCCTTGACCTACAGGGCTCAAGCAATTCTCCCATCTCGGCCCCCTGAATAGCTGGGACTATAGGCATGCACCACCATGCCTGGCTAATTTTTCAAGACGGGATCTCACTATGTTGCCCAGGCTGGTCTGGAACTCCTGGGCTCATGCAATCCTTCTGCCTCGGCCTCTTGAAGTGTTGGGATTACAGGAATAAGCCACCATGCCTAGACCTGTGGTCATGTATTTTCTAATATTATAATTGTCTAATAAAGAACTAGCAAATATAATTGTTTTAATCAGAAGAAAATTGAACAAGGTAATAATAGTGATAGAACTGGATAATTCTATTTTCCAAATTTTCCAAATTACTTTTGTAATTAATTAAACAACTGCTTTCCTAACTGTCACACATCTATAACATATGGTGGAGAAGAAGATACCATTGCTAAAAGCAACACAAACATTAACTGTATGGCTACTAATGGATCTGAGGACACATGAGATTTGTATATAATTCTTGAGGGCAACTTTCTGTAACTGAATTTAATGACAGAAAAAAGGAAGCCACCAACAATAGAATGATATGCTTCCTTTTAACAGGAAAATTTAACGAGAACAAAACTGATCATACTCTTCAAGTTAATATGGAGTTTTAACATAATATCAATTAAAGTCCCCAAGTGGTATAATACAAAACTTGATCAAGTCACAGTGGAATTCATTTTAAAGAAATCAAACAATATTAAAGAACAGTCTTGAGCCCTTTAGTAGACAATGGAATGGTATATTTAGCCTACAACATTAAAGCAGAGAGAAATTTCTAAAATCTAACATAAAGAAAATCACTGAAGGCAGTATCGATGTGGTAAAATCCCCACACTAAATTCAGTGAATCAACTGATAGAAGAAAAGCAGTGAATAAGAAAATGTGAGGATTTGTAAAACTACAGAAGGATAATATCCAGACTCCCATCAATGAGTAAGTGGAGTTAATGAGTTAACAAAGTAGGAAATAACAACAGTAAATCACTGTGTAGAAAATGTAATCTTTCTATAAATAAAGAAATGCAAAGTAAACTATAAGCTATCATCATAACTGTTTAACTAAAATTTTAAAACATATTTCTTACCTGGTATGACTAAGTACGGCCTGCCCTAGGAAGGAAAGCATATAAGGCCATTATGAACATGCTCTACTGCATTAGCAGGAAGTGGGCAGCTACCACAAGACTCCAAATAGTATGCCAGACTCTACCACGTGCCCTTTTTAAAAACCCACCAGCATATATAATACTTACCAACACCAAAACTAGACTAACCAAGAAAAAAAAAATTTACCACTGACTACATCTGGGGTTTTAAGCCACCTGAGGTTCTAAACCTATTTATGTCACTATTTCCCCCTCAAAAAAATAAACAGCTATCTCAAAAACGTAATATGAAGATATGAATGAAATTAAGATGAAAAGGATAGGATGCTTTAATTTGGGGGGAAAGAAAGAGAAAACAAAAGTTTAAACCCTGGATCCAGTACTAACTCTAACCTATACTAAATTTCACAAATACTATAAAACATTACTCCAAATGAATTAACTCTACACTAGTCAACACTTGGCAAAAACGCTTTTTTGCAAAATCTGCATTAAAGGATTTTAGTTTTCCTCCATTGGAAAATCTTTCATTATTTTTAAAAATGTATTTGAACGGTGTGATAATTCTTTTCTCCTACCACATATCCTAGGTAGTCCTAGACAACAGGCCTAAAAACCCGACGGGTTCAACTCTGCTTATCTCAAAACGCTCCTTCAAGACTATACCCCTCCCAAGGGGATTCTCTGGACACAACTCAAATGCTTTCTTCTATCTCCTTGCCTTCCAGGAATCCCTTCCTCCCTTCTCCTGGCTTCTTCGGCCCTGCACCCATGAAGGCCAGCACAGGCATCACCTTCTCCAGGAAGTATTTCTGACATTCCAGAAAATGGGTCTGGACCCTTCCTCTGCATTCATCACATGGGATTGCAACAGTTTGTCCAAGCTCCCCCTAAACTGTGAGCCCCTTGAGCATCTCCCACTCTATATGTCTGACTGCTAGAACAGAGCCTGAAACATCATAGAAGGTATGCCACATATACATGGGATGGGAGGATAGAAGGGCAAGCTGCATATGAAGAGAAGTCTTCTCTTAAAATCAGTGTGATCTGCAACAGGAAAAGGCTGTCTCCCTGTGGGGGGAGGCACACTCATAAAGACTAAATCATTTCCTGCCTGTTAGGGATGCTATGGGAAGGACAGAAAAGCTACCATGATTGAGTCAGCCGCAGACACATGGTACAATCTGACCTATACCATTGAAAGTGAAGGAGCCTTTGAAGAAGCACCAAAGAGAGAGAGAAAGGAGTCTTTCACCAGCCATGTGACATGCAGAATGGCCACACCTCAGCCATAATGGTTGAAAGGGGGAGGAAACAAAGAAACAGAAAGTTTGGGATCCGGGCCCTAACCCAGACTGTGTGAAAGCTCATTTTCTCAAATGCCAGAAATGCTTCCTAGAGAAGGTGGTGCCTGTGCTGGCCTTCATGGGTGCAGGGCCACAGAAGCCAAGGAGAAGGGAGGAAGGGGTCCTGGAAGGCAAGGAGGTGGACCGTGTAAAAGCTGTCCACAGTTGGGATGGACACAGTTGGGATGGGACAGTGTTCAAGTGCCTGGCTCCGTGGTAAATAAAATCAGGGCTCACATGATTCAGGTGCATAGGCAGGTGGTCCCTGAACCCAGGTAGTCTCCCCAAGAGATGTTCTGAGGCAGTCCACAAATATAGCACATGCAAAGCATATTATCAAACTCAGAGGACTTCCACTGCTCTGAGATAGGAATTATCAGGGACATGTACACACACACTCTCTCTCTCTCTCTCATATATACACACATACAGAAAGAGAAAAAGAAATGCGTATTACCTCTCTATCTTTAAGAATATTTAAGGTAACTTTAGTCAAGGAGCTGGGTACATTTTGCTTACAAACAACATTTCATGAATTGCTATGAAATTTTATAGAAGCCTAATTTCCAGGGCTCGAGTTACAGTTACTGAACAAATGTAACCATAATGTGTGCCACTAGCATCTCAACCACATAATTACCCAGAAAAAATTAACAGATACATAACTTATACTCTAAAATCCCCTAATGACCACATGTTCAGAAAATGTTCCTAAATAGGAAAACACTGACCAATATTATTAGCTTAACTTTTCAGGGAATAAAGACATCATAAAGCAGATTATTCCAACTTTTCAAATATGAATGAAAACAGAAAACTCCTACTTGATCAGCAGCTCTCAAAGGGAGGGTAGGCCCTGCCTCCTGGGAGTTTGGGAGTGTGTGGGCAGCGTTAGGTGTCCTTGGGGCAGTCAATGGGCACTGTCCCCTGCCCTGCATTACCTTCACACATCCCATTAGACATGCAGGTAGACAGAAGCTGTTTAACATTCTTCTGAGCCTGTAACCTAACTCAATTTTAGATAAAAACCCAAATAATTTTTTGCATGCTTTTATTATATCATGAATTTTCCAGGAATACAACATGTCTGATTCTGGCCTTTACTAAAATGTAATTGCCTTTTTGAAAATACTCATCACCAAAGCAACACTGCCTGTGTATTCTGGGTTACCAATCAAGACACAACCAGGCTGTGTGTGTGTGTGTGTGTGTGTGTGTGTGTGTGTGTGTGTGTGTATACACAAAGATACAAAAGATTTATAGTATCTTTTGCATTGTATGAGTGCCCATGGCCCTCATGAGATAGCTGCTGGCACTGAATATATGACACTAAGCGAAGGCTACACATGCAGCCTGGGTGTGTCTTGACCCCGATAGGGTCAGGAGGCAGAGATGCCCAGAAACCCTAGCCCGCTCTAGTTTGTCTTTGTGAGTATCAAGGGACAATGTGGTTAGGGTATAACAATGGAATGACCTCCTGCCCCTCCCCAAAAACACATATGTAACTCCACTCACTTGAACCTAAGTGGCATTGAACCCAGAGAGAAGGAGAGTTGGACACTTGGTTTGGGAGGACAAGCTGGTGACACCCACAGAGGGCACGGAGCCTGCCATCCCTGAGAACTAGCAGCTGACATAGTCCATGCCCAGCCAAGCCACCAACAATGTCTAGAGACCAACTTTGGAAAACTGATGCAGCATCCAGACAGGCTAACAGGAACCTCAAATTTAAAAGTTAATACACAGCTGAGTATCCCCAAACCCTGAGAAAAGGGCAACAAATTCTACACCTAAAGAAGTGATGCTGCAGAACACAGAGTTAGTAAAGACACAAGACTTAAAAACAGGCACAATCAACAGCCTCCAAGTGGTGTGAGAGGATATTACACTCATAAGAATCAACCAGCAATCTTAAACATTAAAAACTGGAATCACTAAATTAAAATAAATAAATAAAAGGTGAGCCCAAGAACAATTGTTATCTCTGGGAGAATACTGGGCTTGAGGGATGATCAAAGGGGTCTTGAGTTTTATCTATTTACAAAAGGAATGTATTTTTACTAAATAAAAAAAAAATCAACGGACATTTTCAAAGAAATATATTTTCTGGATGAAATGGGAATTTAGTACTTCTACAACTTCACAAGCAGTATGAGGGACCAAAAGAATCATTTCCTGGCCGGGCACAGTGGCTCACGCCTGTGATCCCAGCACTTTGGGAGGCTGCGGCAGGTGGATCATCTGAGGTTAGGAGTTCGAGACCAGCCTGACCAATATGGTGAAACCCCGTCTCTACTAAAAATACAAAAATTAGCCAGGCGTGGTGGTGCACGCCTGTAGTCCCAGCTACTTGGGAGGCTGAGACAGGAGAATTGCTTGAACCCGAGAGGAAGAGGTTGCAGTGAGCCAAGATCATGCCACTGCACTCCAGCCTGGGTTAAAGAGCAAGACCCCATCTCAAAAAAAAAAAAAAAAGAAAAAGAAAACGAAGCAAGAATCGTTTCCCAAATTAACTTCCTCCAAATAACAGTCCCTCAAAGTGACAGCAGGCCAACTAGAAAGAAAAAGAGCGCCACAGTCCCATTAATTTGAGTTAAATTACGTTTTTTTCATTTCACGGCCTCTGGGTTAGAACACAATATAGCACAGACAAATCATACACCCATGTCTCAGAAAACATCAGGCAGAGAAATGTACCTTGACTAGATCAACAATTTTTTTTTTTTGGTGGAGTCTTGCTGTGTCACCCAGTGCAATGGCACAATCTCGGCTCATTGCAACCTCCACCTCTCAGACTCAAGCAATCCTCCCACCTCAGCCTCCTGAGTAACTGGGATTACAGGCATGTACCACCAAACCCAGCTAATTTTTGTATTTTTAGTAGAGACAGGGTTTCACCACATTGGCCAGGCTGGTCTCGAGCTCTTGGCCTCAAGTAATCTGCCCGCCTTGGCCTCCCAAAGGGCTAGGATTACAGGTGTGAGACACCATGCCCGGCCCACCAAATCTTTACATAAGCTTCAATTTTTTCTTATTCTATGGACCAATACCCTTTTAGAAGGAGCGTTATCCCCATTCCAGCTTTTAGATTAAGACACCCAACAATACTGGCATTTAGTACAGAATCTCAACCCTCTTTTCCTTATTCTAAATTCCCTCCTCTTACAGTGCCAAAAACAATAACCCACATCCATCCCAGGGGCCGAGCCGAGGGCAGGGCTCAGGGAAGTGGCAGGGGAGCAGAAGGGCCCAAACGAAGGTGTAAACAGAAGCTGACACATGTGCTCTGCTCCACCTCAGCAGCACCAGTTCAAACACCTATGCTTTGCTCTCCGCCCTGTGCCCTAGACCCCACACGAGCATGGGACATCCCCAGGACATTTCCAGAGAGCATTTTAAATTTCCTTAATCTTAATGTTTTTTACATGTATTTTCTAATTTTCCTCTATATTACTATAAAGAAACTTTTAGTGATTTTAAAAATCTCACAGTCATCTCACATCATTCTCCCGTAATTCCACCAGAAATGAGGCTGAGAGAATACAGACAGCCACAGCACAGTTCACACAGTAAAACATCAACACCTTAAGGCCTGTCCACATGAAGTGGGAAACTTCTGAACAGCCGTTAGAGAACACAGCAGACACCCACTGAGACTGATGTGGATGAGCAGTGTATACAGCCACTATCATCTGTGGAAAGGTTAAAACTGAAAAAGTAGAGAATGTGGGACATTAATCGTGGAGGCCATGGGCACAGGGAGAACTCTCTGCACTTCCTGCTCAATTTTGCTGTGAACCTAAAGTCAGTCTAAAAATAAACTGTATTAACCAAAAAAGAAAAAAGTAAGAAGACAGGCATAGATAAGTATGCTTGTATTTTCATAGACTATCTCCTGACCGGTACACCAGACACTGGTAACAGCAGCCACTTAGGGTAGAGTGGATAAACACAGTCACCTCACTGTGTAGAGCAGAACAGAGCCACAGACAGGGCCGTGAGTGAGAAGACCACCAAAGTTCTACTATACACCCCACCGTACTTCTCAAATTGTTTTTGATATATGCATACAGCATTTTTCAAAACACCAGTTAAAAAAAATAAAGAAAAACTTTTACGGAAAAATAGGAAGTTCCAGGGTAAAAGGGGTGCAAGAGAGTCAAATCTAAATAAAAGCTAGAGCAGCAAAATCACAGATGCTTGGCCCCAAAGATACAAAGCTGACCTCGTGAATGCATACTTTTGGGAAAGAAATGACCAGTGAACCCAGGACCATGGAAGCCTGGGTGGCACAGCCACCCAACATGAGACATCTCAGTGGTATAAGCCAGATGCTTGCTGCCAGGAGCCAGCACTGCACCAATGTAAAGCTCACAATGGCCCCTAGAAGCAGGGACAGCCACCCAGGGCCAACTTGAGAAGGAAAAAAGCTAAAAAACAAGGAAAAAGTTGAAGAATCCTCATCCCATCCCCTGAGCCACCCTAAATTGGAAAATACTCAGCAGACACAAAAAGCCTCTCAAGAGGACACTGCCAACCCACTCGGGCAAGGGATCATACCCATATGCCCTGAACACTTCTGGGGCCACCATGCCTGGTTTCCTTTCTTACTCAGAACTCAGGGAGGTATGTACATGGGGTTTATTGCTTGTTTTCCTTGGAGAGAGAAACAGTTTTCTGTTTTTCTTACTTAAGACCCAGTACAGTCAGCAGGGCCCCAAAGGCCTCAGGAAGGAGGCTGCTAGTCACCACACCAATCTGTGAAGTGCTCATCCTGCCAGCCACTCTGGTACCAGGCTCAGCCATGTGGTTCTGGGCTCAGCCATGCTGCCTTCAAAAATTAGGGGAAACAAAAGGTCTGGAAGTTTGTTCTCCTAGGAGAACTTGAGCATCCAAAGTGACATTTCTCCTGCTTTATTCAGCTTTTCACTAGGGACACTTGGATAATGCTAAGTGTTTTCTAGGTCACAGCTAGTCCTACCTACCCACTTATTGGGAAGCTCTAGCAGCAGCAGAATAGAAAGCTCTGGGTGAGCCTGCAAAGCAGGAGGCATGCTAGTGGGCAGGAGGGAGAAAGTGTGCAAACACCCCCGCTTCCCATGAATCACTAGGTCACAAAGCCCCACCGGGTGAGGGAACGTGTGACCCACTCAGACTGCTGTTTCAGACTCTGCTATGAGGGTCATGGGAAGAGAGCACTGGCCCTCCTTGGGAGAAGATTCTGGTCCAAATCTATGGTGTGGCTCAGCTATCAGCAGTGAAGATTGAGGGGCACTGACTGGTTTCTTTCCCCACATTCACCCTCACCAGCCCCCCGTGGTGAAGAAGGTTGGGTGTCACTTCCTCCAACCTCTGCAGGGCAGAGTGTGCTGCTATTACAGGGCCTGCTGAACCAGCATCTCACCCCTACTGAAGAATGGGTCAATAAAGATAGAAAAGTTATGACAGAAAAGGAGGGAAGGAAGGAGAGTCCCTTCCAATGGTCCTCACAATAATACCACCCACAGAGATCGGTGTGAAATTTTGCTTTCAGAAGTAGAATGTGCCCAGACAGAATCAGAACTGCTCATTTAACATGGGAACGGCGAAGCGCCCACTCCAAGACTTCTGCTAGTGGGTGGCCAGAAAGAAGCCATCCTCTCTCCCTTCCTGACTCAAATTGTACAACTGCTCAAAGGAAGAAAAAGAAGCCAGAGGTTCCTCTGCATCAGCCAGAGGCCAATCACCCTGATCCAGGCTGCCAAGTTAGAACCCAAGCTCCCAGATCAAGGGACAAGTCAGAGGTGGAGCTCTTTGATCAAGGGGCAGGTCAGAGATCAAGGTCCCCATTGAGGCCCGGCAGGGACGAGGCAAAAGACTGGGGCAGGCTGGCAATCTTAAACCCCATTTGCCCCAAGCCCCTAAAAAAAAAAAGTATTCCATAAATACTTGCTGAATCCAAGAACCAAACCTAGTACTTAGCTTATACTGAAAGCTTTAATTATACTATCTCATTTAATCCTTACAACAGCCCTTTAATTGTTATCACCCTATTGTATATAAGAAAAAAACTAAGACCTCAGTAAAAAAAAAAAAAAGAAAAGAAAAGGCTCTCTTCCTCGGCGCTGCCTACGGAGGTGGCAGCCATCTCCTCCTC
The DNA here is from genome assembly GCF_000001405.40 of Homo sapiens. Lineage (NCBI taxonomy): Eukaryota > Metazoa > Chordata > Mammalia > Primates > Hominidae > Homo > Homo sapiens. The sequence continues at coordinate 44,467,891 of NC_000007.14, forward strand.
GGCATCATGGCCGCCCTCAGACCCCTTGTGAAGCCCAAGATCGTCAAAAAGAGAACCAAGAAGTTCATCCAGCACCAGTCAGACCAATATGTCAAAATTAAGCGTAACTGGCGGAAACCCAGAGGCACTGACAACAGGGTTCGTAGAAGATTCAAGGGCCAGATCTTGATGCCCAACATTGGTTATGGGAGCAACAAAAAAACAAAGCACATGCTGCCCAGTGGCTTCCGGAAGTTCCTGGTCCACAACATCAAGGAGCTGGAAGTGCTGCTGATGTGCAACAAATCTTACTGTGCCGAGATCGCTCACAATGTTTCCTCCAAGAACCGCAAAGCCATCGTGGAAACAGCTGCCCAACTGGCCATCAGAGTCACCAACCCCAATGCCAGGCTGCGCAGCGAAGAAAATGAGTAGACAGCTCGTGTGCACGTTTTCTGTTTAAATAAATGTAAAAACTGCAAAAAAAAAAAAAAAAAAAAAGAAAAGAAAACTAAGGCCCAGGGAGACGAAAGAATTTGTTTGTTCAATGCCAGACAGCTTATCAGTGTCAGAGCTAGCAACTGAATGCCCGGTCTCTAGACTCCAAGATTCATACTCTTATTCCATAACATAATTTTTTTAAAAGGGGGAAAAAGACTAGAATCAGGAAGTAAAAAGATAAATGTAACAGTTTCAGAGATTAAAGGAGCAAACCACAAGGCAAGAGACAGGTATCCTCCTTGCTCATCCACTGGGAGAGTCTAGAAGCCTGACACCACAGCACCAACTAACACAGCAGGCCCAGCTCTTGGCTTGTAATCTCAATCTCTTATCAAAACCCAAGGACTTCTTGGAGAAAGGGTCCATTCCACAGCCAGGGCAGGAGAAGAATTCAAACCTGGAACTTCCTGTAGTGTACAAGAAAATAAAGAAGTGCTCGAAAAATGATGCAAACATGTTAACAGGAAAAGTCAACTGCAAGAGGCCACTTGAGCAATTAAACAATAGTAATGGACCATAACCTATGGAATAACTATCCATGAATACACACTGACATACACCAAGAACTAATAAATAAGTAGAGGAGAAAGAAAAGCTCTTCCTTACAGCATGTGAAACTTACAGTCCTTACAGTCCATTTGTTTTGGACTGAGCTCCTGCATAAGGCCCCAGCACACCAGACCAAACCAGAATAGAGACAATCAAAATGAACTTTAAAAAGGGCCAGTTTTCAAACAAACAAACCAAAAAAAAAAAAAAAAAAAAAAAAAACAGGAGATTTCAGTCAACTTGAGTCAGCAGGTAAGGAAGACCCCTTACCTGTTTCAACCCTATGAGGAAGTGACTTTGAAACGACCCATCTGCTTTTTGTTCTCTGTGTCTGCTTTTCTCAGCCCTTTTCTGCCTATAAAACCTACCTCCTTTGGTCAGCTCATGGGAATACTCATTCTATTTTACAGAATGAGATGTTGCCCAATTCTAGAAACACAAATGCCAACTAGATCTTTAAACTAAATTTGTTATAATTTTGTCTTTTGACAAGTATAATTCTAAATAATAAATGGAGAGAGAATGATAAAAATAGAAAATCATTTAGCAAACAGTACAGTAATAATTGTTTCAGGCAAGAATAATCAGTGGTTGCTAAGATTAATGGTAAAGGTATGCTGAGAAACAAGATATTTATCTAGTCTCAAAGTTATCTCCCCACAAGATACTTATTAATTACAAAAAGGAACACAGTAACTCCACAGTGGAAGAAATGTGCAGCCATCCATTCAGCCAAATGATCACAGTTATGATCACAATTAACATCAGAAGGAATGGGACAAATCCTGGCATGACACACTAAGGGCCCACCATGGTATTCTTCTGTGGCATTCTTGCCAAAAACATATAACACGAATACAGTCATAAGGAAGCATCAGACAAAACTATAATGAGGGACATTCCACGAAAAAAAAAAATGGCAATGAAGGAAAAAAAAAAGGACCAGTTCTCTTTAACTGTCAAGGTCATGAAAAGACTAAGAAACTGTCACTGTCCCAGATAAAGGAGACTGAAGAGAGACACAACCACGAATACAATGACAATAACAAATTGAACCCTGAGCCAAGGATAAAGGACATGATTCAACAGGCAGAATTTAAACAAGGTCTACAGATGAGCTAATGGTAATCCCTCATTATAAAAGACTCTAACATTTGGTGAAGCTGGGTGAAGAGCATATGTGAGAATTCTTCGCATGACTTCTGCAATTTTTTTTGGTAGATATGAATTATCTAAAATTCAAAGATTTTTTTAAAAGACCAAAAAATAAACAGACATTAACAGTTATATGAGAGAGAGAATATGCTAGTCTTTGGTTAGCTAAGAACACTGACTCCATACCACAGCAGCCAGCAGCCAGACCACAGATCTGACCCTCACTCTTCAGAATCCCACAGCTGCTATTTTAAAGACCAGATAACAGGCTCCAAATCTGATTTCTCAGCTCACAGAACTCACAGCCAAGTCATTTGAGATGACTTATTCCAGAGGGTCTCAAAGCAAATCCTATAGGACAGAGCTGCCTACACGCCCAGGCTCGGTTTAAGGTCCCCCCAATGTTAGCCTCTCACTCAGATGCTGCTTCCACAGCAAATTCCTTGGCTTAATTAAAGGAGATACAAAAACTCAGGTCACTCCAACTACCTCACAGCGTGGCTCAGAGAGCACAAGGCCTGCGTGGACCGGGCTCTGCATAGTCCTGGGCATCTGTAACTCAGGGGCTGCAAGGGAAGCAACCCATGAGGGAAGGGAAAGAAGGGCAAGAGCACAAACAACAAAACCAGAAGGGGCAGCTGACAGCCTGACGGCTCAGCACAATGTCTGGAAGACAGAGAAGTGGCCTCAGGACTCTACTAGCAAGTTTAACTTTTAACTATTTTTATTTATCTTTACTTTGACCAAACCAAAACAAGAGTTCAAACTACTACCAAGTTCAAAGTACAACTCTGAGTTGCCCTAAGAAGACAGAGAACATACACAAATGTGAAAATATGAGAAAAACTAAATGTTACTGAAGAGTGGCATTCATGAGATATGTTAAAATTCAAAGGTTGATCATCTTCAATGTGACTTTTAACTTCAATCATTATTTGTTCAGCTGTTTACTGAGTACCAACTACGTGCCAGGCAGTAGAATCCACAATGAACAAAGTTCCTGCCTTGCATGGTGACGACAAATGGTACCCAACAAGTAGATATGCAGTTGTCCCTTGGTATTCACAGAGTGCTGGTTCCAAGAACCCTAAGGATACCAAAATCCAACGATGCTCAAGTCCCTGATATCCTGATATCAAATGGTATAGTATTTGCATATGCACGTCCTCATGTATACTTTAAATCATCTTTAGCTTTATAATAGTTAATACAATGAAAATGCTATGTAAATAGTTGTTAAATATTTTTTATTTGTATTATCTTTATTGTTGTATTGTTATTTTTTATGGTTTTGGCTTTTTTAGTATTTTCAATCCAAGGTTGGTTGGATCTGCAGATGTGGAACCGAAGGATACAGAGGGCCAACTGTACATGGTAACAACCAGCTCAGGGCTAGGTGATCTAGGTCAGTCCCACTCCCCTCCTCCTGACTTCTCTGCTGACAGAATGAGCAGGGCAAGCATGAGTGGCCACAAGAAAAGACACACAAAGGACAGTTTGCACAGGAAAGGCACATAGAGGTTTTTTGTAAACACATAGGAGTGTGTAAACACATAGAAGTGTTTACAGCCACCACTCATAGGATAGAGAACACAGAATCACCTACTCAGGGACACACTGAGGCCACTACAGAGTAGAAGTGACACACAGACCTTAGATATACCTCTTAGAAGCAAGGGGTGACAAAGACTCACAAAATGACACAGGATTTTAGGTGCTCATCCGGACTCCATGAACAAACCAGAGATGAAGCAACAGGTCTAATCGAGGGGTTACTGCACCGGTCACAAGGGCTCCTGGAATGCTCTCAGGTTTGTCTCCTCCATCCACCCTCACTGCCTTGGTGATCTTACCCAGTCTATGGTTAAATGCATCTAAATGCTAATGTTTTCCAAATGCCCATCCCAGTCCCTACTCTTCTCAGAACTCCAGACTCGTGTGTCTATTGCCTAATTAGTAATGCCACCTCAACCACTGGTCAGCTTCTCAGATTGATGGAAGCCGTGACCAACCCCAATCAACCCTGAGAAACTTCCCCTCCAGTGCTTTAGTGGCTGCCAGTTCCATCCTTCCAGTTGCTCAGCAACAAATTTTGAGGAGGAGGAAAAAAATACAATTACATTTAGAATTCTAAATGTGACAAATACATAAATGATGTATTACTAAATATAGTTGTTACTAAAATACTACTATAAATAAGAAATAGTCTGCACTCCTAGAAAATCCAAGAAAATCAACTGAGAAACTATTAGAAACCAGTAAGAGAATTCGATATTGGTGTATAGGACTTACTGAATAAAAAGATTAAAATTCTACAAAAGAACATAAAGCAAGACTTGAGTAAATAAGACATAACCTTTTCTTAGACCAAAAGACTCAATAATGTAAAGATGTCAATTCTCCCTAATCCAAAACATAAATTTAATGTATTCTCAATGAATATTTCAACAGAATTTTCATACACAAAAATTAATTTACGGGAATATTTGAGAAAAGTCTGGGGGTAAAAAGATTAAACACTAGTTCTACCAAGTGCTAAAATGTATTATAAAGCTATGAAACAAAATAGCGTTGTGCTAACAAACAAAATGAACAAATGGTTTAGTATTTGTAGATACAAAGAATGGAAAAAAATACAGAAACATATACAAAGTTAAATCCAAGATATTTCAAAAGTGAACGACATTTCAAAGAAAACCAAAGAAGAAAAGGTAACAGTAGCCCAGAAAGGAGTTAGGGACTCTGGCTAACACCTAGGATGGGGTCGGGTACTCTGAGACAACCTAGCAACCTAGCAGTGAGAGAACAGACACAAACTCCCTGAGGCCAATTTAGCAACATCCATCAAAATTACAAACGCCATACCCTTTGACCCAGTAATTCCTGTTCTGGGAATTCATTTAGCTGATATTCATACACATGTTCCAAGAGACACTTAAACGCATATTCACTGCAACATCATTTGTGATGCTGGCACACGGGAAACAACTTAAGTACACACCCCTTGGGGACTCATTAAATAATAAGATCTACACAGCAGAATACTACATGGCAGTTAGTAAACATCTTGGCCACACATCAGAGTCACCTGGAAAGTTTCTGAAAATCCAGACATGACACAGAAGAGGCCACACTCAGACCAATTAAATCAGATCTCTAGAGCAAGGACCCAAGCATTTTATTTTATTTTATGTTTTATGGACCAAACAATATGAACATCAGCATTTTAACGTAGCGGAGAATCTCAGGGCAAACCACCCAAAGGCAAACTAGGTTCCACTGCTCAACAACATGAGCCTGGGTCAGTTTCCTAAACTACAAAATGGGAAGGCAACAGAACGGCCTCAAAGAGTTGTGAGGACAGTGAAAAACCTATGTGTACACTAAGGAGAAGCTACCTGGCAACAGGAAGTATTCAGTCAGTGTCAGCTGCTTATCTAGTGCAAGGGTTCACAGCACATTCCAGGGATATGACAAAGGCAACATTCACTGATGTGCTTTTGTCTGTGCATGTGTACTATATATAGTAGGGAAAATATATACATACATATAAAATATTAAAATTTTGCAAAAGATGATATTGAACAACAGTCATCTTTAGGAAGAACCTGCTTCTATTACATACTCTCCTAACTTTCAAAAATGTTACCCTAAATCCAACTCCAACTTATAGGAAATAGGACAAAGGACATGCTAAACCACATGTGGGTAATAATCAGCAAAATCCAGCTAGTGGGAAATACAAACAAACAACTTGATTTACTTTACCAAATAAATTTTGAGGGAAAAAAAAGAGAGAAAAATGGAGGGTTGACTATGAGGCATTGGTGTTTGGAGCCTTATTAGTAGCCTGATTCAAACAAAACTTTCTTTTAATTAGGACACTATAAGAAAACTGGAAGTTTAAACAGTGGCTGAAAATATTTACAGATGAAATGATACAAGGCAGAATTTGTTTCAAAATAAACCAGGAGGGAGAAAAGCAGGCTGCTGTTGGAACTGGGCAATGAGCACATGAGGAGTCATGTTCTTCTGTCTACTGTCTTTTGTATTTCAAATTCTACCTAATAAACATTTTGTGAAGTACATATATTACCTTTCCAACATCAAAAAAAAAAAAAACCAAGCTAGCATAAAAAGAAGAACTATTATTATAGAAAAATATTCAAATAGAAGTTGGTTATTTTAAAAGAAATTGGCTAGTTTTTAAAAAGTATCTCTCAGATAGTAGGGTAATTAGTTGCTTTTTTCTAACACATCAATGCAAATAAATCCTCAGTTAGTCCACGAGGTAGTTCTGCTTCAATTCCCAATAACTCTCTGGCCCTACCTTCTAAATGTATGATTTTAAGCAAAGCACTTGACCATTGTACATCTCAATTTCTTCACCTGTAAAAAGGAAGCAGATCACTGGTTCTCAATTTTTGGAAATACACATTTTTCCAGGGGAAAAACTCCACAGATGATTCTAACACTCCTCTTCCTCCTCCCTGACCACATGCTCCCTGAACCCATCCAACTCTGAAAACGTTAAGATACCAGGTTATTTTCTGATATAACTTCAATATCCAGCAAACTCAACACTGCTTTCTAAAAATGAAGCATATAACCTTCACTGCAAAATAAAAATAAACTGCAAAATAAAAAATAAAAATGCAATGTTTCTTGTGAGAATTTTTTAAAAGTCCTCCTAACAACTTAAATCAGGTTTTCCTGACTTGTGATTTAAGTCAAATCGCTTGGAGGCTTCTTATGCCTGAGCTTTCTTAAAGAAGGTGCAGTTTCAGGGTGAATCACTGGAAAGGTGAAATAGCAGCTATGACACAAGATGACACTGAGCCAGGTGGCCTAAGGCTCAATCCCCAGGTGGGGTCCACAGATAGCTGAATCTGAGGGGAAACAGACAGACATCCCTCAACCCCTGGCTTTCTATTCATTATTCTCTCTCAGTGCATACTATGCAGCATATGCCCTCATCCAAGGACAAGAGCCACTTCAGGTAGACAACACTCAACAGTGTACATCACAAATTCATTTCTTTTTTTTTTTTTTTTTGAGACGAAGTCTCGCTCTGTCACTCCAGCTGGAGTGCAGTGGCATGATCTCAGCTCACTGCAACCCCCGCCTCCTAGGTTCAAGCAATTCTTCTGCCTCAGCTTCCCGAGTAGCTGGGACTACAGGCATGCACCACCACACTCAGCTAATTTTTGTATTTTTAGTAGAGACAGGCTGTCACCATACTGGCCAGGCTGGTCTACATCACAAATTCAAAATCAGCAAAAGGCATGCAGGAAATGCTAAGGATACTCTGTTCAGCATAAAAGAAGATAAAGTGTAATAAAATTTTATAAATATACATACATGTATTTATGTATATGTTTACATGCATAAGAAAAAAACAGGCTGGATACAGACACTCATGCCTGTAATTCCAGCACTTTGAGAGGCTGAGGCAGGAGGATCTCTTAAGCCCAGGAGTTTGAGACCAGCCTGGGCAACACAGGGAGTCTCGTCTCTACAAAAAATTTTTTAAAAATTAGCCAGGCATGGTGGTACACATCCGTGATCTCAGCTACTCAGGAGGCTGAGGTAGGAAGACAGCTTGAGCCCAGGAAGTCGAGGTTGCACTGAGCTACAATTGCACCGTGCTCCACTATATTCCAGCCTGGGCAACAGAGTAAGACTATGTCTCAAAAAAGAAAAGGGAAGAGGAAAAGAAAGAAGGAAAGAAAAGAAAAGCCATAGAAAATATCCCAAAAAGTTAATAGGAAGTGAAGGGATTTTCTTTATATACTCATCTGTATTTTCCAAATATTGTACATTGAGTATAATCAGAAAGAAAAATGAAAAGCTTTTTCTTTTTTAAGAGAAATAATAGTAACGATAATAGCTAGTATCTACTTGAGTGCACACTCTGTCAGGAATCATGCTAAGTAGGTCTCATTCAATCCTCACCACAGTCTACGGGGTTGGGTATATGGAGAGAAGGGGATTCTGATTAAGCCCCCGTGACTCTACAAAGGGGTCTCCTGCAATGGGCACCTGAAAAAGCCTCGACTAGTAAAGGAAGAAGCTGTTTAAAGACGAAACAAGGAACCCAAATTTCTCAGGCAGTGTGAGCCTACACACGGAAAGAAGTCTCAGGCCTGAAGCACAGGCACCTTTCTATTCTCCTGACAGCCCACCCGAGGGACATCAAGAGCCACAGATGTCATGATAGGTGTGTGAGTGCTATAGAAGGAATGTTTGTGTCCCTCCAAAATTCATGTTAAAGACCTAACCTCCAAAGTAATGTTATTTGGAGGTGGGGCCTTTGGGAGACGATTAGGTCATAAGGGCAGATCCCTCGTGAATATGAGTAGTGGCCTTATAAAACAGGCCTAAGGGAGTTCATTTGCCCCTTTCACCATGTGACAGCTCGATGAGAAGACAGAGGTCTATGAACCAGGAAGTGGGCCCTCACCACTGAACCTGCTGGCACCTTGATCTTGGACTTCTAGCCTCCTATAGAGGCTGTCAGCAATAAATGTCTGTTGTTTATAAGCCACCCAGGCTACAGTATTTTTGTTATAACAGACTGAGCGAAAACAGTAAGCAAAACCAAAGAAGAGGTACTAAGAAATGGAATTCGGCATGCACTGGGGGGGTCATCTCACACAGCACCAGGAAGTGAGAAAGGCTGAGTAAGTCTCTGCCCCTAATCACTGAAAATGTGGGCACAGCCAGCCATAAAGGAATAACGTAAAATGAAGTGCAAACTCCAAGGAGGCATGGTTACCTGCTGGGGAAAGCGGAGGGATGAACTACTGGAAAAGACTTTGCTGATGAGAAAAGTGAAGAGTGCCCATACCTACGGAGACCAAGTCAGGAGGGAGCAGCCTGATGATGATGATGAAGTATCTGCCAAGGACACTATTAGGAAACCTGAAATTTATCTTCCAAATGATGCCATTCCCTTCCCAAGAAGCACCGAGGTCCCTGTAACTGCGCACAAAGGCCACACTACCCAAAGCAAGAGAAAGTACTGAACAGTTTTCTCAGGTATTATGTTCTAACGGGCTTGTCCTAGAAGGGGTTAATATGTTAGATTGTTCCATGACACCCTCTTTGTACACTGTCACTACTCTGCTTCCCTGCCCAGGGCAGGAGGAATGGCCTAGTTGGACCCAGGGCCCTGTCACTGCCCAATGCACACCAACAGTGTTGGAGCACTCTGTTCCTCATCCAAAGGACAAAAAGATAACCAGTCCAAGCACAAAGGACAAAGACAACAGTTTCTAGGCAGTAACTGACATTCTTAGTGCTACCATATTTTCCTTCTTCTCTGTTAAAGAATTCTGCTCGTGATTTTTAAAAGGAAAAGCCCAGGACTGACACAGCCTTTCAGAGATTTTTGTCAGCATCCCAGCACAAGCAAAGGCAAAGTCACCATCCCACTGTCTACAGCAACACCTGCAGGTCAAGAGCCTGAACTGCAGGTGCTATGAAAGTTGACACTGACGGCCCATGCCCAGGAAACCAACACCAAACCCTACCGTGAGGTCATCCAAGAGGCAAACCCTAACAGGCAGCTCTTGAGAAATGCCTGATTAGTGACTACGTCATAAGATGCTGCAGACTTTGCGCCCCTCTCTTCCACAGTGCTAATCATGTCTGCAGGCACTGGTCACCCAGTCTAGTATTACATAAACACTGAGGCTCAAATGGCACTTTTTCACTTTTTACAAAGTCTTTACTATGAACAATTCTTTTTTTTTTTTTTTTTTTTTTTTTAGATGGAGTCTCGCTCTGCTCTGTCGCCCAGGCTGGAGTGCAGTGGCACAATCTCAACTCACTGCAACCTCCACCTCCCGGGTTCATGCAATTCTGCTGCCTCAGCCTCCTGTGTAGCTGAGATTACAGGCACGCACCACCACACCTGGTTAATTTTTTGTATTTTTATAGAGACAGAGTTTCACCATGTTGGTGAGGCTTGTCTCAAACTCCTGACTTCAAATGATCAGCCGGCCTCGGCCTCTAACAGTGCTGAGATTACAGGCATGAGCCACCACACCCAGCCTGAACAACTATTAAAATTGTAAAGCATCCTTACAGAATATAAGCACATTCTCTGATGCTATCTTGTGCAAATAGGGAAATATCTGTGTGCAAATTCTCTCTCTTCTCTGAGGAATAAGATGGGTTATTTACTTTGGGCCGGGCGCGGTGGCTCACGCCTGTAATTCCAGCACTTTGGGAGACCGAGATGGGTGGATCACCCAAGGTCAGGAGTTTCAGACCAGTATGGCCAACATGGTGAAACCCTGTCTCTACTAAAAAAATACAAAAATTAGCCAGGCATGGTGGCAGGCACCTGCACTCCCAGCTACTTGCAAGGCTAAGGCAGGAGAATCGCTTGAACCTGGGAGGTGGAAGTTGCAGTAAGCCGAGATCATGCCATTGCACTCCAGCCTGGGCAACAAGAGCAAAACTCCGTCTAAAAAAAGAAAAAGATAGGTTCCTTTAAGCCCTGGGGTGGGGGCATTTCTGATCTTCATTTGACATGCCCTGGCAGCAACAGTAGGGCAGAAACAAGAATGAAATTCAGACCAATTGTAGGTTATTAGTCAGGGAGATGCTAAAATCAGAGTGATGGTAAAATTAGGTCAAAATAAAATTTCCCCCAAATCACCCCAAAAATACTATAAATGAAACCTGTACATTATTATGTATAAATAACAATGTATGCTGCAACAGCTTTAGGGCAGAACACAGGCACAAGGTTGCCAGGATCTGGGAGTCTGGCACCAATGGAAATGTCATTGTATTAGTCCATTCTCATGCTGCTATAAGGACATACCCAAGATGGGGTAATTTATAAAGAAAAGAGGTTTAATTGACTCGCAGTTCAGCATGGCTGGGGAGGCCTCAGAAAACTTACAATCATGACAGAAGGGGAAGTAAACACATCCTTCTTCACATACCAGCAGGAAGACGTGCCAAGCAAAGCGGGAAAAGTCCCTTATAAAACCGTCTATGAGAACTCACTATCACGAGAACCACATGGATATAACTGCCCCCATGATTCACTGCCTCCCACCGGGTCCCTCCCATGACATGTGAGGATTATGGGAACTGCAATTCAAGATGAGATTTGGGTGGGGACACAGCCAAACCATACTGGTCATCTATCTTGACTGTGGTGGTTACAAGACTACATTTGTCCAAAGTCATAAACTGTATTCTAAAAGGAATGAATTGTATTGTTACATAAATTATACTTTACTAAAACACAAAACAATTGTCTGTATACAGTAATGAACACCTTACAACAAAAATGCATATATAGAGGCAGGAGGAGTACTTGAGCCCAGAAGTTCGAGTTCAGCCTGAAAAACACAGCAAGATCCTGTCTCTAAAAAAATAAAATTCAAAATACATATATACAAAATATAAATACATTATTTTTAATCTTGTTTCTTTCTTTCCCAGCACTTACACTGAATTTATTTAAATTAAATAAGCATGTGATGTGACTTTACTGTAGTATACAAAAAGGGAGTTTTTGCCTAATACTGGTTAGAACCGAAAAACATGTCAAGTAAGAGTCATCAGATATCAGCAATCTAAGACTTAGATTCTCAGATTTTAGACAGAGTGCTCACAAAAGATGGTGCTTCTGTGTGGTCTTCTACAGAATAACTACCTTAAATTACTCAATTAAAAGAACTGCAGATCTATAATTTATAGGATAAACCATCCTGAACACTGGTGGGAGGACTTGGGGTGCAGCTAAAGGTAGAACAAGGAAAAGGATGGTCTTTCACATTCTATTTTCAAATCTGCTAAAACACTACATTTCAGGTATAACTAGAGATCGGTGCCACAACTTCCTGTTTTGTTCAAGGAAAACAAGTAACTGAAGCTGAGAATGTTCCAGTCCTTGGAAAGGTTTGATTAGGATTCTTGCGGTACCAGTCTATTCTGAACAAAGAGCTACCAAGTAGAAAGGTTAGCTTTCCTGAAACATATCCAAGTCTTCACTCTATACTTATTTTTAAGGTAGAACTCACAAAACTAACTCTAATTCTAACCCAGAACAAAATTCACTGGTTCAAGAATTTTAAAATAGGGTCTCTACAAAACAACAAAGTAGCTATTCTAGTCTATTACTCAGAAATCAAAACCAATACCCTCCTTTCATTTTTTAGAGATCATAAAAGGAATACAAAAAAATTAATAAAACAAAATAAATGGTCATTACAGAAAAATTAGAAAATATAGTAAGGGACAAAGATAAAAATGAAGAACACTCACAATTCCACCACTCTGTGATTACTACTACTATTTTCTTCCAGCTTTTTTTCTACATACATAATTTTTAAAGTTTTCAAATTTGATATTAGACTATATAGTTTGAATTCTCCCCTTCTCACTTAACATTATATCATGAAAATATCTGTATAAGTCAAGGTTCCACCAAAGAAACAGAAGCAGCAGATATAGTCAGCCCTCGCTATCCATGGGTTCCATAGCCCAAATCAAAATATTCCCAAAAAATATTTACCAAAATATTTGCTGAGGATCAAAAATATTCCCAAAAAATGGCCAGGCATGGTGCCTCACACCTATAATCCCAGCACTTTACGAGGCTGAGGCGAGTGGATCACTTGAGCTCACCAGTTCGACACCAGCCTGGGCAACATGGTAAGACCCTATCTCTACAAAAAATACAAAAATCAGCTGGGCAAGGTGGTGCACGCCTGTAGTCCCAGCTACTTGGGAGGCTGAGGTGGGAGGCTCGCTTGAGCTCAGAAGGCAGAGGCTGCAGTGAGCCAAGATCATGTCACTGCATTCCAGTATGGGCAACAGAGCAAGACCCAGTATCAAAAAAAAAAAAAAAAAAAAAAAAAATCCAAAAATTTGAAAAAAAAAAAAAATGGATTGTTTTGTCTGTGCTGAACATGTACAAACTTCTTGTCATTATTCCCCAAATAATACAGTGTAACAACTATTTACATAGCATTTACATTGTATTAGGGATTGTAAGTAATCTAGACATAATTTAAAGTCTATGGGAGAATGTGCATAGGTTATACACAAATATTATACTGTTTTATATAAGAGACCTAGACATCCATGAATTTTGGTATCCACGAGGGACCAGGAACCAATCCCCTGCAGATACCAAGGGATAAGTGTATTTATTAAGAGAGTTACTGCAAGAAATTGGCTTACATGATTGTGGGGGCTGGCTAGGCCAGTCTGAAATCCACATAGCAGGCCAATGTGGAACTCTCCAGAAACTGAGTGCAGCTGCTGTCCATCGGAGAAATTTCTTCTACTTCAGGGGAGCTCTGCTGCGCTCTTCAGGCTTTCAGCTGATAGATCAGGCCCACTCAGATCACCTAGGACAATCACCCTTACTTAAAGTCAACCAATTATTAACTTGCATCACATCCACAAAATACCTTGACAGCCATGCCAAGATGAGTGTTTGACTGAATAACCAGGACTGTAACTTAGCCAAACTGACAAATGAAACTGACCATCACAATAACCATGTCAGTAGTCTTTAAAAGCATTTTATAAATGTATTTCTCCATTCCCTTACTACAGAAATTCAGCATTCTTCCAAAATTTTGCTAATATAAGTAATGTTGGAATAAATAGAACTGAAGTGAACAATGCTATAGACTGAATGTTTGTGTCCCAAAATTCCTACGGTAAATCTTAATCCCAAGATATTGGGATGAGTACTTTGGGAGGTGATCAGGGCTCTGCCTTCATGACTGGAATTAGTGCCCTCATAAAAGATTTGAGAGAGTTCTCTCACCTCTTCCACCATTTGAGGACACAGCAAGGTAACTACGAATCAGAATGTGGGCCCTCACCAGACACTGAATCTGCCAGTACCTTGACCTTAGACTTCCAGTATCCAGAACTGTGAGCAATAAATTTATGTAGTCTATAAGCCACCCAGGCTATATTATTTTGTTATAGCAGCCTAAGTGGACTATGACAAACAACTTTGTATATTAAATCTTCATTCTTACATCTGATTATTTTACAGAAAGACTACTAGTAAGGAGGCTGCGCATAGAAAGAACTCCAAAAAACCTCATAGGATCCCCTTGAGTCTTTGGCTGAATACAAAACTGCACATGTGTAAAGTGCAACTCCATGAGACAAGTAGGAAACCTGGGTAACTGACATGGACAATCCCTAGAGCTGGGAGACGTTCAAGCCTCAACCAGTCAGAATGGAAAGACCTCACTAACAGCTGGAGCACTCAGAAGCCCCAAAAAGGCATGTCTTAGAAGACTAAGCTAGCTTTAAAATAAAAGTACCCTAGATACAGCTTAACAAAGCTGAAAAACAAGGCCAGACACATTGGTGCACACCTATAATCCCAGCACTTTGGTAAGCAAAGGTGGGAAGATCATTTGGGACCAGGAGTTCGAGATTAGCCTGGGTAACATATTAAGACTCCATCTCTACAATCAATTGATCAATCAATACAAATAAAAAACAAGCTTCAAAAAGATCATTCTGATCAGCAAATAAATTAATTGCCTGCAAGAACAAAACTCAACACTCAACAGAAGAAATC